>NC_000002.12:227489618-227792648 GCF_000001405.40 Homo sapiens
TATAAAATTTAAAGCAAAACAAAACAACAACCAAACCCAAGTTAACTTTTCCCTACTTTGAAATTCGAAACAAATGAAGTGTAACTTGTCTTAATTCAGATCATGATCTGAAAGATGACATTTATCTGTGACAAGGGGGAGGGAGAAAAAGAAGCAGTGAATTGAGGAGCTTCTCCTTTGTGTTTTGACAAGCAAAAATACTTTTTTTTTTTTTTGAGACAGAATCTTGCTCTGTTTTCCAGGATGGAGTGCAGTGGCACGATCTTGGCTCACTGCAACCTCTGCCTCCTGGGTTCAAGCAATTTTCATGCCTCAGCCTCCCGAGTAGCTGAGATTACAGGTGCATGCCACCACGCCCAGCTTATTTTTGTATTTTTAGTAAAGACAGGGTTTTGCCATGTTGCCCAGGCTGGTCTTGAACTCCTGACCTCAGGTGAGCTCGTCGTCTCGGCCCCCCAAAGTGCTGGGGTTACAGATGTGAACCACAGCACCCAGCCCAAAAATACCGTGAATTTCTAGAATGTTACGCACCATATTTAATTATTCAAAATGTTCCCAAAATATTTTTTAAAAACTTCTGGTACATTTATTATTTTATATCATTGTTAAATATCCTATTTAATTAGTGTGAATGATTACAAATTGACTGACAAATTCTTTAAAAATATTACTGCAGTTGGCCGGGCGTGGTCGCTCACGCCTGTAATCCCAGCACTTTGGGAGGCCGAGGCAGGTGGATCACGAGGTCAGGAGATTGAGAACATCCTGGCTAACACGGTGAAACCCTGTCTCTACTAAAAATACAAAAAATTAGCCGGACGTGGTGGCGGGTACCTGTAGTCCCAGCTACTCAGGAGACTGAGGCAGGAGAATGGCGTGAACCCGGGAGGTGGAGCTTGCAGTGAGCCGAGACTGCGCCACTGCACTCCAGCCTGGGCGACAGAGCGAGACTCCGTCTCAAAAAAAAAAAAAAAAATTACTGCAGTAATTGCTGTAGAACCTAGAGTTCAAATGAGACCTTTGTCAGAGAACATGACCCCAAAGTAGTTCTGTGGAACTTTGCGTAGGTTACTTGGTATTTTGCATAGATTATTGGGCCATTATTCTTGTGGGTGGACCTGCCCACAAGATAGTTGGACAACATGTAAATAGTTATTAAATCTGTTTGAGTGCATTTCCACTCGGTTTTTCATGTGCGTGTTCAAACATCAAGGTAAAGTCCTTTTAAGGCCATCCATACAGAAAAGGCTTCAGGGTTCTAAAGGACCTTAAAAATTGTTAAATCATGCATGCAGCAATTTTTTTGAATCTCTTCCGTATGTCCCTGCAGTTTCCTCTTGTACACACTGTCTTTTGAGGTGACTGAAAATGTTCTTTATTATAAATTCTTACTTGAATTGATGGCAAGATAGGACTTTACTAATTGGTTTATTACCTCAATTCATGATATTACTTGTAATATAGTTTTCTAAATTAGTCTTAAGCTTATTTAAAGCTAACAGCTGTTTGATAAGGATATTTGTATAGCTCTGGTCTTATTATATCATTGTTTCTTAGGAAATATGAAATATTTAAAGAATTTTAATAATTCTTTCATAGAGTTCTTCATATGTATAGTCTTTTCATCAGAAACACACTAAAGCACTATTTGCATTTCCTAGAAACTCATGTGTCACAGTTACTTTGTGTTTTTAACTAGGTGGTTAATTGAATTTATTGTTAAGTCTATTATTTAATGAGTCTAACCAAACCTTAATATCTATTATTAAGTTTAATAGTTTAAAATAATTTAAAAATACTTTGAGTTTATGGAATGAAAACACTGTTTCAAGTTTGTGTGTTGGTTAGAAATATTTTGAATTACTAGATGTGTCATTTTAAAAATGTGGTATGTACTAGTAAATTTTGTAAAATATTTTATCTTTTAGGCGAGGATTAAATCCACCACACAGGGTGAAATCTATCTCCATGACAACATTCACACAACAGGAAATTGAATTCTTACAAAAACATGGAAATGAAGTAAGTGGTTTTTTTTTTTTTTTGCAATTTTTGACTTTTTTGTTGGCAGTCATTTTAATGAGATTTAATAAGTTATTTAAAACGTTGAATTTCACGGTCTAAATAAGTTATTTTTGTATTTTATATTTAGATATTTTAAAATGTACTCATTTAATAATGTATTTGGAATTAATGTTTACTACATAAACACTTTACCGTAAATCTGAGGTGAAATGTGTGTATTTAAAAGTCATCAGTCTTGAATATAAAAGGCGTTTCGGAGGACACCCATTATTACAGTTATTGTTAGTCTTCGCTTCAAAAGTCAAAAAAGAGGAAGAGAATTCATTTTGTGATGTTGTGTTAAACTTGTTAGAGTGTTGTGTGATCAGCTTTCACTTGAAGTCCTCTATTTTTCGTAAATTTTTAACTTTGGACGTGTAGGTGATGTGTAATGTTTAGCAGGTGCTCAGTAGGGAGGAGGTTAGTAGTTCTCAGTGGCAGCTAAGTGTCATGGGGAGCCAGATGGTATAAAGATTTGGATGGAAGCTTTTTTTCTTCTTGCCTTTAATGGGCTTCCAGTAATTCTATTCTGTTTGCTTGTTTGCTTTTAGCTCTGTGTTTTGCTATTAGTAAAAGTTTTTAAAATTTTTCTAATATTTTTAAAATTAATAAAATTAACAAAGAGAGTGGGCATTTTTTTATAATCCTGCAATAAGGATGAGCCAGTTAACCCAAGCTGATTAATAATAGCTATTATTATTTGACAGAAAAGTCTCCTTTTCTAGAAAGGATAAGTAGTACTTTAGTGGTACTCTTCTGGTTGCATCTTTGATATCCTTAATAAACATAAAGTAAGTTAAATATTAAAATTTTATTAGTTTTAATCTTCTCCTTGGACCCTTAGAAAATATATGCAAGCATTTTACACTCTGCCTTTCTTCCTAATACTCTGAAAGTAATACCTTAAAATTGTTTGCCTACTTGTGATGTCCACTTGCTTTTGGTTCTAAAATAGTGAGGAAATATAAATTCACAGCTATGAAATATTTTTAAATATTTCATATTAAATTATTTAAAGAAGAGAGCACATTTTGAAGTCTCCAGATTTTGCCGATGACAAATTATTTTGAGTATTCAGATTCCAGACTAATGTGAGTACATTATAAGAACATGTAAAGCTGGATGAAAAGGTAGGAGGCTTTTAATGAAGAGTAAGCATAGAATAATATATATATTGATTAAAATACAATTTGAACTACTTGTGTAAAGTTTACAAGTAGGATTAACTTAACATTGCACACTTGAAGTTACTTTCTTAGAATGTTGGCTTAGTGTGCAAAATTTTGGAAATTAGAATGGAATCAGAAATAAAGAATATTATTCTATCTTTAGATTAAAAATATGACAGTAGGTAAAAACAGAGTAGCAAAACTGTGATAACAGCAGTCAATTGAAGAAGTGAAAATATAACAATATGTGAGATAAGGTTAGGTGGAGACTGGTCCAAAACAATACCAAGATTGAAGGAGTATATATTTTTTTAATTGTGGTGGGAACATTGATCTACCCTCTTAACAAATTTTTAGATGTGCAGTATTCTATGGTTAATTATAGACATAGTGCTGTATAGCAGATCTCTAGAAATTAATCATCTTGTATAACTGAAACTTTATACCAGTTGAATTACAGCTCCTCATTTTATCTTCTGCCCCTGTTGCCCCGATTCTACTCTCTGCTTCTATGGGTTTGACTATTTTAGATACCTCATATAAATGGAATTACACAATATTTGTACTTCTGTGATTGGCATATTTAGTGTAATGTCCTCAAGATTCATCCTTATTGTCATGTATGGCAGGATTTCTGAAGGAATATTTTTTAAGGCTATAGCATTATGGTAAATTTAGAGTATATAAAAAGAATTAGTTAATTTTTAGGAACTCACTGTATCAAAAAGTAGAAGCAAAATGTAAATGTTATAAGTGACTGAAATGTATTTATGAATCTTAAGTCCTACAAAGAGGTTTGCAAGTTGATAGACCACTCAAAGCACTTACCATGACAATCACTGTCACTGTGCTGGGTATTAGGGATGTGGTTATAGATGTGTTACACCGGCTTAGTGGACAAAGGGCTCACAGTTGGTGTGACAGATACATAACAGATAATTGCAACATGGTATTAGATAAATAATGATAAGAATAAGAAGTATCAGCAGTAGTATGGAAAAAGGGAATCAGTATTTTGGTGGAAAGGAGAGGATTGGGAAGACCCGACAGAACAGATAACACATTTGTTGGTTTTTGAGGGTAACTAGAACCTAAGCTGGTAGTGGAAGTCACTGAAGATGGAGCAAACAGTACAAAAAGAAAAAGGGAAACTTGCAATAGGTTGCTAGGAAATATACTAACCTTGTAAATGCTTGTTAAGGAAGACAAACATACCTTCTTATAGTATACCAAAGAACATCTTAGAACCAAAATAATGGACAGGTATGTTTGGTTCTTTACAGTATTAACAGTATCTGTGTTCTTAAAATTTTGAGAGGTGTGTAGAGGGTGATGAAGATACGAAGTGTGGGACAGTTGGTACAGCTTTATAACCAAATCTTTATGGATTTCACGTGCAAGTGTTCTATTATCAGTTTATCTTTTTTAAACCTTTAAATGGTAAATATCACTTGCATAGGGAATAGTACCAGAACGTAAGTTTACATTTCAAAATAAGTTGCCATATTCTCTCGTCACCTTTTAATAGTTTGGAAAGGGCCATATTCAGTCACATAAGTTTTGGATTAAAAAGGCTCTATCATACATCTTGTGCATGAATGAGTTCATGCCTGAAGATGAGTATTTCCAAAATTAAAAGATCAGAAAGTATATTGGCTTTGGCAGCAGCCTTGGATCTTTGATCCCCACCAGGGAGTTTTAGTGAGCTGTGGGGCATGTTTGGTTGTTGTCACTATTGGAAGATGTTGCTGGCTTAAGCAGGCAAGCACCATGAATGATGAATGACTTGTAATGTGTTGAACAGAATTAACCTGCATGCCATATGCTATGAATGTTCCTCCAGACATTTATATGTGGGAAACATCTGTGTATGGTCTTCTGCATATATAATTTAATTCTGTCTTAATACTTGCATTGTAGTTGAACATCCTATTGCCAAAGAAAGTCATGCTCCAAGCCCAGAATCAGAGTGAGAGGGGCTACCAAGTTACAGGGCAAAGGGCATGGATACAATCACACAACTGATGGCAATACGAATTGTATTTTAGTCATCAATAAAGTATATCTGTATTGGTAGCTGTGGTAAGCAAATAATGTTATTACTATTTATAGATATGCATAGAGACCATACTTACAGAGTAGATCATTAGTTTCTACAGATGTGGTTTACAAATTTCTTGACTATTACTTTAGTGTTTATAGACTTCTACAGTGTGTTTGGTGGAGGAGATATGTATATCATTAAGTTACAGCACATAATATGCCAGATGCTAGTAAAATATTTCGCATTGGAGCACTTTGTATTTATTTGCTGAAGTAATTTTTGTCATTTTTTTCAGAACCAGAATATTTCACAAAAAGTTTCCATGTATTTCTTTTGTATCATACAGTTACTTTAAAAAAAAACCTGTAGTGATCTTGGCACTGTAGCTCCCCTGTAATCCCAGCACTTTGGGAGGTGGAGGTGGGAGGATCCCTTGAGGCCAGGAATTCGAGATCAACCTAGGCAACAAAGCGAGATCCCATCTCTCCAAAAATTTAAAAATTAGCCAGGCGTGGTGGTACACATCTGTAGTCCCGGCTACCCAGGAGGCTGAGGTGGGAGCATTGCTTGAGCCCTGGAGTTCAAGGCTGCAGTAAGTCATGATCATGCAACTGCACACCAGCCTCGGTGACCAAGCGAGATACTGTCTCAAAAAAAAAAAAAAAAAAATCTATAGTGATTTTCTGTATGTCCTCATTTGTGATGTCATGGGCAAATTATGGTTTTCTAGTTAAAGGAAGTTGGATTAACTTCTGATTATAAAGTTAACGGAAGGTGGACTGGTGAACACTGCTGTAAGTAGATAATTCAATGGAGAAGAAAATTTAGAAATAATTTTATTTTGAAATATGTATAGTTTATGTTTTCTAGTTGTAAGTTAACCTTCCTAATATGTTTGAAGACTAAAAGTAAAAGCATTACTACTGGCCAAGTGCAGTGGCTCATGCTTGTAATCCCAGCTGTTTGGGAGGCTGAGGCGAATGGATCAGTTGAGGCCAGGAGTTCAAGACCAGCCTGGCCAACGTGGCGAAACTCTGTCTCTACTAAAAATATATATATATTAAAAAAAAAAATTAGCCAGGCATGGTGGTGTGTGCCTGTAATCCCAGGTACTTGGGAGACTGAGGTGGGAGAATCGCTTGAACCTGGGAGGTGGAGGTTACAGTGAGATTGTGCCACTGCACTTCAGCCTGGGCAACAGAGTGAGACTGTCTCAAAAAAAAAAAAAAGAAAAAAAAAGAAGACATTATTATTAATGCTCCACAGGCATGGTCTATGTGTAGGAGTAAAATCAGGCATTGCATGCCAGTATTTGATTATCTCTATACTGGATTAAAAACAAAACAAAATGATTGCTTTGAAAACCCATGCAATAACGTACACTTTTCCCTTGTTAACATTCATGATTGATTCATTTTTGAAGCAGAGATTTATTAATAAATTACCTACTGTGGGAGAATGGCGTGAACCTGGGTGGTGGAGCTTGCAGTGAGCCGAGATTGCGCCACTGCACTCCAGCTTGGGCGATAGAGCGAGACTCCGTCTCAAAAAAAAAAAATAAATAAAATAGCCTGCTGTGTGCCAGGAACTGTCCTTAGGTCCTAGGGATACAAAAAGGGAGATGATTCCTGTCCTCCCCTTGCAGTCTTCTACATGCAGGAGACATAATAAAAGTACAGTGGTCTTGTGCTGAAAGCTCAGATTTGGACTATGCAGGTTGTGAACCTTGGGCAAGAAGCTTTTTAGCCTTAATTTCTATTGGTAGTAACTATAATACCTATGTATAAAAATGCTAGGATTTTTTGAATTAGGCCAACTTGTGAAAATTCCCAGCGTATTTCTTGTCAGATAGTATTTATTTATTGAATCTGAATCTAAAGTGGTAGAAGTTATAAGAAGAATTATCAATTTTTATTTTCATTCCTGGTTTGGATGGTTTCTGTAGGGGGATTTTTCAGTTTTCATAGCATACTGTCATGTCATTTACATTAATATTCGGGTTATGTATTTAAACTCTTGGAGCATTTTAACTTCGATTTTCTGCTGAGTTTAATAATAATGAAAATTGATAGTTATTTTAGTAACAACATATTGCCATGTAGAGTGGCAGAGTTAAGTTATATACTCATTAATTCAGGATTTACAGCTATTCTGTTGCCTATGGCAGGGGTTGGCAAACTGCTTGTAGTGGCCAGATAGTAAATATTGTAGGCTTTGTGGGCCACCTGTATTCTCTGTTGCATATCCTTGTTTGAAATTCACCCCCTCTTCCCCCCCCACCCCACACACACAATTCTTTAGTGTAAAAACCATCTTTAGATTAAGGCAGTATAAAAACAGGCTAGTGATGACCCAGTTTGGTCTGCAGATTGAAGATGTATAGAACTCTTAACGTTTCAGCTTGCAATGTAAATCTTTTTATGACCTGACTTCTTAATGTAATGACGTTATTGCCAGCAGAAATGTTTTAACTACAATGATCTTTGTTTTGTTTTCCACATGTGCTATCTGTATTCTAATTTTCTTGCCATTTTACCAATGCTGGCTTTTATTTTTGCTTGACTTTTCTCTTCTAATCCCATCAGTCTTTCAGGAGTTTTTATACCTCAGATACTAACACCCCCATATGTATTTTAAACTGTTTAAAAAATAACATTCACTGTAAGATTTACAAAAAAAAATTTTTTTTGTTATTGCTCTTAGTTTCTTCTGTATTGGTCTTACTGCCCTCAAGACATTATAGACATCTCTGTGGCATAATCTTGCATACGTCTTAATTATACCTAAAGCAGTGAAAATGCACAAGCATATATAGCCAAATGAGTTTCTTTCTTGTTTTGTTTTTTTTTTTTTTTTTTTTTTTTTTGGGGACGGAGTCTTACTCTGTCGCCTAGGCTGGAGTGCAGTGGTGCAATCTTGGCTCACTGCAACCTCCACCTCCCAGATTCAAGTGATTCTCCTGCCTCAGCCTCCCAAGTAGCTGGGATTACAGGCATGTACCACCATGCCTGGCTAATTTGCTAGGACTCAAAAAAATCCGTGGTTTAGTTTGATTACCACTAATTTATGAACCTTGTTACCTTGGGGAAACCACTTTTCCCTGACCTTCATTTTCCTTTGTAATCTGTGGGAAATATCTGTTTTGCCTATTTCATGAGGTTGATTTGAAGGTAGTATATAGGAAAACATTTTGAAAATTGATGTATTATATAGATGTAAGATCATGGTTTTATTTTATTTTTTAAAATTAAAAAAAAATTTTTTTCCCCAGGTTTGGTAACTTGCCCAAGATCGTGCTTTTATGGGCAAAGATACTTTTCCAGTTGATTCCTAAACACAGAAAATAAGTATCACATAGGAACATGGCATGCTTTGAATTGAATTTAGGGTGGAGATAAATTTTTGCAGAATTTCAGTCAGTATGATGGTATTAATAAATGAAAACATTCACTAATAATACATTGAAAAACATTTTAAACTACAAAATTAATTATTTGAGGGAATAGCTTCCTAGAGGGATATCTCAGGTTTAAAACCATCCAATTAAAATATTAAAGCACACTATTGTTATTATTTAAGGGATATTTATTTAGTGTCTGCATATTTATGCACGTCTGGCCTTTTAAGCATTTTGAAAGGAAGGTATGGTGCTATGGCTCTTCTAAATATTAGCTGAATCTAGTCAGTAGTAACTTAGTAAAGTTGAAAATATTTAGAGTATATTATTTGATGTTAACTGTTGGCTTTCAGAGAAATACACTAACAAAAATGTAGAAAATGTAGACATGTCTTTGTGTTGAACATATCATAATCCGTGGGTCTTTTTGAATGACAGAAAACCCAGAGATTTATAGAAGAAGCTAGATGTTGTTTGTAACTACTCTGAGAGTTTACTTAACTTTTTTTACATTACATATTCCAGGTTACAGTGTATTTCTTTCTAGCTGTTTGCCTTACCATTCTAGCTTCCTGTAATCTCTTAGCTTGTTTTTTTCTTGCCATTGTGTGTTATCTTCTAAAAAATCTTACTTGACTCGAATTAAAACAATATAAATCATTAGATGCTTTTGTTTCTTTTTTAAAGAGTTTTTTTGTGGAGTTATTCATGCCTTTAGACAAGTAGATAATGTAACAAACTTCCATCAACACATGGCTGTCTTTTTATTATTTTTAAGCAAATGCGAGACATAAAATTTCATCTGTAAACTCAACTCTCATGTTATCTGTAAATTTCAAGGACTTTAAAATATATATGGCAACAGTGCTATTTTTGTCCCTATGACAATTAACAGTAATCTAGTCATCTGGTCAGTGTTTTAAGTTTTCTGTTGTTCATCAGTATCTTACTTTTCTTTTTTTTTTCTTAATGGTTTGTTTGAATGAGGATCCAGGTAATATCCACACATCGAGTGGTTAAAATGGGCTTTAAAACTTTGTATTGCTTATAAAGGATTGGAGGCTTGGCTGGGCACCATGCCTCATGTTTGTAATCCCAGCACTTTGGGAGGCTGAGGCAGGCAGATCACTTGAGGCCAGGAGTTCGAGTCTAGCTTGGGCAACATGGCAAAACCCCATCTCTACTAAAAATACAAAAATTTGCTGGGCGTGGTGGCGTGTGCCTGTAATCCCAACTACTCTGGAGGCCAAGGCACAAGAATCACTTGAACCCAGCAGGCAGAGGTTGTAGTGAGCCAAGATGGCACCACTGTACTCCAGCCTGGGTGACAGAGTGAGACTCTGTCTCAAAAAAAAAAAAAAGGAAGAAAAAAAGGGATTGGAGGCTAGATGGATCACAGTGACACCTACAAAGATTGGACTGGAATGGACCTGTATTAGTAGTATGTGGCATAGATTCAGGCAGAGGTTTGTGTTAGGGGCCTCAGGCCAGGTAGTTATTCTGGAGCTGGATAATCTATAACCTGGGGCCCCTGCCGGCTTAAAGTCCCTGGGAAACATAGCAGCTCAGGTGACTTCAGTGCCTTATGGGACACGGACGCAGCCCGAGTGCTACCTGGTACACATCTGAGTTGTAGTCCTTTTCCTGTGTCTTTTTCATTGCTCTGGCATCAGCTGCTACTCAGTCTCCTTAAAATTGATGTTGGGTTCTTACTGCAGGACAAGAAGCCTGTTTGTCTGTCAGGACGGCAGCTGACATTCATTTTGGCAACAGAGTATGCCATGTGGTTATGGGGTACGTTATGAGCTGGTAAGAAGAAAACAAACAGGCCCTCCAGCCTCATAGGTTTTTGAGGAATTGGTAATGATGTTTAAGGTTTGGGTAGTAGTAGCCAAAGGCCATGCCTGCAAGAACTTCTTGTTGATTTGGGTGATATTTTTTGGTCAGTCTCTTACTGGACCATGACTCCCACTACTTCCCCAAGGACAATCTCATACTGGCCTGTGATCCTAGGTTCTTTCCAAGGATGGAGTGTCTGTGAGCAGTTATCTTTTGATAGGAGAACTTGTCCTGCTTTGTGCCATCTAATGGCAGCATAGTGTCATAGGTCTTATGGCAGGTGAGCAGTGGTTCACCAGCTTGTCTGCCTGCAGGGAGCCTGGTTTGGCTATCTGCTACATTGTCTCTCAGAACCTGCTGTCCTAGGTAGCTACAGCAAGACTCTGGACTTGGGTAGAGAATGCTCAGAGCCATAGCACAATGGCCAGATCTGCCTGTTTTCGTCCCCTCCTCCAACATTATTATGGAAAATTCCAAATACATAAAAGTTGAAAAATTATACAGGTACAATAAACATTGTGCTATATTTGCCTCAGCAGATATCTGTATCCATTCATCAGTCCATCTGATATTTCAAAGTAAGCTCAAAACATTAGTTCACATTACTTGTATAAACTGCAATATATCTATCTTTTTTATTTTTAAATTAAATTAAATTAAAAAAAAAATTTTTTTTTTGAGACAGAGTTTCGCTCTTGTTGCCCAGGCTGGAGTGCAGTGGCATGATCTTGGCTCACTGCAACCACTGCCTCCCAGGTTCAAGTGATTCTCCTGCCTTAGCCTCCTGAGTAGCTGGGATTACAGGCGCTCGCCACCACGCCCAGCTAATTTTTTGTGTTTTTAGTAGAGACGAGGGTTCATCATATTGGCCAGGCTGGTCTTGAACTCCTGATCTCAGGTGATCCACCTACCTCAGCCTCTCAAAGTGCTGGGATTACAGGCGTGAGCCACCGTGCCCAGCCTAATTTTTTTTGACAGAGTCTTGGTCTTGTCGCTCAGGCTGGAGTAGTGTGATCTTGGCTAACTGCAACTTCCACCTCCTGGATTCAAGAGATTCTCCTGCTTCAGCCTCCAGAGTAGCTGGGGCTACAGGCACCCACCACCTTGCTGGGCTAGTTTTTGTATTTTTAGTAGAGATGGGGTTTTGCCATGTTGGCCAGGATGGTCTTGAACTCCTGACCTCAGGTGATCTGTCCACCTTGGCCTCCTAAAGTGTTGGGATTATAGGCATGAGCCATTGGGCCTAACCCAGTATATCTATCATTAATTAGAATTCAGTATTCGTTCAATTTTTTGAGGTATAATTTACATACAGTGAAACTTAAGAATCTTAAGTGTACTTTTGGATGAGTTTTGATCATTGCTTCCAATTTGGTAATCCAAAGCCCTATACAAATATACACATAAACATCATTACAGACAGTCACTGGACACTTCTTCCTATTCAGTCCTTCCCTGAATTTTTTGAGACAGGGTCTCAACTTCTGTCACTCCCAGGCTGGAGTGCAGTGGCTGGATCACGGCTTACTGCAGCCTTGACTTCCTGGGCTCAGGTGATTCTTCCACCTCAGCCTCCTGAGCAGCTGGGACCATAGGCATACACCACCACGCGTGGCCCATTTTTTTATTTTTAGTAGAGACGGAGTCTACTTCTGAGGCACTGTTTTGTTTTTTTATTCACATTCATATAAAGTAAGTTAAAATGTGATTTTTAAAATAACCCTCCTTCCTTTTTTATTTTTTTTGAGGTAGGTTCTTACTCTGTTGTCCAGGCTGGAGTGCAGTGGTGCGATTACAGCTCACTGCAGCCTTGACCACCTGTGCTTAAGCAGTTCTCCCACCTTAACCTCCCAAGTAGCTGGGACTACAGGTGCGTGCCACCATGCCTGGCTAATACTGTTTATTTTTGTAGAGACGAGATCTCACTGTGTTGCCCAAGTTGGTCTCAAACTCCTGACTAAAGCGATCCACCTGTCTTGGCCTCCCAAAGTGCGAGGATTACAGGCCTGAGCCACAGTGCCCAACCAAAGTAAACCTTCTTTTGAGAGTTATGCACGTGGATGCTTGTACTTTTTCCTGTTTATTACCAAGTATTGGCTTCTATTCTATGAATAAATTATAATTTGTTCATTCTTCTTTGTCAGATATATCCTTAGTAAATATTTTCTCCCAGTCTGTGGTTTTTTGTTTTTTGTTTTTAATTTTTTGAGACAGAGTCTCACTCTGTTGCCCAGACTGGAGTACAGTGACGCGATCTTGGCTCACTGCAACCTCCGCCTTCTGGGTTCAGTTGGTTCTTGTGCCCCAGCCTCCCGAGTAGCTAGGACCACAAGCGCACACCACCAGTCCCAGCTAATTTTTTGTAATTTAGTAGAGATGAGGATTTGCCATGTAGGCCAGGCAGATCTGGAACTCCTGACCTCAGGTGATCCACCTGCCTCGGCCTCCCAAAGTGCTGGGATTACAGGCATGAGCCACCATGCCTGGCCCTCATTTATTTTCTTTTTGATATCTTTTGGCAAGCGGAAGTTTTGTCATTTTGATGAAATACAATTTATTAGTTTTTTGTTTTATAGTGAATGGTTCCTCTTCTCTGTCTTAAAAAATCTGCTTCCTCTCAAATCATGAGGATAATCTTATTTATTTTAGAAGCTTTACATTTACATCTGTGATCCATCTCAAATTAATTTTAGTGTATGGTGTGATAGGGATTGAGTTTCATATTTTTACATGAATATATACACTTCTAGCTCTATTGTTGAAAACACTTTTCTTTCCTCGGTGTTGCTTTGGAGTCTTTGTCAAAAATGAAATGACCAGGCAGGGCATGGTGGTTCACGTCTGTAATCCTAGCACTTTGGGAGGCAGAGGTGGGCAGATGGCTTGAGCCCAGGAGTTCAAGACCAACCTGGGCAACATGGTGAGACCCTGTCTCTACAAAAAATACAAAAGTTAGCCAGGCATGGTGGTGTGCACCTGTATTCCCAGCTAGTTGGGAGGCTGAGGTGGGGGGATCACCTGAGCTTTGGGGAGGTTTTAGGCTGCAGTGAGCTGTGATTGCACCACTGCATTCTAGCCTGGGCAACAAAGTGAGAAGTTGTCTCAATTAAAAAAAAAAAAAAAAGAAATGACCGTATAATTACGGGTTATATGCTCTCTATTATATAGTGTCATTTGTGTATTTGTTAACCCTTATGCCATACAACACTGTCTTTTGGTTACTCTGCTTTCCTAGTAAATCTTGAAGTCAGGTAGTACAAATCCTTCAGTTTTCTGTTTTTAAAGATTGCGTTAGATATTCTGGGTCAGGGGTTGACCAACTAAAGCCTGTGGGCCAAATTTGGCCTGTTGCCTGTTTTTATATGGTCTACCTGATTGAGCTACCATTGTGAGACATGGAGACCAAGCTGGATTTTCTCTCCCTTCCTTCCTCATTTCTCCCTCCACTGTTGGCAGCTTTGGGCACCAAGTGGTGGAATCTGGGAGTTGATGACTCAGTCACCTTTGACCAGCTGCCCAAATTGAGATGACTGGGCTCTTTGGGAAGTTGGAAAGGCACACCAGGATCTGAGTGTCACTGTGGTGGAGAGTGAAAATGACCACAGTGCAGATTATCTGTTTGTCATATTGGTTTTGATAAATTGTACTTTTCAGGGAATTTGCTCATTTCATCTAAGTTGTCATATTTATTGACATAAAGTTATTCATAATAGTCTTGTTCTCTTAATGTGTATGGGATCTATAATTACTTTGCTCTTTTATTATTTCCTTCTGTTTACTCTGGGTTATTTCCTCATTTTTAGCTTACTAAAGGTGGGACCTGAGGTCATTGATTCTACAGCTTGCTCTTTGAATACAGAGTTAGAGGAAAGATAATGTTATTAAGACATTAATAAAGAAGGGAAAATGTATTTACTGTTTATTAAGTGGAAGTAGATTGTGTTCAGTAGGCTGAGGAGGAGGAAGAGGAGGAGGGAGGGACTGGTCTTGCTGTCTTGGAGATAACAGACTGGAGAGGTGGAGGGGAGGCGGAAGAGGCAGGGACACTTGGTGTAAATTTTTTTTTTTTTTTTTTGAGATAGGGTCTCAACTTCCGTCACTCCCGGGCTGGAGTGCGGTGGCTGGATCATGGCTTACTGCAGCCTTGACTTCCTGGGCTCAGGTGACTCTCCCACCTCAGCCTCCCAAGCACCTGGGACCACAGGCATACACCACCACGCCTGGCTCATTTTTGTATTTTGAGTAGAGATAGAGCTTCACTATGTTGCCCAGGCTGGTCTCTAACTTTTGGGCCCAAATGATCCGCCTGCCTTGGCCTCCCAGAGTGCTGGGGTTATGGGCTTGAGCCACTGTGCCCAGCCAACTTGGTGTAACTTTTATTGAAAAAATTTGTGTTTAAGCGGACATGCACAGTTCAAACTCATATTGTCAACTATTAACATTTTAAAGTGATCATTTTCCCTCTAAGCTCTACTTAACTGTGCTATACAAATGTTGATGTATTTTATCATTTGGTTCAAAATGTTTTCTAATTGCCCTTGTGGGCCTTCTTTGACCCATTGATTTATTTAGAAGTAGTGGTTTAATTTTTACATATTTGAGGTTTTCCTAGGTCCTTTTCTGTAATTGATTGCTGAGTTAATTCTGTATCATCAGTGAACATTTTTGATATATTTTCACTGCTTTCCTTTTTATTGAGATCTCTTTATGGTCCAGCACGTGTTCTGTCTTGGTGAGTGTACAGTGTGTACTTGAAAGGAGTGTGTTTTCTGAAGTTGTTGGGTGTAGTGTTCTATAAATGACAATTATAGCTCTGTGATTGATGGTGTTTAGATGTTGTGGATCCACGTTACTGATTTCGTCTAGTTAAGCAACTGCAGATAGAATTGGACAGCTGGTGTGGATTTACATATTTTTTTCTGTAATAAATACATCATTTTTTGCTGCATGTATTTTGAAACTTTATTATTGGTGCTGTTATATAATTATTATGTCTTCTTGATTATGCCACCATTATGTAATATCTTTTTTATGTTTGATAATACTCTTTTTTGAAATTTACTTTATCTCATACTTATATTGTTTTTTCTTTGTAGTGATGGGTAGTTGTGAAACACTTTATTTTTGTTTTCAGAATGTGACTGTGATGCACCTGGATATGCTTTGTGTATGTGTATGTATTTATCCTACTTGTGGTTGATGATGATCTTGAATCTGTACATTTTTCATTTACCAAATTGGGAAAATTTTATCATTTTCCTTCCAAATATTTTTTCTGCCTCATTCTCTCTCAGCTCTCCTTCTGAGATTCCAATTGCATGGATGTTAGGCATTTTGATACTGTTCTGCAGTTTCCAGAGGCTCTTAATTTTTTTCCCTCCATCTTTTTACTTTCCAGATTGGACAATTTCTCTCTTATCCTAAGCTCACTCTTCTGTTATCTCTAAGCTCTAATTTTTAACTTTAGATATTGTCTTTTCCATCTCTAGCATTTGTATTTTTTCTGTTATTTCTAGAGTTTCCATTTCTCTGCTCAGATTTTGTTCATTTTTATTTATTGCAAGGATGTTTTCTTATATGATATGGTCTTTTTATTTTGTTTTTTTTGTTTGTTTGTTTGTTTTTGAGACGGAGTCTTATTCTGTCGTCCAGGCTGGAGTGCAGTGGCACAATCTTGGCTCAGTGCAACCTCCGCCTCCCAGGTTCAAGTGATTCTCTGCCTCAGCCTCCCGAGTAGCTGGGATTACAGGCACCCGCCACCATGCCTGGCTAATTTTTGTATTTTTAGTAGAGACAGGGTTTCAGTTTCACTGTCTTGGCCAGGCTGGTCTTGAACTCCTAATCTCGTGATCCACCTGCCTTGGCCTTCCAAAATGCTGGGATTACAGGCATGAGCCACTGCACCCAGCCTGTAATATGTTTTTGAATATAAGTATACTAGCTATTTTAAGTTATTGCCTGCTTATTCTAAAATCTTTATCATTGCAGAATCTGTCGCTGTTTGATTTTTCTTTTGATTATGGGTCATAATTTCCTGTTTCTTTGTATATGTAGTGCCTCTGGATTCTGTTTTGTTCCTTCATAAACTATTGGTTTTAATTGTTTTGTTTTTTACTTTAGCAAATTCTGCTGCTCCCATGATGAGTGCCAGCTGAAATCTGCTCAGTTCTTTAATTGAACTGTTTGAAGTCAGCCCCATGCACACATAGGTCAGGAGTGAGCCAGAGACTTGGGAAAAGTGGATATGCAAGTTTTGTGGTACCTATTTTCTTTCTCTGGCCATCTCTCTTCTGGGATTTAGCCCTCACTTTCCAGTTGCTATGGCTGTGGTGAACCTCTTGTCTTCTTGTACTTTAAGCTTTAAGGCTTGTGTATTTCTGTTTGAGTTTTAGCAGCCCTGCATGACTGCTTTCAAGTGATGTTCCTTAAAAAAAAAAAAAAAAAAAAAGCACATAGGCACATACCTAGTGCTGTTTCTTTCCTCTTCAGCTTGTTTGTGGTTGCTCTGTAGTGTCTTAATAGACTTTGTCCAGAGTTTATAGTTGTTATCTGCTGGAGAGTTGGGGTTTTAACCTGAGGCTTTTTGCCACTACTGGTGGAAATCTACACTGCTCGCCCTTTTAAGTCTTTTTTTATCCTCTAAGTTTCCTCTCCAGTCACTCATTCTTATTCTCTGCCCTCCTGCTAACCAAGTCATTTATTCCACCTTCTGGATTTTGCTAATGCCATCCACGTAGTGTCAACGTTCCTCTGTTCTCCCAGTTACCTATAAACCGGTGGTTGGCTGTAGTAGTTTCTTAAGATTCAGGCTTAATTTCAGGAATGGGAAAGATCCACTATTTCATAGGTTGTGTGGTGTTTTTTTAATCAAAAACCACTTTAAAAGTTTTAATTTTTGGTCATGTTAGCAGCTAATGCTCAGTGCCTACATCCACTAATTAGCAATTGTAAAATGGTGATAGTCTAACTCAGTAGTTTTCCAAGTACAGTTTGGGACTTGTAAGGGATCCTTGAGACCTTTTCAGAGGTTCTTTAAAGTTAAAAAAAAAAATTTAATAATACTGAGACTCAGTTTGCTGTTTTTTTACTCCTGTTTTCATGGGTATACAGAGTTTTCCAGAAGCTACATAACATAAAAATGCGGAAGCAGATGAGAAATCAGCTGGCTCCTACCTAACAAGGCATTAATGAAGTTTACAAAAATTACAACAGTAATCCCAGCACTTTTGGGAGGCCGAGGCAGGTGGATCCACGAGGTCAGGAGATCGAGACCATCTTGGCTAACATGGTGAAATCCTGTCTCTACTAAAAATACTAACAAATTAGCTGGGCGTGGTGGCACATGCCTGTAGTCCCAGCTGCTTGGGAGGCTGAGGCAGGAGAATGGCATGAACCCGGGAGGCGGAGCTTGCAGTGAGCCGAGATGGCGCCACTGCACTGCAGCCTGGACGACAGAGCGAGACTCTGTCTCAAAAAAAAAAAAAAAAAAAAAAAAGCGCCTTTTCACTAATTTTTTTTGTTTTGGAAAAAGCTGTTTTTATAAATAAAAGTTATTTACATTAAGATGCAATAGTTTTATTCTTCTTTTAAGAACATTAAAACTATTTATAAATATCAGTAGATATGGTGCACCACCATTTGTGGTCTTCAATATTGAACTCTTCAAAATAGTTTCATAACATTTCCAACAGCAAGCAATTAGGTTTTTTTTAAATTACTATGAATTTATTTATTTGATATGTTTCACTCAGTTATTCTTGCTGATGCCCAAATTTTCCCCTCTTTGTTCAATGAGGTAATCTGTTTTTGAAACCTATTTAAAACTTCTGCAAATCTTGTTTTTACCTAGAAGAGCTTTGCCTGAATGTTCCTTTTTTTTTTTTTAATTAACCTGTGAGCCACCCGTGTATTCAGAAATGTTGAAAGAAAACTGTTTCTTCCCCACCTCTTGGTTTATTTACATAGAATATTGTACAAATGTGGTTTACTTCAGGGGCTTGTTTTGAATTTGTGCTAATTCTCTCTGTTCCTTGGCCAATGACTACATTCTAAACCTCGGTCAGCTGCCTCACAAATGCATGCCTTCAGTCACCAGGACAACAAGACAATAGAGTATCAGTACAAATAGATCACTATGATTGAGTCCTAGATTGAACTAAATAATGGATGAGTGTATTTGTTTTAAGAGGTGGCTGGTATTGATGATATCCTTAAACCATAGATAATCCACAAACAATTCTTACTTCATATCAAGACAAAATATAAAGTTCTTAATCATTTCTGAAGGTTATATGACCAAACAAGCTAGCCCTCTTCTGCTACTCCCTTGCTCAACTCCTTGTTTGTTCCAGGTGTATTCTGGAAAATGTAAAAAATGTAAAGCTTTTTCTGTGTGTACATCTATATGTGAGGTAGGGAGGCAAGAACACACCTTTGGTTAATTTTTCCTTGAAACCTTGCATATCAGATTCATAATATCTTTGGGAGTGAGAATGCTTTGCTTTAAGAGGCGTCACAAAGTAAGTTTAGAACAATTGGAATGGAAACACTGTTGGGATTTTTTTTTTTTTCTTTTTAGGAAATAATTCTAAAGCTCATCCAAAAGAACAGAAAAGTAAAACTAGTTGGGAATAATTTGTAAAATTATTTACTGTTTGTAAATAGTCAATAATTAAAGCAACCTGAAACTAGTGCAAGGATAGGCACGGATCTGTAGATTAGATCCTGAGATATACTGTAACCTTCATATATTATAAATGTGGATGATCTTGTAAAACAAAAGAATTTCAGCATTCAGTGTGGAAGTTGGTTATTCAATGAATGGAAAATTAACTAGAATGTTACCTGACATGATACACCAAAATTTCAGAAAAATTTTAGCATTAAAATGTAAGTCATAAAGGAAGCCATAAACATGTAGAAAACAGTCTCAAAAGATCTACCTGCAAAATGTTTATTAATCCCAAGGGGGACAAACAGTGACTTTAAATGGATAAAGATACATTTTAACCAAATAATCCAAGTATACACCAGTACTGGGACAAATTGATGTTGTGTATCTTTCTTCATAATGATACACTGGGAAGGACACGTCACTTACATAGTATCTTCCCCAAAATACGTAACTTTAATTTAATCATGAGGAAGCCCAGAGGAAGAGACATACCACCAAACAGCTGGCCTGTACTCTTCAAAGATATCATAGTCATGAAAGACAGAAAGAGTAAAGAATGTTCCACATTAAAAGAGACAAGACAGTTAATGGATTCTGGACAAGGAAAACCTTTTCTTTTTGCTATAAAGGCCATTATTAAGATTACTGACTAATCTTTAGATCAGATAATATAAAATATTAATGTCTTGATTTTGATAATTGTGCTATGGTTATGTAAAAGAACGTACTTATTTTTAGGAAATATACATTTAGGGGTAAAAGGCTTGTTATGTCACCAATTTAAATGGTTCATTAAAAAAATTATTTTTCTCAAGAGAATGATAAAGCAAATGTTACCGTTGGAGACTTGGTAAAGGGTATGTGGGATGTGTTTCCACTATCAACTTTTCTGTAAAATAAATTATTTTGTAATTAAAAAACCAAGCAGAACTAAATTGTAATGTTTAAGGATGTATACATGGTGGGGGTGGGTAACAGTAAAACACAAAGAGTGATTACTATAGAAAATACAGCCAAATAGCCAACTACATATTTAGCATTTGAATGCAGAAGAACTTTATAGACTGAAAGCAATGGAAGAAGTCACAAAGTAAAAACTGATATATTTAACTAGATAAAACAAGGAAACTCGTGAAAGGCAGAGTAAATAAAATTAAAAGGCAGAGCCCTTGTTCTGTGCCAGGCACCATACCATACAGGGTAATTTACTTATGTTATCTTAGTTTGAGATAGTTGGGCAGATGATAATCTTCCTTGAAACTACTATGACTTCACTAATAATAAGTCTTAAATTTATAAAGCTCTTTGTAATTTACAAAGTTCATTCATAAATAACCTGTGTGTTGAGGGGGGTAGGGAGGGGTGCTTACTGTACTCATGCTCCTTACTGAAAGAAGAGAAGGCTTATTGCCCTGGGAAAACCACGAAACACAGCACCACACATACACACACACACATGCACACGCACACACATCCACACCCCTGATTGTACCAGGAATGGACACCTAACCCTGGGGCTAGTGACTTATCAGGTCCTGTTTCTTCAGAAATTGAATTAAGGTTCACAGAGGCTGTATTCAAAACAACGAGTCATCTGAACTGAAAAATTGTATGTAGTGGGCTCTGTGCAGGCTGACAAGTAAACAAACAAAAAGTAGTACTTTAGAGAAGCAAGAGTGGAGACAAGACATAGTATGAGAAGCAAAATGATAAACTATGTCTTGGTGGAGGGGTGAGTTGAGAGGGGGCTTAGGAGATAGGCACTCAGACTGCCCAGGTCCCAGATAGTTTCCTGTTTGCATTCCTGGTTCCCATGAAGTATTTGTTTTATTTTGGTGGAGTGCTTTGGTGTATGCTGTCTGCAAATCTGTTTTTCTCCAAGCTAATATAGCTGGGTTTCGATTCTTTTCATCCTATCTAGAACACAGTTCTGATGTTAGAGACCTTAAGTGAAATAAGGTATGGGTATGTGAGCTGTGTGTGCTGCCCTTTACTAAGTCCTTATGGTAGATGTCTGAATTAGAGTTGTTGCTCTCCTTCACAACGCAGATACTTGCAAGTAAGTTTTCTTACTATCCATTGCATTATATTTCTCTCTAGTATTCTAAATATTTGCTTCTTTTTTTTCCTTTGTGAGATTTCCTAATCCCTTTTCAAATGTTTTATCATTTCTGTTTCTTTGTACTTAGTAGTTACTTAGAAAACAAGTGTTAAATACCTATTAATCTTTCACCAAAACTTATTCTGGTACTTTTTCTCCTATATTATCAAGTGAATCAGTATGTATAATAAATTGGCTCTCAGATAGTCCTTGCTGTTGGGAAGTTCTTCCTCCAGGGGAAAGTTTTTGCCCATCTCTCTATGTTATTCCCTGTGCACATTCTAATATGTTTTTGTTTGTGCAGGCATCATTCAGTTTATGTATTGTTTAGATATGCCTCTAAAACAGGTTTTTATTATCCTATTTAAATTGTTACTAGTCTTGGATGCTGGGATGGTAGCATAGTCCATGGTTGTAGGTATGTTAGGGGTTGGCACACTTTTTCTGTGAGAGTCAGATAGTAAATATTTTAGGCTTTATGGGTGCCATAAGGTCTTTGTTGCAGTTAATGCTGATGTTGTAGCTGAAAGTAGTCATAGACAATACGTAAGCAAGTGGGTGTGACTGTGTTCTAAGAAAACTTTATCTACACACATAGGCCCCAGATTTAGCCCAGTTTGCTGATCCCTGGCTGTATATGACGTGAGAATTTGGATCAGTGAATTTATTATTTCTACCTAAATAAGTTGGGGAACTAAATGTTCTAGGTCAGTGTGTATATTTTAGATGGAACAAAAGAAAAAAGAGAATTTCTATTGTGCATACATTTGAGGGCTGTTAAGGAAGTTGCTTTCACTCATACACCAGGTATTAAGTGCTTACTGTGTGTCAGGTACCAAGCATACAAATAGTGTTGAATCAGAGAGGAGGTTCCTGCCTCATGACATAGCATTTAAAAATTATGAGATAAAGGTAGTGAAAATAATGTGAGAGTGCGTATCTGCGATTTGGTAGAGGGATTATTGTCCCTTTGGATTGGGTGGTTAGGGAAGACTTTCTGAGGAGGCCAGTAGGCTGGAAAGAGTTTAGAAATTAGTTTGGAGGGCTAATCAGGGGTCACATTCTGTTAAGCCTAATAGGCTGTGATGAAGAATTTGATTTTTACGTTAAGGAAGCTGTTATAAGGTAGTTTGTGCTTAAATAAATTACTTTTAAAGAAACCCTAGGACAAAATAAACAAGTCGGATTTCATATCGCCTAAGTCTGATACTACCTTACCTGTCCATTTATGTGGCTGGTTCACAAAGGCACTATGCCTCAGAGATCTCACATACAGCTTGTGTGTGCCTATTTTTAGTTACTCAGTTGCATAAGTTCTAATTCTTGCTAGCACATTTTATAAAACCAAATGTTAAGATAGAGTATACTGTAAAGTTCCTAAAAAAGATGTATGTAAATGCAAAACCATCAGTTTCTCTTGTATAAAGCACATGTGGATAGTGTTTTTGTTTGTGCAGGCATCATTCAGTTTATGTATTGTTTAGATATGTGTCAGTCAGAAATACTAATCAGCTGGTGGTCTAGCAATACAGTCAAAGTAATGTAGGCTGGATCCGTGTAGGAAATGTTAATAATGTACTTAATAATGTACTTGTTTTTCCAGTATTTTACTTGAGTCATGGCATATATTTGAGATTATTTCTCTGAGTATGGACTTTTTCTCCCTCGTTTATTCCTTTTAGGGCAAAATAATATGTTGGTAATAGAATTTTGTATAGGTCCACGGTACCTGTTTAGAGAGCTTCTAATGGTATTTACTGTTTGTTAATATTTATTTTTGTTCAGTTTTTCTACTTCCAAAAAGTGGATATTGATTACTTGTTCATCAAATTTTCAGTTTTTAAACTATTCTGTTATTTGTTCCTGTGTTTTATGGGCAGAATTATTAAGTGCTGTGATTATATCTTACATACAAAAGGAGGCAGGATTACCTAGAGGATTACTCCATCTCTACTAATAGAGAAAGGACAAAAAAGAAAGTATGAAATCTAGTTGGATGTATGTAGATTGGCTTAGTGAAAAAAGATTCTCTAAATTCCAGATCCTCTGTCCTTTCCTTATTCTTTTATCTTTCTATATAGAGGTTATAAGCAGAGTCATGCCATGTGGTTTATTCTTTTTATCCTTTTTATGAAAATAAGGTTTTCTCCAAATAAAGGTGAATATCCATTTCAACAAGTTTCCACTCCAATTTGCTGTCCCCCTCAAGGATTACTGATATAATACTGATTCTTACCTTTCCTTTTATATATGAGTAATTGGGAATGAGTATGGAGGTTTCCTATTTTTGGTATTCATAACTGAGTTTGTTAAATTGCTAGCCCTGTATATATTTATTATCATGAGTTGGCTGCTGTGCTGGATAGCTGCTATCTGCACTTCTCACTCCAGTCTTTTCCCTGCTCTGGCTCCAAGCAGCTGGTCTGTCTGGATATACAAATGGGCTTCTTGTCCCTGCTTTCTAGTTGGGTTCAGCTGGTGGGGAACATTTTCAGCTGATTGAAGGAAAGGAGGAGAGAGAGGTTAGGATTTTTACTTTTCATGACTTCTTCCTGTGGGATTTCTGTAGCCTGGCCGCATCCTTCCATTGAAGTTTCCAGTTCCTATCAGGCAGCTGACATTTTTCTTTCTTCCCCTGCTTTACTGCCAATGGGTAGTGATATGCCCTGCTGTTACTAACCCTGGGATATAACACTCTCACTTGTGATTTCCTTACAACCCACCTATGCTTCGTAACAGTCTCCTTATTAAACTTCCTTCAAATTATCCAAATTGACTGTGCCATCCATTTCTATAGTAACTGACTGATAAAATATGCTTTAACATGTTTTAGATTCTGTCAGTGTCTGTTATGATTCCAATTATAGAGTGGATTAGGACTAAGGGAAAAAATTATCAATTTTATGAATTTATTCTGTTGTCTGGTGTGATTTTATTTTTAGTTCTTCCATAATATCTGGCTTTGAGTATTGCCAGTTTATTGAACACTTAATATGGCACAGCCCATTATTTGAAGCATTATGGGGAATCCAAAAGTAAATGAGACACATGCTCCGTGATTCTACTACTAGGCAGTTTGGAATGAGTTTCCTGTGAGAGCTACAAAATGCTAGAAGTTCAGAGGAGGGAGAGTGCTCTGTCAAGACCACTATGATTGTGTCTGCAGCAGGAATGAAGGGAGATCTACAGCTTCCTGTATTTTCCTGGTAAGACCACCCTTCCCAGTCATTGCTTATTTCATCACTCCATAGCCCATCACTGCAAACCACTTAAGAGACCAGGCCCAAAAGTAATATAACTAATACAATTTTTTTTGTTGTTTTTTGAGACAGTCTTGCTCTGTCACCCAGGCTGGAGTACAGTGGCACGATCTCAGCTCACTGCACCTTCTGCCTCCCGGGCTCAAGCAATTCTCCTGCCTCAGCCTTCTGAGTAGCTGGAATTACAGGTGCATGCCACCATGCCCGGCTTATTTTTTTGTGTGTGTTCTTAGTAGAGACGGGGTTTCACCATTTCGTCCAGGCTGGTCTTTACCTCCTGACCCCGCAAAGTGCTGGGATTATAGACGTGAGCCACTGCACCTGGCCAAACTAATACTATTTAAAGTTTATATACCTGTTCCCAGTACAAAACATATATTAATTTACTTAACTCTAAACCTCCCTATGAAATAGGTTATATTATTATTTGCATTTTACAGATAAATGTTAACTTGCTCAAGTCAAATAGCAGCATACAGAGTTGGAATTCAAACTCATGCAGTCTGATTCCCTTGTCCAAGCTCATTAACTACCATAACCATCACATTATTCTACAATTAGAATTGATTATTCACCTCCCCCAAAAGAGACCATCAAAACCAATTCCATTGTTGCATATAATTCCTTGTTTTAGGTGTCATTCTTGCTCCTCAGTGCTGTTTTTAGCCCCTCACCCCCACTTTTAATGTCAATAGATTTTATCACTTGCTGCATCTTCTTGTTGCAGTCATACCAGTCGGTCTCCCTCATTCAGTATTTATTTATTTATTTAGAGACAGGGTCTCACTGTATGACACCCAGGATGGAGTAGAGTGGTATGATCAAGGGTGACTGCAACCTCTACTTGCCAGGCTCAGGTGATTCTCTCACCTCAGCCTCCCGAGTAGCTGGGACTACACATGCACCACCATGCTCAGTGAATTTTTATATTTTTTGTAGAGACTGTATTTTGCCATGTTGCCCAGGCTGGTCTTGAATTCCTGGGCTCAAGCAATCCATCCGTTTGGGCCTCGCAAAGTGCTGGGATTACAGGAGTGAGCCATCGTATTCAGCCCCCTCATTCATTTTAGGTACTGTTTTTATTCTCACTAGTGTTAATCATTTTGGCAATTCCAGTATCCACGTAGATATCTGCATGGCCCTCTGAATTCCTTGACCTCCAGTGATCCTTCATACTACTTTAGACCTTTTATTGATTGATAACTGTATCACCTCCCAGATTTCAGTTTCAAGCATCCAGCTCTCTGACCACCACTGATTCTCTCTTCCTGGCTTACTCTAATACTGGAGCCAACAATTTTGGGACAATCATCAGCATCTCTATTCCTTCATTTCACTAAATCCCTTTGTTATCCGTCTTCCTCCTGATGTCTTTATTTTTCTTAGCTTAGATTCCATGGTCTGTTAATATAATCACCTTTTTCCAACTTCTGTCATATTCTGCTTGATTAAACCAATATTCTACCTACTTTTACCTAAATAGCCAGATAAAGCTGGAGAAAAAAAGCCTTCGGACTAGTTTCACTTTATATATTGATGGCCACAAGTCTTCAGTGCTTCCTAGTTAGTTCATTCTCTCCCTTTTTTCCCAACCTTGAAACCCCCTTTTTTCAGTTGATGGTGTTTATTTTAGTAAAAAACCAAAACAAGCAGAAAAGAGACTTTATACTCTATCAGCAAATCTAGATGCCTGAAATAGCAATGTTAGTAGAATGTTGGGAGCAGAATGCAACCTTTCAGGGACTAAACTGTGAGTAGGTCATAAGGAATTAGAGATTGATGTTTTCCCAGGTGTGTCACTGAAACACTGTCTGTGTTAAATGAATCTTACCCCGTAATAGGCTTACTGGCTAAATTTGGGAGATGCTGAAAGCTGTGTATAGTTTGAATCTCTCTTTCCCTCTCTCTCTGGTGTTCTGATACAGAGGCAAGGAAAGATGAATAAAATTACAGGTAGAAAGTAAGTTTCCATCTGGTGGCCTAGATGTTACTAAAGCATTGGTTTTCAAACTTTAGCCCACTTCAGAATAACCTGGAGGACTTGATAAAACAGATTGCTGGGTTCTACCTAGAGGGACTGATTTCACATGTCTTGGGTTGCTCCTGAAAATTTGCATTTCCAACAAGTTCTTAGTTGACACTGATGTTGCTTGCTGATTTACGGAACTGGGAATCACATATTGAGAGTTACTTCACTTGAGTAAGAATTCAACTGTCAAGAGTGTTAAGATTGGTTAGGATTTTGATCTATAAATATAGGAAATAGCTGCTGTGGGGCAATATAATAGGAAATTAGAGCCGATTAATAACTTTGAGGGACTTTGACAGTGAGACAGTTTGAATTTGTAGAGGACTCAAGCAGCTATTTTTAATGACTTTTTTCTCTAGCAGTGTGACCTTCCAGAGAGCAGGAACAGAACCACAGCAGTTAGTAAACAATTTTGAGGGAATCCTGCAGGCTGCTTATGTCAAATAGTTTATCATCAAGCACTCCATCTTTGCTTTGCGTTACGAGTGCCAAGATGGCAGCTCTATGATCTGTCTGCCCTTAGCCCATCTGCTTCATTTTATTTATTTATTTGTATGCTTATTATTTATTCATTTATTGATTTTAGTTTTAAAAGTGGTATGTGGCAGAGGTTTTGGAATATAGTAAAGTGTCCATCAAATACAGTCAATAGTTTCATGGCTTTGGGTAAATAACTACCCTGTCTCTTGTTTTCTCATTTGGGAAGTTTTAAAATAGAAGAATGAAAAACTTCCAGGCCTCCCTTTATGAATGTAACTGATAAATCTTTAAAAATCTTAAAGAATTACATTTTGGGAGAATCATTAGTTAGGTTTCTGCCTGAGGAGAGTCCCATGTAGTTCTTTGTAAGTGGCTAAATATTGGACAAGCTGGGTCTCTTAAAGGTCTGTAGTATTTCTGGCAGTAAGTTGTACTAATGTTCCTGGATGTCTGTACTTCTCAGGCGTTGCCAGTGAAATGTTTTCATAATGGATTGTGCCTTACTCTAGTTCTCACTCGTTTTAACTGTCACTTCCTAAATGACTTTATAGTATCTGTACTGAGCCTGGAATAGGAAGGAACCACAAGAAATATATATATAGACAGACAGACACGGAGTCTCACTCTGTCATCAGGCTGGAGTGCAGTGGCGCAATCTCGGCTCACTGCAACCTCTGACTCCCGGGTTCAAGCGATTCTCCTGCTTCAGCTTCTGGAGTAGCTGGGGTTACAGGCATGCGCCACCATGCCCAGCTATTTGTTTTTTCTGTATTTTTAGTAGAGGTGGGGTTTCACCATGTTGGCCATGATGGTCTCGATCTCCTGACCTCATGATCCGCCTGCCTTGGCCTCCCATAGTGCTGGGATTACAGGCGTGAGCCACCACGCCCGACCCACAAGAAATGTTTTGAAACAGATTTGGGGACATGATAGGAAAGGAGAAGGGCAAGTCCTTTCTCCTAACCTTTCTCTTATTTCTCCCATACCCAGTTCAGTGAGCAGGTAAGATTGAGAAGTACGCTTTTCCTTCCCTGATTTCTTAAATACTTGTCAGGGTTTTTGAAACCAGATACTATGCTCTTTTCATAGTGTCGTAATTGCTTATTCTTTAGAATAATGTATTTTGGAAACTCGTGGACTTGTTTTTGATAATTTTGCTGAGGAATAGTTGATAACTTGGATATTTAAACTGATAACGTGTACATACTTAAAGTGTACAATTTGATGAGTTTTGACATTTGTATGTATCATGAAACCACTACCACAATAACAAGATAGCATATATTTTCATTGTGCAACCCTTTGTAATGAATCCACTGATCTGCTTTTCATCGCTGTAGACTGGTTTACATTAAAAATTTAAATGAATGGAAATATGCAGTATATACGTTTTGGTGGGGGGGTGCACATGTTTCTTTCAGCATAATCTTGAGGTTTATTCATGTTTCTTGTATTAATGGTTTTCTCCTTTTAATTGCTGAATAATGTTCTTCTTTGGATATTCTCCCATTTGTTTATTCACTTGTTTATGAACAATTGGGTGATTTCCAGTTTGGGGTTATTATCAGTAAAGCTGCTACAAATATTTATGTACAGTCTGAGTGTGGAAAAGTGCTTTTATTTTTCTTGAATAAATACCTAGAAGTAGAATGGCTACATCATATGCTAGGTCTATGTTTAACTCTTGAGAAACTGCCAAATGTTTTCCAAAGTGCTTACACCATTTTACATTCTAAAGAATTCCGGTTGTTCCACATTGTTACCAACACATGATGCAGTCACACTTTGTTTTCGGCTTTTCTAGTAGTATATGCATGTCTGTCTTGTGGAGTCTCAGTGTCTTTTTTTTTTTTTTTTTTTTTTTAAAGACAGAGTTTTGCTCTTGTCGCCCAGGCTGGAGTGCAATGACATGATCTTGGCTCACTGCAACCTCCCCTTCCTGGGTTCAAGCCATTCTTCTGACTCAGCCTCCTGAGTAGCTGGGATTACAGGCATGCACCACTACGCCTGGCTAATTTTTTTGTATTTTTAGTAGAGATGGGGTTTCACCATTTTGGCCAGTCTAGTCCCGAACTCCTGACCTCAGGTGATCCGCCTGCACCCGGCCTCAGTGTCATTTTAATTTGCATTTTATGCATGACTAATGATAGTGGGCTGCTGATATCTTTGGTGAAGTGTTTGTTCAGACCTTTTGCCCCCGCTTTAAACAAGTGTTGGCTGGGCATGGTGGCTCGCGCCTGTAATCCCAGCACTTTGGGAGGCTGAGGCGGGCAGATCGCTTGAGCTCATGAGTTCGAGACCAGCCTGGGCAACATGGTGAAACACCATCTCTACAAAAAATACAAAAAATTAGCCACCTGTGGTGCTGCACTCCTGTAGTCCCAGCTTACTCAGGAGGCTGAAGTGGGAGGATGGCTTGAGCCTGGGAGGCAATAAGCTGAGATTGCACCACTGCACTCCATCCTGGGTGATAGAGACAGACCTTTTCTCAAACAAACAAAAACCAAAACAAGTGTTGGGTTATCTGTCTTTTATAATTGAGTTGTAGGAATTCTTTATATATTCCAGTTTCAAGTTCTTATACATTTTACAAATACTTTTGATCAGTTGGTGTCTTGATTTTTGTACTTTTTAAGTTTTTTTGAAGAATAGTTTTTTATTTTGATGAAGTCTGCTTTATCAGTTTTTCTCTTTATAGTTCTTTTTGTGCTATTTTATTTCATTTCTCTTTTGGTTTTTCTGAAAGTTAAATATCTCAGATTCTCATTTTTTAGCTATTGGACCAAAAATGCATAGGAGACAGCTATAAAGCTAATAGTGTGTTTGCCTTATATTTGTGTTTATTGTTACAATTTTAAAGTGTTTATGATTCTAGTATTTTTGTTTGTTCTTTTTGGTTTTTTAGACTTGCTAAAGGGCCTGTGAAATAGCCATTGGTTCAGTTCCTTTGTTTTGTAAGGGAACTGAGCAGGTTACATGACTTTGCTAATGGTGAAGTTTATGATTATGCCAAGACTGAAAAGACCCCAGGTCCTCTGAAATCCCACTTCACTCTTCATTTCCCCTTTTTAATGATTTTGTTGCTAAAATTTTACTGCATACTGCAACATATTAAAAATAAATTTAGTTCCTGTTTATTAGTATCCTCATTGAAAGCATATTATTAAAATTATTATGTAGATTAGCTTCCTGAAAGAATCATAGTATCCCCTTAAAATTTCATTAAGTGAAGATGTTGAATTTAACATATATTTTTTTAATTCTTTCCAAAGGTCTGTAAACAGATTTGGCTAGGATTATTTGATGATAGATCTTCAGCAATTCCAGACTTCAGGGATCCACAAAAAGTGAAAGAGTTTCTACAAGAAAAGTATGAAAAGAAAAGATGGTGAGTGAAGAGTTTGTATGTAGAATAAAGCCTCCCCAAATCACATATTAACTATGGGTAAGGTTAGTCTGACACAATGAAGGATAAAAGACAGACAGTGAGAACTAGATAGGTATATAATTCATTATCCCTTGGCTTTTTGTTGGTTTGGTTTCTGAAAACCTTTACTTCTACTTTATCTTAACTCATCTGTTCCTGGCAGCAGGCTTTTTGTTGTAATAATTACCAGGAAAGTTAGGGATTCTTCCTTCTAATCATTCCCTATCTCTGTTAGCTTCTTTAAATATGTTTTGCCCTACAAAGCCTCCGTTCTTAAAAATCATTAATTTAGCAAGTATTTACTGAGTCATATCTTTTTTTAATTTATTGAGTTTCATCTTCTGTATACTAGGCACTATGCTAAAGCTCTGGTGTAGTAATCCATCTACTTAATTGTCTGTTGTAGCCTTTGCTCAAAATATTTTTTCTTTTGACCTAAGAAATCAGTTTACTTTCTGGTTAAGAAGGGAGCATTTACTTTTCCCTAACTAAATCTATCAGATGTTAATTTTTAAAAATTAATTCCAACAGGTTGTACATATAGCTAGTAAGCCCCTTGCTATGGAATAGGGACTATATCTATAAAGCTAGTGTTCAGCTACTGAGGGTTCTTCATTTTTAGCTATATGAGCACAATTTAAGTTACTAAGACTCATTAACTATGAACTTTTGGTTATTTCTTTAATAGTATTGCATAGTGGATACTTTCATCTTGGGAGGTTAACAAGATGGGGCAGAGAGTCAAAATAGAGGGAATAAATAATGGGGAAGTAACGAGCTTCTTGTTTGCTTGAGGAACTCTGTTTCAACCCAAGAGAATCTGTTCAGAGCCTGTTTTGGTCCTGAGGGAACATTTGTTGTGGTTTACAGCAGAGGTCTTTACCTTCATTCAGGAGCACATTAGCTCTGACTTGCATGCTCTATCAAAATTTGTATTCTTACTACTTTCCAAAATAGACTACATTTTTCTTTTTTTTTTGGAGACTGAGTTTTGCTTTTGTCACCTAGGCTGGAGTGCAATGGTGCGATCTCGGCTCACTGCAACCCCCGCCTCCTGGGTTCAAGCAATTCTCATGCCTCAGCCTCCCAAGTAGCTGGGATTACAGGCACCCACCACCACGCCTGGCTAATTTTTTGCATTTTTAGTAGAGACAGGGTTTCGCCATGTTGGCCAGGCTGGTCTTGAACTCCTGACCTCAGGTGATCCACCTGCCTCAGCCTCCCAAAGTGCTGGGATTACAGTTGTGAGCCACTGTGCCCGGCCTAAAATAGACTACTTTTTGCAAGGCAAGATTAGTCAGGGCTATATTCAGCTGTACTAGAAGACATCAAGTATGAAAATAGATTAAAATACACCAGTAAAATTTAAGTTCAGGAAAGAAGAAAATACTAGAAGGTGGGTTGGTAGTAAAAATATGGTAGCATAAATGATTCTTTTAAAATGAAAGGTATAATTATCCTTTTATCATTTTGGTTCTGAATTTCCTAGACATTCTACCCTGTAGGAAAGACTGTTCTCCTTACATAGCCCTAACCTAGTTTTGTTTTCTCAGCCGTGTTACTTTTACCAATTCAGAAAGTGAGTTTGGTTAGGGATTAGTTTATGGTCAGCTCTAGCTATCAACAGAAAAGTGAGTGTGAGTAACAGTTGGTAGAATTAAAATCATAGATCCTTACCCCCACATTTATAACAGTAATGTATTATTCATTCAAACTATAACGCAAATACCTAGAAACCTCAAATAATTACAGTTTATGTTATTTTTTTTCTTTCCTGAGAAACAGGATAATAAGAGTTATACAAATAGAGACTTCAAGTGGTGGGACAGGTGACCATCATTAAGAGGGCCAGGACCTGTATGTTTTTAATCCAGACTGCTGCACACCTGTAACATACAGCTAGCAAGCAGTGAAATTGGTTTCTAACATGGAATAAGCACTATCCAGATGCAGCATCTCTAAAAATACTCACTGTAACTATACTTAAAACAGTGATGATGGTGTTATCCAAAGGGATTTTGAAACTGTTCTTTTGACCAGTTCTCAAAATCACTTTCTGTGTTATACTAGAAGACATCAGGTATGAAAATAGATTAAAATACACCAGTAAAATTTAAGTTCAGGAAAGAAGAAAATCCTAGAAGGTGGGTTGATAGTAAAAATATGGTAGCATATTACTTTGCCAGGTGAGTCTTTTGAACCAATAACTATCATTTGATTTTATCCTTTGATAAGACTTGGCTATACTGAAGAATTTGTATTAGTAGTATGCTAAATTATGGGAAAATATAACTTCTTGTATTCATTCTCATACATCTTTTATCTCTCCCATTTACTTGAAAGCAGTTGTTTGTGATTATTATGTAGTTTAGTGACAGTGAACACTTAGTTAACACGTATACCAGGAATTGTTCTCAGTGCTTTACAAATGTTAACTTGTTTAAACCTAGGCAACTCTGCCTCTCCATTTTATAAATGAAAAAAATGGAAGCACAAAGAGTTGAAGTATTAATAGTTTGCCCAAGGTTTCACAGCCATTTAGTGGTAGAGCTGGGATTTGAACTCTTGTCTCTGGAACAGGTGCTCTTAAGCATGGTTTTCCTTCTTTCCTCACCTACTTCATATGGGGAATAAGAAGGAGGGTAGGACAAAACCCAGAATTACAAAGAGCAAAAGCTCTCACATAATCCCACACCTAGAGGTCAGGATTGCCTATGTTTGGACATTATTATATCCTTGCTACCTCTCCTTTCTTGACTCGCCTCCTCACATAAATCATGTGTTTATATGACTGGAATCAAATCTGAAAGACCTGTGAAGTTTCCTCTTTCCATGTCAAAGCAGAGTAGCTATGAGTATTGTATTATCGTAAATTTTTTTTCCTTGATAGATGTTGGGTTTGTTTCCCAGTTTTTGTGAAATTATAAAGAGAGGACTGTGGTTAACATCCATGTGTACATGCATCTGTATACACTTACCAATTCTTAAGGATGTTTCTGGAAGTGGCACTTCTGGTGCACAAAGCACACCTATTTATATATTTTAGTAGGTAGCAATAAAAAATTGTAAAGTTCACACTTAGCTCATAGGTGAATAAAACCTTAATTTGCATTTTTGTCAGGTTAAAAGTGTTTTCATTTTTGTGTCTCCTGTCTTCTGTGAATTGCTTCTTTTGTTCATTTAAAATGGGATGATCTTATTCTTACAGATGTAATAAGCCTTTATATTTTAGGCTGTTAACTGTAATATTACAAATGTTTTCCTACCTCATCTTTCTTCAAATGTTATTTAGATCTTAAGATAATTTTAAAAATTATAGTATGAACTATTCATGGTGATGACTAATTGTAGGTCCTCTGTTTAAAAAAAGCAGTTATTTCTTATATTGTACTTAATATCTTAGAAAAACCATAAATAAGTAATTGAAACAAGTTTTGTGGTTAGTCTTCTCTTTTCTCTGAGTATTTCAAATATTTAATGGGTGTAGTCTTAAGCTGTCGTTCCTTTTTTAAAAAATATGCAAAGTTATTCTGTGTGAGAGGGTTTTCAGATAAGATTAATGGTGAAACAATCTTGTACAAAGTTAGAATTAAGCTTATCATTTTTTGATATAGAATTACCTACATTTTTTTTTAGTTAACTGTTTTTTACATGTTTTAGGTATGTCCCGCCAGAACAAGCCAAAGTCGTGGCATCAGTTCATGCATCTATTTCAGGGTCCTCTGCCAGTAGCACAAGCAGCACACCTGAGGTCAAACCACTGAAATCTCTTTTAGGGGATTCTGCACCAACACTGCACTTAAATAAGGGCACACCTAGTCAGGTGAGTAGTCTTTGAATCTTTGTAGGGAATTCGACTTAAAGAGGGCTTGAGTATCAAGAATTTGAGAATTGTTTAAGACAGCAGCATAATCTTGTATGCCAGTAGCATTATGTTCCAATGGTTTGTTATACATTAAGAAATTGTTGGTTAAGTGGTTGAAATGTATATATACTTGTTCTTTTTGCTATTGCTAATATGAGTTTCTTTGACTTCTCTGCAACTTTGTAAAGGTGAGTTATACAGGAATGTTGCTATAGCTATATATATGTGTGTGTGTGTATACATGTATATATCATGTGTTATACAATTTGTAAAACATGAATCTATGGTGACCATCAGAGTTAGAATGTATAGTCTCTTTGATACACTTTTCTAGGAAGGGATTTCTTTAGTAGTAGAGTTTTCCCACATGTGTGATTGTGAAGCATGTTGATCATTGAAACACAAGGGACTTTGCATTATACCTTATTCTTAAAAATGAACAAAATGGAATATTTTCATAAGTTGCTACCTAAAGTTTGTCTTCTACACTTTATTATAGTTGATGGGGCTGTGACAGATCTGTTACTGTGTGGCATTGCAGCCTCTATCCTATACAAGAATGGTTCAGAGGCGTAGTACTGTGGATTAAATCCTGCCCTTTTTGATGACACATACTAAGACATTTAGATAAATTTCTCTGTTTTCACAAAAGATTGAGTGAAAAATGAGAAAGGTTAACTCAGCATACTGTAACTCTTCGTATGTATAAGTGTGTTTTAAGTTTGCAGATAGTTTTGTATAAAGATTTTGCAGATCCGACTGGAATATCTTTATAGTTAATATGTGGTTTGTAGTCCCCAGTTGTAGGTCGTTCTCAAGGGCAGCAGCAGGAGAAGAAGCAATTTGACCTTTTAAGTGATCTCGGCTCAGACATCTTTGCTGCTCCAGCTCCTCAGTCAACAGCTACAGCCAATTTTGCTAACTTTGCACATTTCAACAGTCATGCAGGTAAGTGTTTTTTCCCAACAGCTTTTGCTGGGGATGCATATAAAACACCAAGAAACATCAATTCTTTATCACACTTTGAGGATCAGTAAACATTTTTTGTTGAAAATGTTTTGTCACTTGTAACTGTTGAGCTGTAATATGTAACCATATAATTGTGTTGCTTTTTAATCACAGAAGAGATTATATTTAATGTCGGTTGGCATGACCTCTTTCCGTGGAAAAATGGGGAAAGGATGTAATGTCTATTTTTTATTCTTTATGAAATTGAAAATATTCAAAAGTAATTGGATACTCTAACGTTTATGTGCTAATCACTCATGGCTAATCTTGTTTCATTTGTCATTCCAGTCACTGTCATATTATTTTGAAGCAAATTTTAGACATAGTATTAGTTTATCCTTAAATATTGTGTATATCAATCTATAAAACATACTTTTTTTGTTAAATATAACCATATTAGTAGCATCATTCCCTAAATAATAGTAGTAATAATAATTCATTAGGATTCAAATGTTCATTATAGTTCAGATTTTTCCATACACATACATACGTACATATGTACATACATGCATATATACATACATACAGTTTGTTTGAATCAGATTTTCAACAAGGTCCACAGACTGCAGTTGTGAGACATGTCTCTTAGGTCTCTTAGTTCATAAGATTTTTCCTGTATTCCTTCTTTTTCCTCCTCTGTAATTAGTGAAGAAATTTGCTTATTTGTCCTATACAGTTTTCAGTAGTCTGAATTAGTTGATTGCACCACTATGGTGCCCTGTAACAAGTTCCTATGTTCTATTTCTTGTTATTAGGTTGTTGGATCCAGAGACTTAATCAGTTACAGGTTCTTCCTATTAGGAGGATGGGTGGCTGGGGATATTCTTACTACTTGGGATTTAAGAGGCATGTAATTTTGGATTGTGTTTTTATAATGTTAGCTCTTGGTGCTCAGTACCCGAGTCCATTGCATAAAAATAATGATGTTCTGAATTTATTCCTTCACTTATTAGCTGAAATACTATTTAAAAATCTTTATCTGGTGGCATGATTTGTTTAGGAAAGTCAGAATACATGATTCTTTTCCATCAGATATCAGAATAATGAGTTGATTTCCTAGCATTTTATAATGGTGACTTTTTTCTTTAGTATCATTATGACTTCATAGATTAAAACATTTGCTACATCTCAGTTTGCTGTCATTATTATCCTTAGTAGTACTCAAATTAGCCCACCTTAGGAGTAGGAACATTGTGAGGTTGGTTCCTATAGATACAACTCATTCATTCATTCATTTATTTGAGGTGGAGTCTCGCTCTCTCGCCGAGGCTGGAGTGCAGTGGTACAATCTTACTGCGACCTCCGCCACCTGGGTTTAAGCTATTCTCTCACCTCAGCCTCCCAGGTAGCTGGGATTACAAGCGTGTGCCACAGCACCCGAAATTATATACAAATGTAAAATTTTGTATTTTAGTAATACAAAATACTAATTTTTTATTTTTAATGGAGATGGGGTTTCACCATGTTGGCCAGGCTGGTCTCGAACTCCTGACCTTAAGTGATCTACCCACCTTGGCCTCCCAAAGTGCTGGGATTACAGGCATGAGCCACTGTGCCCAGCCTCTTTTTTTTTTTTTTTTTTTTTGAGATGGAGTCTCACTCCCTTGTTCACACTGGTGTGCAGTGGCACAATCTTGGCTTACCGCAACCTCTGCCTCCCGGGTTCAGCCAATTCTCCTGCCTCAGCCTCCTGAGTAACTGGGATCACAGGCGCCCGCCACCACTCCCGGCTGTTTTTTGTGTTTTTTAGTAAAGATGGGGTTTCACCATGTTGACCAGGCTGGTCTCGAACTCCTGACCTCAGGTGTTCCACCTGCCTTGGCCTCCCAAAGTACTGGGATTACAGGTGTGAGCCACTCTGCCCGGCCCTAAAGATACTTTTTTGATAGAACTCTTGTGGTCTTTGAATGGCCTTTTCTCCCTTCCTTATTCTCAGATTTAACATATTTGTTACAAACATGTTTAATGCATGTCACCAGAAATTGGGATTTATGGAGTTTTATTTTGTTAACAAGCATGCAAACCTTGCAGAGGTACTTAGGTTAGGTAATATTTAAAAATTGATTATTGAAGTATAGATTTGGTCACTTGTATCTCTCCTTAATTGTAATAGCAATAGTCTGATAGGGAAGTGGCATAATGTAGTGAAAAGAACCTGGGCTTTGGAGTTGGGACAACCTGGGTTCAGATGCTGGCTTTCTTGCTTATTATCTGTGTAACTTTGGGCAAATTACCTAACATTTCTAAGTTTTCTATTCTATAAATTGTCTTTGATAAGTGGCAAGGTTCAAGTGAGATGATGCATTTAAGTGGTTTACCATCTAAAAGGTACAATAAACATTGTTTGTCTTCTCTCTTTTATACACACTTCATATATATGTACATACGTATACACATATACACTTATGTATGTATGTTTGTATGTTTACATGCATTTAAGAAAAAGGATCATACTTTATGACAAGTTTTTATGCTGTTTTAATGTTTCAGTCTTAGTTAAGATTCCACAAATGGTTTAGATTCATTTCCTAACAGCTTGGTGATTTCTTGAGTCTTTACAGTTGCTTCTTTATGCTTAAACAGTGTAAAAGCATACATAGTATTTGTGTTGGAAATGCGTATGGAATCTATTTTGGATGCCAGTAAGCTGTGATGTTTATATCATGGAAAGTTTACCAGTCTGCATTTTGAGTGATTAAATAAGTATCAAACCAAATGTAGAACATTAATTTAGGAATTTAGTCATTTTATAGCTTTATTTTGATAATTTAAAACTTTGCTTTATATTATTTTGGCACATGTGTATGAGGTATTGGCTAAAGCTTACTCTTTTATTTGTCATAGATTATGTAAGTTAAATTATGGACAAGAAAAATTCAAGACTGTATCTTTGTAAAAGATGTATTTCACAATTTTATGAGCATAACAGAATCCAGTGCTGATAGAATGGACTTCCTGTTTGTATTTTAGAACTTACTTTGCCTTATTTTACTTACCTGTGAGATTGTGATGGTTTTTCGTTTTCTTTCAATTTGATGACCTGGCTTCTTTTTGGATAATGATAATATGAAGTATATTATACATAATCACACTCCAAAATATGCTGTTTGGGATAGTTTGAAAAATTGTAGAAAAACTTCTCTCCAGCCACATTTCTTTCTAGCAAGCAATAAGGGAACCTTTTGTTTTAAATATTAATAAAAACATTTTCTAAGGACATGCTTTAGAAGGAAACTGGCGTAATTTTTATATGTCTCATTTGTGTATTTGCTTTAAAAAGGAGTCCTAGGATGACATGGATCTCTTTTTTCAGGAAAGGTTGTACTGAGAAGGATAAGAAATTTTGGGTTTCTTTTGCTTAAGTTGTTGGAGTTGTGGTAGATTTCCCTTCTCCTGTGTTACCTGAGCTGCAAAATCCCAGAAAACATGGAGAACCTCTTTCCCCGTAACCCTCCAGATAAGAAGCGATTTCCCCCCTGACCAGATAAGGACCCCAACTCTCTTTTTTCACCTCTTGCGTTTGAGTGCTGGTAAAAAGAGTTGGTGGGAGAGCCAATAAATAGAGTAAAACTTGTGTAATTTATGAATATATTCTGGTTTTATCTCCATTTTAGGATTATTGAAATGTAATGCAAAATTACTGATAACCACCAAATTCTTTTGTAAATTTGCAACTTATTTCTTGTTCCCTTTGTTTTTCTCTCTTTAAATGCAGTTTGTGAGTCTTCACAGGTAATGTTGGACTTTTCTTTGTAGCCCTATTGGCCAAAAATGGTTAGACAAGTCACTGCAACTCTACAGACTAATTTGTACCATGGTTGCACTAATACTTTCAACAGCTCCCTTAAAATGCACTTTGAAAACAATAGCCATCATTTAATTGTAGGATATGCAGTAAAGGAAAAGAATCTTATATTTTGATCAGATTGATAGAAAGTGGTTAATCTTAACTGTTTTGTTCCTTGTCTGAAGAAAGAATGAAATAGCTACATGTAGGCTGTGAGTCAGGCTGCCTGAGAGGAGTTGTTTTTTAGTCTGAAGTTCTTAATTACAAATGACTGCTCAGATTACCTTTTTTTTCTTTACTTTATTTGACTTTTGGTTTCATTACAGGAGAATAAAATGTATATGCCTGTTACAAGAAGAAACTACTGAATTACTCATTTATTTTTCCTTCTACTATGGTTGATACCATCTTTTGACGTTTTGCCTTGGAGTAGTTTTTAGTTAAATACTAGGTCATGGTTTAACTGAAATGTCTTTTTCCAGAGCCTTTCCAAGCATTCAGAATCCTTAGTTTTCCATATATAGTTCAGAAAGTCATTGATTGCCAATTTCTTCTCATCCTGATATTCTTGTTAATTTTAAAAAAAATTAGGTGAAAATTTTATCCTGAACAGTTTGATACGACTGATGGAACCATTAATGGCAAATGATAATTATTCACATATGCCAGTCTGGTTCATTAGCATTGTTTTGTAGGGAAACTTTTTCTTTTGTAGATAATTTAGTGTGACTTAAAAGCCAGAAGCCTTTAGTCTTCATGTGAGCATTCAGGCTGAGGTATAGTATTTGTGGATGTGTGTTGCTGGGTGGGGTCATTATTGGGTTCAGAAAAAGTCATCTTCTACAGAAAGACGCATGAAGCTAGAAATAAAATTCACCTACTGAATTTGGTTATTTTGCCTGATGATAAACATCATATCCCAAAACCTGTGCACTGTAAACTGTAATTGATTTTTGTCACATTCTATACTGTAGGATCTAAACCCAACTGCCTTGCAACTCAGGTAACACAAATGAGTAGTATAATGTTGTGTTTAAAGAACTATGGTGCCCTTTTTAAAGGGGATGTTCTAATCTGTTACCACATGGAAATAGGGGTTTAGGATACTAGATATATTGATTTTTTTTTTTTAATAAGAGAAGCTAGAAGTCTTTTTGTTTATTGTGAAGTGCCCTCTTTTTAAATGTTGGGAATTCATGGGAAATAATGTTAAATACTATACAGATGAAACAAAGCATATCTGTCAGATGAATTTGCTGAGGGCTGCTAGTTTGCGTCCTATGATCTATCTTCCTGTCTCATGAATATGTGTTTTTCTTTGAAGAGGAATGACAACTATTAGCAAGACTCAGGCTCATTAATTTGGGGTCTTAAGTTCCACACTAAGTTGACTCCTTTGTACTTTTTGAAATACGATTATTCAAGAAACAGCTTTACCATTGTGTTACATTCTGCTTAGCTTGGATTTCTTTGTACAGAGATTGCCTGAGTGTCCAGACAGTAATTTTTGTATTACTGAATTTATTAGTGTTGAATTTGCAAAGTTGTGTTTTCCAAAGTTTCATTCTGCAGCACTTATAATCGATTGTTGAAGATAGTGAATAGATCAGTACCTAGAAGTAAAAATGGATACAAGTACTACAAAGTCCTGTCTTGCCTATTTAATAGGTATTCTATTAATGTTTGGGGCTCTGAATTATATGCTATAATTTCTATGCTAGCATTCATTGTTTCTTAAATTTTAATGAGTTTAAAATTGCAGGCTTCTAATAGAATATGAATATCTTCAATTTATTTGGTGATCTTGTCCTTTTTTTAAATTTTTATATATGACCATGGTGAGACATTTGTAAACTTAAAAAAAGCTCTATTAATTAAACCATTTTTGTATTATTATTTTAAGTATTTCAGTTATTATTCAGATTCACATAGTTGATTACCATTTTTAATCAGTGAATTTTTCCAGGATGTTTTCTACATCTTTGTCTGCTTTCCTATAACTCAGTACTGTAACTCAGTACTCTGAAATAGTTTCCTTTGTTAATAGAGTCACTTTTATAGTACTGTGCTTGAGGTCATATACAGAGTATTGTGTCCAAATTTATCATTGCACAAAGTGTTTTTGGAAATTCTTGGTTACTCCTTAGTAAATTACCTGTAATTGGGTTACATGCTGGTAGGGTTTAAAATCTGATTGCTAAGTGAATTCTCTATAAAGTGAGTTTTGATACATAGAAACTTTTCATATAATTCTTAAACTCATGTGTCATGTATTTTCATTTATAGTTTTCATATTCATTAACATATGTTGTTCCTTACCATTTACAGCTCAGAATTCTGCAAATGCAGATTTTGCAAACTTTGATGCATTTGGACAGTCTAGTGGTTCGAGTAATTTTGGAGGTTTCCCCACAGCAAGTCACTCTCCTTTTCAGCCCCAAACTACAGGTAGAGCTTCTCCAGCATTGTGCTTAAATGTTTACTTTACAAAACAAAACTCTCTAAATGTAGTTTTGAAAAATTAGTCTAAACTTAAATTCTGTAATTATCTGACTTTAAAATGGTTCTATCTTCAAAAGCTCTGGGGAAACCTGAACTCTTTATTTTTTTCTATGTTCATTTGTTTTTCTGCATTATTTGGTATATTGTCTGTTTGACAACATCCATTCTCCTCCTTTTCCTGCGCATGAATCTTCCTTATATCTACCATGCACACAGGACAGAGGCATGACACTACTATAAGTATTTCTCTCTCTCTGTCTCTTTTTTTTTTTTTTTGGCAATCCTCCTGCCTCAGGATGGAATACAGGCACATGCCACCACTCCCAGCTAAATTTTTTTTTTTTTTTTGGTAGCAGCTGGGTCTCACTATGTTGCCCAGGCTGGTCTTGAACTCCTGGCCTCAAGTTATCCTCCTGCCTTGACCTCCCACAGTGCTGGGATTACAGGTGTGAGCCACTGTGCCCAGCCAGTACTATAAGTTTTTTAAGGTTCATAGAATCCATTGATTTAGGCTGACATTATACCTCTTAATAAAGGAAGCTGGTTGCTTCTGTAGAGCTAAAAATGTAAGTAATTTTCGGGGCAACAAGCCTGAGAAAAATTTTTATATGTTTATTAGACAAGAGTAGATTAATGATCACTTCAGTCAAACTTGGAAATAGTTTTCTGTGCAGGAATTGGTGTTTAAACATTGAATACTCTTTCCATAAATTGTGCTGTTTTCGTAAACTCATGGAACCCTTATTTAGATTTTTGGCTGATTACTTTTCTTTCAACTTTTAACTCTGTGTATTGTCTTAAAGCCTTTTCTTTCAATTTTCTTTTTTGTTTTTTCTTTAACTTTCATCATTTACATAATTTCTGGCTGTCCAGCATTTAGAATGCTTTCATCTAGCTGCAGTTTTGGTGAATTTACTTCAGCTTTTCCTCTTCAGGCTACCCACAGTAAGTTCTGTTGTCAAGTAGGCATCTTATACTAATTTGTATATTTTTGCTATACTTCAAGGGTTTTTCCAGTTATAGATTGTTAATAATTCTTTAGTGATAATCCTTCATAAAAATCTCTTCCAACTCTATTTATTAAACTCAGAGTTAGAGAACACAATAGTAGACAATCAAAGAGTTACTTGGTTTAATAATAATTTGAAATAATATTCTTTATATAAATTTTGAAAGTTTAGTATGTACTTTGTTTGCCAGCTCCTTGTAACAGGTCACAATATTTTACATACAAACATATATTACTTACCTTTAATTGAAACCACCATGATTTAACTCTTGAAAGAAATTTGATCAGTGTATATTTTTTTTAGAATGTATAAAAACCTGCTTGATAGAAAGTGTTCGTGTTTTTTTAATAGAAGTTCATGCATTCTGTTTTAAAATTATCTGTAGTTGTCTTTTCTATCACTTTAATATATAACTGTGTATATATACTGTTTTGATTTCTGAAACTAAAGTTTAGAAATAAAGAACTAATATCCCAAAAATGTAGGATCAAAAGCATAGAATGAAATATACTGGTTTTAGTCTTTTGATAGTACTTTAAGGAGGTCTCTATAATAGAGAACAGATTTTAAAGATGTAACAGGATATATATAATAGTGGCCATTAGGTGAATTGTGGTTTATAAAGTCAAAAATTGCTATAATGTATTATGTACTGTAATTTTAATGCCTTGAACTATATGGTACGGCATGATTTTACAGTGGACATCTTGATATTGTATACACATTAAACTATTATGTGGAATTAAATAGTAGCTCTTCAAGTGAAGTAAGTATAAATGTCAACGACCATCTTTTAAGGAATTTTGGATCACCGTAACACATTTTACACATTGTTAATCGCTACCCCTGGGATTGTTTAAACTGTTTCGTCATGGAGCCACAAAAGTTTGAAATCCTCCTAGTAAGATACTTTGCATCTTGTTTGCAGTCTGTTCAGGGAGAACTAGTGAAAGGCTGTAGTATATTTGGACTAGAAAGTAACTGAATCTCAAACCAGGTAGTGTGGAGATACCCCTCCATGAATTACATTCTTCATTCCAGGGTAGGTAATACACAGAAACATGTTACTTTACCTGTTGCCAAGGCCTTTGAAAAATCTACTTTTACAAAATTGGAAAACGTCACTTGTAGTCAAAAGCCATTGCCAGTCATTGATTTTAATGTTGTAAGATTGCTTATAGGACATTTAATTTAGGAAGAAATGATCATACAGTCTATGAGAGGGTACTAGGAAAAGCTTAGAAATTTCAAGTGCTCTGTTTATTCTGTTACAGGTGGAAGTGCTGCATCAGTAAATGCTAATTTTGCTCATTTTGATAACTTCCCCAAATCCTCCAGTGCTGATTTTGGAACCTTCAATACTTCCCAGAGTCATCAAACAGCATCAGCTGTTAGTAAAGTTTCAACGAACAAAGCTGGTTTACAGACTGCAGACAAATATGCAGCACTTGCTAATTTAGACAATATCTTCAGTGCCGGGCAAGGTATCAAGCTTTAAGCAAAACAAATACAAATTTGTGTTAAACAGTGCTCTTAATTTGGTTGTATTTATTAAAATCTGAACATGCTACACTTTTCTCAGTTGTTGTATAGAAATTTTGTCTGCACTGTCATTTTGAGTAAAATGTTCACTTGACACATTTTAGACCTGAAATATCAACTACAAAACTGAAGACATAGGGACTGATTTGTAAACTTTCAGTCTTACTAGTTGAGAAAAATTTTATTTTGTCCTAGAAGGCGTGCTTTACTTTTCTTTGGCTATAAAGAGCCAAGAAACCCCATTGGCAGAGCTGAATGGAGGATTATTTGGTGGTTTCTGTAATATATTTACTTCGAACAATTTTCCGTTAACATCTTGGTGGGTTTTTTATATTTAAAAAAAAAAATTCATGAATTTTACAGTATAGTCTTGTATCCAGTTTTATCTTAAGGCTAGTAGCCTCTACAAATGCATGTGGCACTGGTGAATAGCAGGTGTGTGTTGCTAAATGGAATTCTCCATTCTGATCTCTGGGCCTGTTTTCCTCCTCTCCAAAATGAGGATAATTCTAAGCATTAAACTCATGGAGTTGTGTTCTAAGTATTATTGCATGTTAAGGCATATAGAACAGTGCCTAGCACATAGTAAGTCCTCAATAAATGTTTCCCGTTATTACCATCTCTAATTTTTTTGTGGAGAATGCTGGGGAAATGATGCTATTGATAGACTGTTCACATTAGGTCTAGCATTATATGAATTTATATGTTCATGTGAACAAGATCCACCCGTCTTGGAGATGTTAACGTAAGAGCACTTGAGAGTTTCTTTCTTATGCATAATCCAGACAAATTTTTTTGGTACAGAGTGTTAATTTTTGTTAAGAGACATATTCTGTCTTTATCACAGTGGTATGTATAACAACTAATCCTGTCCAGTATGGTCCAGGTTATTTATTAGATTAATGATTTGGAATCCTGCTTAACTCTAAATCCATTTTAAGTTTACCTGTGTTTCATGGCAAATGTGGTTGATAAGTTGAAAGTGTAACTTTAAATTTTTGGTGTAACTTGATTTTGTTCGTTCCCAGGTGGTGATCAGGGAAGTGGCTTTGGGACCACAGGTAAAGCTCCTGTTGGTTCTGTGGTTTCAGTTCCCAGTCAGTCAAGTGCATCTTCAGACAAGTATGCAGCTCTGGCAGAACTAGACAGCGTTTTCAGTTCTGCAGCCACCTCCAGTAATGCGTATACTTCCACAAGTAATGCTAGCAGGTACCTTGTCTTAGCTAGCCCTCCTGCTTTGTGTTTTATCTTTTTTTTCCAACTTTGAATAATCAATTAAAAAATGACTGTTTCAAGGTATAATTTTAAAATTCTTGGATATTTTTGTAAATTTGAGGAATTTGAATTTAAATGCTAATTAAAATATAATCCTTGAATAATTGCCATAATTTTATCTTTTCATTGAATCAGACGTTTTGTTATGTTCTGTCCTTGAACACTAAACCGTATTTGAGAGCATGTACACATCTCAAAATGGACAGTTCCTTACAGATTGTACTCAGCAGAGAATCCATTTAGTAGTCAAATAATATACTTTAAAAATAGTTTTTAGTCATGATGATTAAACAGTGAAAGTCCCATATTATAGGCTTAGTTGTAAATACAGATTTTTAGAAGTGTTTGCACCAAAGCCCAAAATCAATTCTGTATCTCTTCAGTGTCATCCTCATATTTACAAATAAGCACATCTGCTGTTATGTTCATATATATCTGTTAGAATTCTTGGCAGTAGGAAGTCTAACACATTTTAGGACATTACACTTGTAAAAAACTTTTCTAGTCTTTATTTTAGAGTTGCGGAAATAGTCTCAGAAATACAAGAGATTTACCTATAACAATGTTTTATTCATCTCTGTTTTCCAATCCTGTGGATTGTATTTACTAATTTCTTTAGTTATCCTGGTAGCTTATTTTCCTTTAGCATCTTTTCTAGAAAGAAATGTTAGGATTGTAACACTTCCGGAAACATAAAGTCTGGAAACATACTTTATATATAATACATGATTTATTGATATTACATTACAGTACATCAGGGGTTCACAAACTGTGGTCCATGGAATGTTTGGGGTACCTGAGACCCTTTCATGGGGTCTGTGAGGTTAAAACTTTCTTTATAATAATTCTGAGAGATTGTTTACCTTTTCATTAATTGATATTTGCATTGATGGTGTGAAAACAATGGCAAGTAAAACTTGCTGGTGTCTTTTTATTTTTTTTTAATACTTTAAGTTCTAGGGTACATGTGCACAACGTGCAGGTTTGTTACATAGGTATACATGTGCCATGTTGGTTTGCTGCACCCATCAACTCATCATTTACATTAGGTATTTCTCCTAATGCTATCCCTCCCCCAGCCCCCCACCCCCGACAGGCCCCCAAGTGTGATGTTTCCCACCCTGTGTCCATGTGTTGTTCTTGTTGTTCAACTCACACCTATGAGTGAAAACATGCAGTGTTTGGTTTTCTGTCCTTGTGATATAGTTTGCTTAGAATAATGGTTTTTGCTGGTGTTTTAACATGAATATTAAGATAGTGGCACCAAACTGTACTAGTCGTTACAATAGTCATATTCCTTCCCACTACACATTCAGTTTTACTTGTATTTTTTATTTTTTTATGATGATTCTTAATGAAGCAGTAACAATTGTTTATTTTATTACATCTTTACACTTAAATGTCTTAATTTTCTTTGTGTTGATACTGATGCTGTGATACACGATATGTTCATTATTTTATGGCTACCCTGTAAATCGTTACTTTCTTTTTTTTTTAAGAAAAAAAATGAACTCTTTCAATATTTGTTCTCAGCAATGTTTTTGGAACAGTGCCAGTGGTTGCTTCTGCACAGACACAGCCTGCTTCATCAAGTGTGCCTGCTCCATTTGGAGGTATGTGCTTCTGGTATATACACTGGTTTTTACAAAGAACCCAAATATATATTGTGTAGCATTTTCTTAGGAGTCAAAGCAATGATTTGTTATCAGAATCCTTGAGTTTTCTGTCTTGATAAATATAGTGAAATAATTTAAATCTTAAATACAAAATGTATTAGGATTTTATAGTGTATTTTATAATTTTTTAAAGCTACGCCTTCCACAAATCCATTTGTTGCTGCTGCTGGTCCTTCTGTGGCATCTTCTACAAACCCATTTCAGACCAATGCCAGAGGAGCAACAGGTAAGAAAAAGAGACAGTGGAACAGTAAGTTTTGGGGAAGACATTTATCAACAAAGACACCATGTGAAGAACACCAGAAAATGGGGCCTCTTTCTTAGTGAAGTGAATGGCAATGGATAGAAGAGTTTGTCCATAAAGACAAATTCTAGCTGAAAGTTCATAAAATCCTGGAATTTAACAGTTGAGAGGGACCTTAGAAATTATCTAGTGTCTGCCCTTTCCAGTTAAAGCTTTCATTTTTCAGGTAGGGAAGCCCAGACATGGAGATGAGACTCCACAGAACGTTTATGACAGAGATAGGACTTGAACAGAGCAATTTAGATGTATTTGGTGGTCTGGTTTCAGAATTACTGGTTGTCACTCATGCAGTCTTAATGGAACCATTTTATGAGAAGTTTTTATTTTCCCTATGAGATTGCATCAGATGACTTTACTACATGAATTCTTAATTATTAGGTCTTTTTCTAGTGAATATCTCTTTCAGGTGTTAACATTTTTTAAGTTGTGGAAACTTGATTCAGTCGTGGGTATAATACTGAATATTTTCTCTTTTGATAATTTTTTCCCTTAATTCTCTTTGTTGTCTCCATTTTATTTTTTGATTCATACTGTAAGCCATTCACATCTTTCTCATGTTATACCTCTGATTTTTGTCGTATTACCTTAAACACCAGAGATATTTGCCAGTATCTTGGAATGTCAGCAGGTGCATTTGGTATGGCTGGGTATCCATTAAATCTAGAGTTTGTATGCTTTGTTTTTGTGTATATGTCACAATAATTTAGAACTAAAGCCTAAACTCCAGTTATAGCAAATGTTGATATGAACTCTTGAGAGATTAGGTACTTGTAACATTTTAATCAAACCATTAAGAATTACTAGTTTTTAGTAAATCTCTTTGTCATTGACAAGATTAAGAATCACAGTATTAGGAGTTTGAGCTGTAACTATTTTCTTTTCACATAAATGTCTTCACTTATACTCTGTTGGTAAGTAGCATAATAGATGTTTGATAAGTATTGGAATTTCACACAAAATTTAACTTTAAAAAAAGTTTAATTCAAGTGTACCTAATGAATGATTGTTTTAAATTTCCATTTGTACAATTTATCAGGTGTGTGATATGTGCAGTGTTTCTGTTTCTTAGCATACTGTTTTGATTTTGTGGACTGAGTTTGTAAAATGTCTCATGATACAATGGGTTTTTGTACATTGCCTCATTTAATCCACTCAGCTGTCATCAAATAAATATTTTAATTGTGTGACAGCTGAGGGAACAGGCCCAGAAAAGTTAATTGAACATATTTTGAGTACAGCCAGCCAAACTTGTGTTCGAATTCTGATTTATAGTTACTTGCAGGTTGACCATAAGAAAGCCTTTTGAATTTTGTTCTTTTAATGAATGGGGTAAGAATGATAGGGGGATGTTCAAACATTTATTGTGATAAAGTTGTTCACAAGATGCTATTGAGATATTTATAGATATTATAACTTCACTTAAGAACTGATGAATGGAAACTCAAATTATGTTTTGACTGAGCCTAATCATGTTGACCTGACTTCTCTGAGCCTTCATGTTGTCCCTCTCTATAGAATGTGAACAATATTCTCTTGCTGGCAGGTTTGTTGTAAAATTAGATGATGCACATTTACCCTGTATGGTCTTTGCGTTACAGCATATGCTCAGTAAATCAGACCTATTATTTTCCTTTCATGATTGTACCTCTGAGTTGGTTCTATCATTAGAGTTAAGGGCCTTTTTTTGCTTATTTTATTTAGAGTATGCAAGTTTTGTAAAAGTTGAAGTTCTACATAGGATATAAAATAATATAAAATGTACAACGTATGTGCAGATGATATAAGATAATTCTAGTATTAAGTAACAAAAATTTATTAGAAAGGTAAAACGACAGTGTCCACAAATGTTTATTTCAAGGTAATACATTTTTTCCATTATAAGTCATTTTGAATTTATCACGTTGGTCACCTTTATTAGATTATTATTGAATTGACCAAATCACAAGCATTAACTGCATATGTTTCTATTGAAGCTGAAATATAAACAATACTTCGACAGATGCACTACGCTTAAGAATTTCCAGTGTTTTATACCATCAAAGTTAATATTATTTAAGAATTTTTTGTTGCCTTCAAATACATTAACACTGGCCAGGCACAGTGGCTCATGCCTGTAATCCCAGCACTTTGGGAGGCCAAGGCGGGTGGATCACCTGAGGCCAAGAGTTTGAGACCAGCCTGGCCAACATGGTAAGACCCTGTCTCTACTAAAAATGCAAAAATTAGCCAGGTGCGGTGGTACGTGCCTGTAGTCCCAGCTACTTGGGAGGCTGAGGCAGGAGAATCGCTTGAACCAGGGAAATGGAGTTTGCAGTGAGCTGAGATCATGCCACTGGACTCCAGCCTGGGCGACAGAGCAAGACTCTGTCTCAAAAAAAACAAAAAACACATGTTAACACTGTGAAATTATATTTTGAGGTACCCTTTGATCCTAGCACTTTGGGATGCCGAGGTAGGTGGGTTGCTTGAAGCCCAGGAGTTTTGAGAGCAGCCTGGGCAACATGGCGAACCCCGTTTCTACAAAAAATAAATGGTGGCAGACACCTGGAGTCCTTCCTAGCTACTCAGGAGGCTGAGGTGGGAGGATTACCTGAGCCTAGGAGGTCGAAATTACAGTGAACTGTGATTGCGCCACCACACTTCAGCCTAGCTGACAGAGTGAGACTCTAGCTCACAAAAAAAAAAAAAAAAAAAAAAGGAGGTACCCTTATTGCATAATAGTTCTATGTGAAATTCGGAAAGTTTTATCAGTATATTTCTCTTTTTGTTTGTTGGTTTGTTTTAGACAGATTCTCACTCTGTCACCCAGACTGGAGTGCAGTGGCTTAATCTTTGCTCACTGCAGCCTCTACCTCCCGGATTCAAGCGATTCTCATGACTCAGCCTCCTGAGTAGCTGGGATTACAGGTGCGTGCCACCATACCCGGCTAATTTTTGTATTTTTAGTAGAGATGGGGTTTTGCCATGTTGACCAGACTGGTCTTGAACTCCTGGCCTCAAATGATCTGCCTGCCTCGGCCTCCCAAAGTGCTGGGATTACAGGTGTGAGCGACTGCACTTGGATCATTCTTAAAATGATGTTTAAATAATCATTTTTTCTGGATTTATAAAACTTTGGGGCTTTAGTTTTTTTTTTTTTTACTTTAAGTTCTAGAGTACATGTGCATAACATGCAGGTTTGTTACATATGTATACATGTACCATGTTGGTGTGCTGCACCCATTAACTCGTCATTTACATTAGGTATGTCTCCTAATGGTATCCCTCCCCCACTCTACCCGACCCCAAGACAGGCGCCGGTGTGTGATGTTCCCCACCTTGTGTCCAAGTGTTCTCATTGTTCAGTTCCCACCTATGAGTTAGAACATGTGGTGTTTGGTTTTCTGTCCTTGCGATAGTTTGCTCAGAATGATGGTTTCCAGCTTCATCCGTGTGCCTACAAAGGACATGAACTCATCCTTTTTTATGGCTGCATAGTATTCCATGGTGTATATGTACCACATTTTCTTAATCCAGTCTGTCATTGATGGACATTTGGGTTGGTTCCACGTCTTTGCTATCGTGAATAGTGCCGCAGTAAACGTACGTGTGCATGTGTCTTTATAGCAGCATGATTTATAATCCTTTGGGTATATACCCAGTAATGGGATGGTTGGGTCAAATGGTATTTCTAGTTCTAGATCCCTGGGGAATCGCCACACTGTCTTCCACAATGGTTGAACTAGTTTACACTCCCACCAGCAGTGTAAAAGTGTTCCTGTTTCTCCACATCCTCTCCAGCATCTGTTGTTTCCTGACTTTTTAATGATCACCATTCTAACTTGTGTGAGATAGTATCTCATTGTAGTTTTGGTTTGCATTTCTCTGATGGCCAGTGATGAAGAGCATTTCTTCATGTGTCTGTTGGCTGCATAAATGTTGTCTTTTGAGAAGTGTCTGTTCATATCCTTCGCCCACTTTTTGATAGGGTTGTTTGATTTTTTTTCTTGTAAATTTAAGTTCTTTGTAGATTCTGGATATTAGCCCTTTGTCAGATGGGTAGATTGCAGAAATTTTCTCCCATTCTGTAGGTTGCCTGTTCACTCTGATGGTGGTTTCTTTTGCTGTGCAGAAGCTCTTTGGTTTAATTAGATCTCATTTGTCTATTTTGGCTTTTGTTGCCATTGCTTTTGGTGTTTTAGTCACGAAGTCCTTGCCCATTCCTGTGTCCTGAATGGTATTGCCTAGGTATTCTTCTAGGGTTTTTATGGTTTTAGGTCTAACACTTAAGTCTTTAATCCATCTTGAATTAATTTTTGTACAAGGTGTAAGGAAGGGATCCAATTTCAGCTTTCTACATGTGGCTAGCCAGTTTTCCCAGCACCGTTTCTTAAATAGTGAATCCTTTTCCCATTTCTTGTTTTTGTCAGGTTTGTCAAATATCAGATGGTTGTAGATGTGTGGTATTATTTCTGAGGGCTCTGTTCTGTTCCATTGGTCTATATATTTGTTTTGGTACCAGTACCATGCTGTTTTGGTTACTGTAGCCTTGTAGTATAGTTTTAAAGTCAGGTAGCGTGATGTCTCCAACTTTGTTCTTTTTGCTTAGGATTGTCTTGGCAATGCAGGCTCTTTTTTGGTTCCATATGAACTTTCAAGTAGTTTTTTCCAATTCTGTGAAGAAAGTCATTGGTAGCTTGATGGGGATGGCATTGAATCTATAAATTACCTTGGGCAGTATGGCCATTTTCACGATATTGATTCTTCCTATCCATGAGCATGGAATGTTCTTCCATTTGTTTGTGTCCTCTTTTATTTCATTGAGCAGTGGTTTGTAGTTCTCCTTGAAGAGGTCCTTCACATCCCTTGTAAGTTAGATTCCTAAGTATTTTATTCTCTTTGTAGCAATTGTGAATGGGAGTTCACTCATGATTTGGCTCTCTGTCTGTTATTGGTGTATAGGAATACTTGTGATTTTTGCACATTGATTTTGTATCCTGAGACTTTGGGCTGAGATGAGGGGGTTTTCGAAATATACAATCATGTCATCTGCAAACAGGGACAATTTGACTTCCTCTTTTCCTAATTGAATACCCGTTATTTTTTTCTCTTGCCTGATTGCCCTGGCCAGAAGTTCCAACACTATGTTGAATAGGAGTGGTGAGAGAGGGCATACCTGTCATGTGCCAGTTTTCAAAGGGAATGCTTCCAGTTTTTGCCCATTCAGTATGATATTGGCTGTGGGTTCGTCATAAATAGCTCTTATTATTTTGAGGTATGTTCCATCAATACCTAGTTTATTGGGAGTTTTTAGCATGAAGGGCTGTTGAATTTTGTCAAAGGCCTTTTCTGCATCTATTGAGATACTCGTGGTTTTAGCCTTTGGTTCTGTGTATATGATGGATTATGTTTATTGATTTGCATATGTTGAACCAGCCTTGCATCCCAGGGGTGAAGCCAGCTTGATCATGGTGGATAAGCTTTTTGATGTGCTGCTGGATTTGGTTTGCCAGTATTTTATTGAGGATTTTTACATCGATGTTCATCAGGGATATTGGTCTAAAATTCTCTTTTTTTGTTGTGCCTTTGCCAGGCTTTGGTATCAGGATGATGCTGGCCTCATAAAATGAGTTAGGGAGGATTCCCTCTTTTTCTATTGATTGGAAGTTTCAGAAGGAATGGAACCAGCTCCTCTTTGTACCTCTGGTAGAATTTGGCTGTCAATCTGTCTGGTCCTGGACTTTTTTTGGTTGGTAGACTGCTATTGCCTCAATTTCAGAGCCTGTTATTGGTCTATTCAGGGATTCAACTTCATCCTGGTTTAGTCTTGAGAGGGTGTTGTATGTGTCCAGGAATTTATCCATTTCTTCTAGATTTTCTAGTTTATTTGCATAGAGGTGTTTATAGTATTCTCTGATGGTAGTTTGTATTTCCGTGGGATCAGTGGTGATACCCCCTTTATCATTTTTTATTGCATCTATTTGATTCTTCTCTCTTTTCTTCTTTATTAGTCTTGCTAGCGGTCTGTCAATTTTGTTGATCTTTTCAAAAAACCAGCTCCTGGATTCATGGATTTTTTTGAGGGTTTTTTGTGTCTCTCTCTCCTTCAATTCTGCTGTGATCTTAGTTATTTCTTATCTTCTGCTGCCTTTTGAATATGTTTGCTCTTGCTTCTCTAGTTCTTTTAATTGTGATGTTAGGGTGTTAATTTTATATCTTTCCTGCTTTCTCGTGGGCATTTAGTGCTATAAATTTTCCTCTACACACTGCTTTAAATCTGTCCCAGAGATTCTGGTATGTTGTGTCTTTGTTCTCATTGGTCTCAAATAACATCTTTATTTCTGCCTTCATTTCATTATTCACCCAGTAGTCATTCAGGAGCAGGTTGTTCAGTTTCCATGTAGTTTTGCGGTTTTGATTGAGTTTCTTAATCCTGAGTTCTAATTTGATTGCACTGTGGTCTGAGAGACAGTTTGTTATGATTTCTGTTATTTTGCATTTGCTGAAGAGTGCTTTACTTCCAATTATGTGGTCAATTTTGGAATAAGTGAGATGTGGTGCTAAGAGGAATGTATATTCTGTTGATTTGGGATGAAGAGTTCTGTAGATGTCTATTAGGTCTGCTTGGTGCAGAGCAGAGTCCAAGTCCTGGATATCCTTGTTAAATTTCTGTCTCATTGATCTGTCTGATGTTGACAGTGGGGTGTTAAAGTCTCCCATTATTATTGTGTGGGAGTCTAAGTCTCTTTGTAGGTCTCTAAGGACTTGCTTTTTAAATCTGGGTTCTCCTGTATTGGGTGCATATATATTTAGGATAGTTAGCTCTTCTTGTTGAATTGATCCTCTTCTTGTTGAATTGATCCCTTTACCATTATGTAATGGTCTTCTTTGTCTCTTTTGATCTTTGTTGGTTTAAAGTCTGTTTTATCAGAGACTAGGATTGCAACCTCTGCTTTTTTTTGTTTTCTATTTGCTTGGTAGATCTTCCTCCATCCCTTTATTTTGAGCCTATGTATGTCTCTGCACGTGAGATGGGTTTCCTGAATACAGCACGCTGATAGGTCTTGACTCTTTATCCAATTTGCCATTCTGTGTCTTTTTTTTTTTTTTTTTTTTTTTTTTGAGACGGAGTCTCGCTTTGTCACCCAGCCTGGAGTGCAGTGGCGCGATCTTGGCTCACTGCAGGCTCCGCCTCCTGGGTTCACGCCATTCTCCTGCCTCAGCCTTCCCAGTAGCTTGGACTACAGGCACCCACCACCACACCCGGCTAATTTTTTGTATTTTTAGTAGAGACGGGATTTCACCTTGTTAGCCAGGATGGTGTCGATCTCCTGACCTCGTCATCTGCCTGTCTTGGCCTCCCAAAGTCAGTCTGTGTCTTTTAATTGGGGCATTTAGCCCATTTACATTTAAGGTTAATATTGTTATGTGTGAATTTGATCCTGTCATTATGATGTTAGCTGGTTATTTTGCTCATTAGTTGATGCAGTTTCTTCCTAGCATCGATGGTCTTTACAGTTTGGCATGTTTTTGCAGTGACTGGTACCGGTTGTTCTTTCTATGTTTAGTACTTCCTTCAGGAGCTCTTGTAAGGCAGGCCTGGTGGTGACAGAATCTCTCAGCATTTGCTTGTCTGTAAAGGATTTTATTTCTCCTTCACTTATGAAGCTTAGTTTGGCTGGATATGAAATTCTGGGTTGAAAATTCTTTTTTTTAAGAATGTTGAATATTGGCCACCACTCTTTTCTGGCTTGTAGAGTTTCTGCTGAGAGATCCCCTGTTAGTCTAATGGGCTTCCTTTTGTGGGTAGCCCGACCTTTCTCTCTGGCTGCCCTTAACATTTTTTCCTTCATTTCAAGCTTGGTGAATCTGACAATTATGTATCTTGGCGTTGCTGTTCTCAGGGATTATCTTTGTGGTGTTCTCTGTATTTCCTGAATTTGAAGGTTGGCTTGCCTTGCTATATTGGGGAAGTTCTCCTGGATAATATCCTGCAGAGTGTTTTCCAACTTGGTTCCATTCTCCCCGTCACTTTCAGGTATACCAATCAGACGTAGATTTGGTCTTTTCACATAGTCCCGTAGTTCTTGGAGGCTTTGTTTGTTTCTTTTTACTCTTTTTTCTCTAAACGTCTCTTCTCACTTTATTTCATTCATTTGATGTTCAGTCACTGGTACCCTTTCTTCCACTTGATTGAATCAGCTACTGAAGCTTGTGTATGCTTCACATAGTTCTTGTGCCATGGTTTTCAGCTCCATCAGGTCATTTAAGATCTTCCCTACGCTGTTTATTTTGGTTTGCCATTCGTCTAATCTTTCTTCAAGGTTTTTAGCTTCCTTGCGATAGGTTTGAACATCCTCCTTTAGCTCGGAGAAGTTTGTTATTACCGATCTTCTCAAGCCTACTTCTGTCAGTTCGTCTAAAGTCATTCTCTGTCCAGCTTTGTTCCATTGCTGGCGAGGAGCTGCAGTCCTTTGGAGGAGAAGAGGCACTCTGGTTTTTAGAATTTTCAGCCTTTCTGCTCTGGTTTCTCCCCATCTTTGTGGTTTTATCTACCTTTGGTCTTTGATGATGGTGACCTACAGATGGGGTTTTGGTGTGGGTGTCCTTTTTTTTGATGTTGATGCTACTCCTTTCTTTTTGTTACTTTTCCTTCAAACAGTCAGGACCCTCAGCTGCAGGTCTGTTGGAGTTTGCTGGTGGTCCACTCCAGACCCTGTTTGCCTGGGTATCACCAGCGGAGGCTGCAGAACAGCAAATATTGCAAAACAGCAAATGTTGCTGCCTGATCCTTCCTCTGGAAGCTTCGTCTCAGAGGGGCACCTGGCTGTATGAGGTGTCAATCGGCCCCTACTGGGAGGTGTCTCCCAGTTAGGCTACTGCGGGGGTCAGGGACCCACTTGAGGAGGCAGTCTGGCCATTCTCAGATCTCAGACTCCATGCTGGGAGAACCATTGCTCTCTACAAAGCTGTCAGACAGAGACGTTTAAGTCTCCAGAAGTTTCTGCTGCCTTTTTTCAGCTATGCCCTGCCCCCAGTGGTGGAGTCTATAGAGGCAGGCAGGCCTTGTTGAGCTGCAGTGGGTTCCACCTAGTTCAAGCTTCCTGGCCACTTTGTTTACCAAGTCAAGCCTCAGTAATGGCGGGCGCCCCTCCCCCAGCCTTGCTGCCGCCTCGCAGTTCAATCAAGACTGCTGTGCTAGCAGTGAGCAAGGCTCCATGGGTGTGGGACCTGCTGAGCCAGGCGCGGGATATAATCTTCTGGTGTGCCGTTTGCTAAGACCTTTGGCAAAGTGCAGTATTAGGGCGGGAGTGTCCCGATTTTCCAGGTACCGTCTGTCACAGCTTCTGTTGGCTAGGAAAGGGAATTCCCTGACCCCTTGCACTTCCCGGGTGAGGTGATGCCCCGCCTTGCTTCGGCTCACACTCCGTGGGCTACACCCACTGTCCAACCAGTCCCAGTGAGATGAACCCAGTACCTCAGTTGGAAATGCAGAAATCACCCTTCTTCTGCGTCACTCACGCTGGGAGCTGTAGACTGGAGCCGTTCCTATTCTGCCATCTTGGAACTCCCTTCTGGGGCTGTAGCTTTTTAAAAAACTGTAATATTACATAGTAACTCTCATTAGGAGATTAGCCTATTGTGGCCTAATTTTCAGATTCTATGATATTTAGTGTTTTTCCCCCCTCAGAGCCCTTAAATCTAATTAATAGAGGTTAAAATAATTTTTAAATAGTAGGAAATTTTTATAACTCTTAGGTCTCTCCTTTGTCACTGAATGGATAGTCATTATTTCCTACCATTTATTTTAATGAATGAATGGTTTCAAAGATTTTTTTTCCCTAAGGAAAGGTACTTACCAAAATGCAGAGCTTATTGGATGGCATCTGGCCCTCAGATCTTTGTTTATTACCTAGGTGGAAACCAATTTGCTAAGATTAATGAATTTGCCTTAAAGGTTCAAAATTCAGTAATGGCTGATCTGATATTAATACCCAGAATGCTTCTGAACCAACACTGTTTTTGTTCCAGTACAGTTGCCTCCATATTTATACTTCAGTTTCACATTGATGAAACATACACAAATTAACATTATGCACTATTCCTTATATCTAAATACTTAGTAGGCTCACTTCACTTGCCTAGCATACTCAGGAAGTGAGGATTAATACAAAAAAGGGTTGGAGGTAGCTGAGCAAAAGCAAAGAAAAAACCCTAAGTAGAAAGTTACCTTGGGCTGTGAAGGATATATTTTGTTTATAGAATTGCTGCTGATTTGCTCTCCTTGTGCTCTTTCCCTCTCAATTTACTCTTAATATTTGGACATCTCTAATATTTAATAATCTACAATTGGTATTTTAAAAAGGAGCCAGAAATGAAAATTGTTGCCAATGTGGTAATCAAAACAAGAAAGACAGGAAAGTTGTAAAAATTAACACAACAGAAAAATTAAGCTTAATAGCAGTCTGGAGAAAATATTTGCAAATCCTACATCTGATAAGGGACTTGTATTCAGAATGTGCAAAGAACTCGTAACGACTAAATAATAAAAAGACACCCCAATTAAAAAGTGAGCAAAATATTTGAATAGACATTTCTCTAAGAAGGTATACAGATGGCCAATAAAAGAAAAGACAGTGATGAACAATGTAAGGAGGTAGAGAAAATAGAAACCTCGTATATTGCTTGTGGGAATATAAAATGGTACAACCCCTTGGAAAACATTTTGGCAGTTCCTCAAAATGGTCATCATGGAGTTACCATATAACCTAACAGAGTGCCACTATTAGGAATATACCAAAGAGGAATGAAAACATAGATCTGCACAAAAATTTGTACACAAATGTTCATACCATCAGTATTTATCATCGCTAAGAAGTAGAAACAACCCAAGTGCCCGTCAACTGATGAAACCAAATGTCGAATAGTCATACAATGACAAATTACTTGATAATAAAAAGTGATGAAGCATTGATACATGCTACAACATGGATGAACCTTGAAAACATTCTGCTGAGCAGAAGAAACTCGTCACAAAAGGCCACATATTTGTGGTGGCCATTTGTATGAAATGTCCAGAATTGGAAAGAAAAAGTAGATCAATGATTGCCAGGGGGTAGGGTTTTAGTAGTGGTGGGGCAGCATGGGAAGTGACAGCTGATAGGTATCACATTTCTTTTGAGGGGGATGAAAATATTCTAAAATTAGATTCTGATGGTGGTTGTACATCCCTGTGAATATATTTAAAGAATCATTGAATTCTGTAAGTGAATGAATTGTGTGTAGTATGTGAACTATATTTCAGAAAGCTGTAAAAAGTCTAAAAAAAGTTTAGAGCAGTTCAGGACCAGAGCTTGGGGGGCATCTTTGTTGCAGACTGAGGTATAGTGATTAATATTGGTTAACAGTCACTGTTGGCTAAAAGTCAGTTTTTGCCAGTGCGTTTTGTGAAACATGTCTCCTGTAATGTTGTTAGCAAAATTCTGTGGAAAAGTGTTCTATGTCTAAATACATATGAGAAATGCTGGAATAAACACAGTTTAATCAATGTCATTAATGCAAGACTGCTCTGAGCCTGTAAAGTGCTTTAAGATAAAGTAGATAAGGCCGGGTGCAGTGGCTCACGCCTGTAATCCCAGCACTTTGGGAGGCCGAGGCAGGCGGATCACGAGGTCAGGAGATCGAGACCATCCTGGCTAACACGGTGAAACCCCGTCTCTACTAAAAATACAAAAAATTAGCTGGGCATGGTGGTGGGCACCTGTAGTCCCAGCTACTTGGGAGGCTGAGGCAGGAGAATGGCGTGAACCCGGGAGGTGGAGCTTGCAGTGAGCCGAGATCACACCACTGCACTCCATCCTGGGCGACAGAGCGAGACTCCGTCTCAAAAAGAAAAAAAAGAAAGTAGATAAATATAAGGGCCACATTAATTTTTCACAGGCCCTTCTCCCTCAGTTAACCTTTTTTTTTTTGTATTTGGAACACAGTGACACTTTTTTAAGTTAGCAAGAAAGTTACATTCATTGAGTATTTATTGCAAAGCACTCTAATTCGTTGTTACATTTATTCTTCACAGCAGCTTTGTGAAGTATAGATACTATTGTCTCTATCCCTCCACCTCATTTGCAAATGAGGAAACTGAAGCTTATAAAATAAAGTAACATCATGCAGCCAGAAAATGACAGAACCACAACTCAGAACCATTCAATTTTTTAATCATTCTTATGCCAATTTAAAAAGTATTCTAATTTTAAATCCATGGAAATATATTTTAGACACAATCTTCAGATTGTTAAACCGAACAAACAAAAGGTACTAGTATTTAACAATTTAAGTTTACTTTCTATTAACTTTATATGTAACCTGTCTGTCCTCAAACATGCCAGGTGAGTAAGATCTGTACAAGATGCCTTTTTCTTTTTTCTCTCTTCTTTTCAGCCATTGTATTTTAACCTGTAAATACCGCTTACCTTTCTCTTGAACTAGAATATTTAATAATTTTTCCCTTGTAATACTTAATTAGTTCATTTGAGTTATTTGTGTATTTCTAGTTAATGTGCTGATTTGTAAATAAAACAATCTAGCATTGTTCATGCACTCTCTCCCAAGACTTGGTTTTGATCCTAAATGTAGATGCTGGATAATCTCATATGATCCTATGAATAGCGTATTTAGATGTAGCTTATGATGCCTACAAAGCATTTTTTAATGACTGTAAAAAAGTTGATGCCTATTTGTTTAAAAAATTGATTTCATCACTGTTTCTTAATTTGTTATTTATTATTCTAATCTCCCCTTTATTTTAAACAGTATAAATATTACAGGTCATGAAGATGGTTGAAATTAAAAGTCTTATTTTGTGAATGTGTTTTTGTTATGTATTATGCTACCCCCTTAGCAACAGTACACTCGAATTTTATAACTTTTTAATGAAACAAGTATACTTTTATTTTAACAATAGTTATCTATAAATTAATTGACGTTGGTCTCTTTATGGCTTTCCATAAGGCCTTTCTGGAGCAATGCATTCTCAAGTGTTTCCTCACGCTCATTTTGGTAGGTGGCCACAATTAATATCTAGATTTGTGTGGCAATTTGTCTACCTGCTTGTGGAAGCTTCTGCTAGTGTTCTGGATCCCTGCATGTGGAATTAAGTTTTTTTCCATGTTTTAAAATGGAGTGGGCATGGATGTGTGGCATTGGGATTACATTGTATTTAAAATTACATGGAAATGTTTTTAGTGATTTATGTGTAAATGCTGAAAAGCATTACTGCTTACCTACATGGTCATATTAGAATGTTAATAGCCATTTTGATTCTTTTTCTTGAGTTTGAATTCATGGTACTTTGAGTGACGCCTTTTTGATATACCAAACCATTTTACTGCATTATTCCATGGAGTTTGGTTTTGCTTAACTGTATTCAAGTTTTGCTTTTAAGTGCTCTCTTAAAGTGATTTGTCAAAGTTACGTCGGTGCATTGTCGTCTGTTATGAAGCCCTCCTGTTACCCTTGCAGTGTGCTTATTATTCTTTAATTCACCTGCTTCCCAATGGCCTGTTTTTCCTTTTTTTCGCATCAGTAATAAAAAAGTAATTTTTTAATATTCTAATTAGGTTCATTGAGCAGAATTGCATTGTTACAAACATACGACTACAGGGATTACTTTGGGCAACATCTATTACTTGTTTTTCAGCTTTTTAAAAATAAAAGACATTCCGTGTAATATTTTTTAGTATTTAATTTCTGTGCCTTAAATCAATGAACAAATTGGTAAATTTGTTAAAATCAGGAAATTTAGTGAATTTTCATGGTATTTTGATTGCATCATGCTAAGAATATTTCATTATGTAATTACTAATAGTCTATATTCAAAGCAACATTATTGGCTCTTATTTTACTGAGACCCTTCCTAAAACACATAGTTGGAGGTTTTGTTTTTAATATTCACTAGTAATAAATAACATACTGTAAGTGAATAGTAAAGAGGGAAATGATGGCAGCATTCCACATATGTAGCAGTTGTTCACACACATTTCTCCCGATGTGGTAATACTCTGTCCACCAAGTAATACCAGCGAGGCATGGCAAGCCAAGGAAGAATACAGTAGCATTGAACACTTTGGCCATTTATTCTGCATTCTTCTAGGAATGCTTATTTCACTTCTAATCTTTATGGATTTCACACTAATTTCGATAGCTCAGTTGCCCTAACCTTCCTTCAGTCTCGCAAAGCTGTCTTCATTTACCTTCCATAAGAGGGTGGGAGTCGTGTGTGTGTGTGTGTATGGAATTGATTTAATAGGAAAATATCCTTTTAATTGTGTTAGTGTTGTTAAGAGAATCTCTCTTCTCTGGCTGTAGTTACAAAGCTGCATAGGTTCTGAGTGGTCTGCCTGTAACTAACTATTTGTCCTATAAGTCCTGTTCTTTTTAGCGAACTATTCTTCAGCGGTTTAAAATTTTTTTTTGCAGGAACACATATTATGTTATGACAGATACTTCAGGAGATAAAATTTTGGCTGTTATTTTACTGCATATAACAAAACAAAACTAAAAACAAAAATGTATACTAGTATACATATTAATTGCATGATCTTTAAAACACAAGACTACTGTTTAGACTTGAATTTATAATTTGAGAAATTGTCTTGGGATTTCAAACAACAGCTTTAGTAGTTAGTTTCATTCTGGTCATTGTGTTTTAGAAGAATAAAATTTCTACAAGTTACGTTAAACTGTGTAGCACTAAAACTCATTAACTTTGTTGGAATTTTGGAATTAACCCTGCCTTTAATGTACATCTTAGTATTTTTCAAGGTAAATGATGTCTTTTTACATTTACAATGTTGTGAGAAACTAAACATATCCTGTTGTATGTAACTGATCAGCCCTTCTCTTCTGTCAGCGGCAACCTTTGGCACTGCATCCATGAGCATGCCCACAGGATTCGGCACTCCTGCTCCCTACAGTCTTCCCACCAGCTTTAGTGGCAGCTTTCAGCAGCCTGCCTTTCCAGCCCAAGCAGCTTTCCCTCAACAGACAGCTTTTTCTCAACAGCCCAATGGTAAGATCTAACATTTGGCGAGCTGTAAGTTCATTTTATGTATCCTTTTTATATCATAATGTTGTGTGCTTGGGCAGGAAGACTTTTCTAAAGAATACTATAGTATTATCTACTGAGTGTTTACACAAAAATAAAAGCCTTTGGTGATTTGGACCTCAGAAAGCTAAGTGATTTTACAAGTTTTTGTGAGCAGGTTACAATTTATGGGAAATCAGTGACTATGTAAAGAGCATCCCGTCATTCTCAGAATTTCTATTGCCTTTTTCTGATTATTTCGTCTTACATGTTCTAATATACCTCTTGATTTTAAAAGGAGAATTTATAGACCTAGAATGTTGGGATTTTTTTTTCCTTTCAGGACAGAAATGTGTACCTTTTTGTGTGTGAAATAGACTACTTTTCTAATTTGGTAACTATACTGTAGTTAGAGTTTGTTATTTGATTTTAGAAAGAGACAAGAAGATTAACTCGACATTTTTACGTATTTCATTTGCTTCAGTTTGAAGTGCATAGATTTGAAGATTCTTGAATCACAACTATGTGGTTTCTTTTTTCTTTTTTTTTTTTTTTAAGTAAGTGGTTATTTAAAAATCTGAAATATGGGCTGGGCGTGGTGGCTTACGCCTGTAATCCCAGCACTTTGGGAGGCTGAAGTGGGCGGATCATCTGAGCTCGGGAGTTCAGGACCAGCCTGACCAACATAGAGAAACCCCGTCTCTACTAAAAATACAAAATTAGCCAGGCGTGGTGGCACATGCCTGTAATCCCAGCTGTTCAGGAAGGCCGAGGCAGGAGAATTGCTTGAACCCGGGAGGCGGAGGTTGTGGTGAGCCGAGATCGCCATTGCACTCCAGCTTGGGTGACAAGAGTGAAATTCCATCTCAAAAAAAAAAAAAAAAAAAAATCTGAAATATGGACCCTGGAAGAGCCATAAATAATAAAAATATTTCCTACAAAATACTGTGATGTTTACATAGAAATCATTGTGTTGTCTGCACAGCCTGTTCCAAATAGTCACAAGCTCGTCTAGTAATGAAATTCTATAAATTTTAGTTATTGAGACAAGTTAGAATGAAAGAGCTGAATGAAAGTTCTCTTGGCCAGGTGTGATGGCTCACGCCTATAATCCCAGCCCTTTGGGAGGCCAAGACAGGTGGATCAGTCGAGTCCAGGAGATTGAGACCAGCCTGGGCAATGTAGTGAAACCCTGTCTACAAAAAATACAAAAATTAGCTGGGCGTGCTGGCGTGTGCCTGTAGTTCCAGCTACTCGGGAAACTGAGGTGGAAGGATCACCTGAGCCCTGGAGGTTGAGGCTGCAGTGAGCCATGATCATGCTACTGGACTCTGGCCTGGGTAATAGAGTGAGATCATGTCTCAAAAAAAAAAAAAAAAAGGTTATTTTAAGACATGCTACAGTAAGTTTGTCTTTGGTATCTGAAAGAGCTTGAGGCCTAACAACTTAACTTTAACATTTTATTTTTGCTGCTCTGGTAGGAATGTCTCTGAAAGTTATTATGAGGCTTTATAAGCATCAGATTGTCTCTTGAAGGTATGGGTTATAATTGGTGGTTCTATTTTAACAAGGTGCAGGTTTTGCAGCATTTGGACAAACAAAGCCAGTAGTAACCCCTTTTGGTCAAGTTGCAGCTGCTGGAGTATCTAGTAATCCTTTTATGGTAAGCAAAATTTAAAATTAAATACTTTATAAGTTGTTAAATCTTATTTTAAAATTAGGAATAGCAGGATGTTAATATTCCTAGATGGTATTTGGTGTTATATTGATATGAGTGACATCATAAGATTGTACAAATTGACACAGAGCCATTATGTGTGATCCTTTTCTGACCTTTTAAAAAATTAGTTGCAAATCAAAGCATTGATAGTTTTTAAAAAATTAGTTGCAAATCAAAGCATTGACAGTAGATCAGCTATTTTATAATATGAAACTTATCTGCTTTCTTGTCAAAATAACACTTTATGAGAGGCCCTAGGAATTAGTGAACATAAAAGAGAGGTCTTAAGAGTCAGAAGTTTTGTTTGAATCACACGTGCTTTTCTAAGACCATTCTAAGATTCTTCTTAGAATCTATTACAAGAACTGTTTGAAGTACTGGATATGAAAGACGTAGCACAGTTCATGACACATAGTAGTTTGATATAGCTTATTGCCAATAACAAATATTATTGCCAATAATTTAAAAAATAATTCTTAACCAAAAAGTCTAATTAAAAAAATTAAATTCAGTTTAATGTTTTTATATTTTGTACATGCACTACTTTTGTCTCTTTATTTATTTGTCTTATGTTTTCCTTTAGACTGGTGCACCAACAGGACAATTTCCAACAGGAAGCTCATCAACCAATCCTTTCTTATAGCCTTATATAGACAATTTACTGGAACGAACTTTTATGTGGTCACATTACATCTCTCCACCTCTTGCACTGTTGTCTTGTTTCACTGATCTTAGCTTTAAACACAAGAGAAGTCTTTAAAAAGCCTGCATTGTGTATTAAACACCAGGTAATATGTGCAAAACCGAGGGCTCCAGTAACACCTTCTAACCTGTGAATTGGCAGAAAAGGGTAGCGGTATCATGTATATTAAAATTGGCTAATATTAAGTTATTGCAGATACCACATTCATTATGCTGCAGTACTGTACATATTTTTCTTAGAAATTAGCTATTTGTGCATATCAGTATTTGTAACTTTAACACATTGTTATGTGAGAAATGTTACTGGGGAAATAGATCAGCCACTTTTAAGGTGCTGTCATATATCTTGGAATGAATGACCTAAAATCATTTTAACCATTGCTACTGGAAAGTAACAGAGTCAAAATTGGAAGGTTTTATTCATTCTTGAATTTTTCCTTTCTAAAGAGCTCTTCTATTTATACATGCCTAAATTCTTTTAAAATGTAGAGGGATACCTGTCTGCATAATAAAGCTGATCATGTTTTGCTACAGTTTGCAGGTGAAAAAAAATAAATATTATAAAATATGCTATTGTTTTTGTGTTCTTGCTGCAATGCCTTTACCAAAGTGGCCTTAAATATGAGTAGTGAATTGAGAACATCTTGAATTCTTAAAAGACTTCTTAGTGACTTTTTATAAAAAGGCCATGTAGAAAATTTATTAAAACTACTATGACTGCTACATTCAGGAATATGCCAGTGGTAAAGCATTTAAATGTAGCTTGTCAGATTTACCATAATCCTACTAATTTCTTTGCAGCTTATTAATTTTGTGAAATTTGTATATATGAAGAATTTGCATGTATGTGTATTTACAAATTTTTCTAAGTATCTTGAATTCTCAGACTGCAAAAGGCCTATTTTAACTATTGATTTTTTTTAAAAAAAATTGTCTTTGAATGTATTGGAAGTAGACATGCATTAACTGTGACATTATTGCACCTCAGTTTTTTTCTTTCTTTTTTTGGGCAAACTGATATTATCTATAGGATATTTGTTTATGTTTGTTTTTTGGGGGAAAGAAACTGGAACTCAGTGTTACCTTAAAGTTACGGAATACTTTGTTTTAAAGGAAAAGATAATAAGTTTAGTTATATCTTTTTGTTAATATTCAAATGAACTTGTTTAAGTATCTATGTACAGTAATGCCTCATTCATCTAGAGGTAATCTGGCAGTCTTGTGAAAACCGAACACAACTCAGAAACTTGGAATCGTTTTTTTTAAAAATGCCTCTGAGCAACCCATATAAGTCACAAAGTCTGTGTGTTAGAGCTTATGCATTTGTTTTTATGAGAGATTTTAATAAATTTAATTATTTGCTTGTCCAGACTATAGCATATTAGCTGTTTAGAAGGGATGGCTTGAAAGGAAGGAGACTGAAAAACACTCTGAGAGCATACACTGTCCAAGGCCATTAGTGTAAGGACCGCTACCCAGCCTAGAGGACATCACTATACTACATCATCTGATGATTATTCTTTATTATGCCTCTAGGTAATTAAGTAAAGGTGAAATTGCATACACAGATATGTAGTACATATTTTAAAAGTTTTATCTTAAATTGATTAAAACTTTTTAAAAAGCTTTGGTATTAAAAGAGGTAAACATCAGTTTCCTCAAACATTTTATTCATGTTGAATGCCTTTTTGCAATGATGACTGAGTTGTTATCATAGTATTTTAAAACCTGTATAGTGTTTTAGACTTGTTAAAACATTGCTGTCTAGTGTACATCTAGCTAAAAGTGTGGTTTATCTAAACCGTTTTAATAAGCAAGATGACTGGGAAATCTCTGCCCCTTTTCTGAGCAGTATGCCTCTTCTTTTAGAATTAAATGAATGCTGCACAGGTCCAGATGTGTGTTGATGTAGACTTGAAATGTCTCCACATTTTGGAGGACTTCCTCAGCCCTTTTCATTGAGGGAAAATATATTTGAATTTCTGTTTTAGATTGTATCGGGTCCCAGTTGATTCATGTGTACAAAGTTATGCTACCTAATTACAGACCATTACCCAAATATCCTACCAGGCTTTCCATCTGAATAGTAAATTAAACAGTTGTTATCAAAATGATTTTAAAGACTATTTCTTTTTCTGGGTAACTATTGAAGTTTGTAATTAAATGGGGGCTCTTACTGACTTTAAATTAGCGCTTATAAAATAAAAATGTTTAGTTCAAGAAGAGACCCAAGCTGGGTATGGTGGTGTGAGAGCCTGTGAGTCCTAGCTACCTGGAGGTGAGGTGGGAACATCACTTGAGCCCAGGAGTTGGAGGCTGCAGTGCGCTACGATCACACCACTGCACACCAGCCTGGGGATAGAGTGAGATCCCATCTCTAAAAAATGAAAAAAAGAAGAGAGGTAGCTTTAAAGTGGTTTTTCTCATGATATTCACTGTTTATTATTAAAGAAAATCAGCTTTCGTTAGACTTTTACATTTAGATTTATTCTAGTTTTATATAGACCATCAAAATTATGTTGAGTACTAAAAAGGAGAAAAAATCCTGGAAGGTAACAAGGCTGAAGACCTTCAAATTTCCTGGCTTACTGGTTTAGTCACATCATTTTTCCTGTTCAGGTATCTGCAGATATCCCTGTTCAGGAAAGATCTTTTTTCAGGATGGCAAACTTTTGACATAGTTTAAAGACATTTTTTCCCCATTTTTTGAAATAGAGAATATTTTATTATTTTTGTGAAAATAGAGTTTTGGTAATCACTTTCTTCCTCAAAATAAGTCCTTCTGTTAATTTGTAAAAGCACATTAGTGCTTTACCTGTGAAATTCCCCGCCCCCCTGCACACACACCCACTTTAGTACAGTTCCTGTCAATTGGCAACATGGAGAGGGTGACCTGGCTGCTGGTTTACCACTGTACCAACATCTCTGGAGCATTTTAGTTTCAGAACCTTAACACTCCCCAACAGCTTTGTTGATGTAGCTTGTATCTCTGAGAATTTATTGTATTAAAATTAATACTGAGATATTTTTAAAACATGTTTATTTATTTAAGTATAACAGTAATAAACTAATAACTTGCTAACATAAATACCATTTTTGATAAAAATAACTTTTCCAAAACAAAAACTAATGAGAACAGGAACATTGTTTTACATTTTATGCATTTAAATCTGGCTTAATAAAAGCAGTGAGATTTTCATGCTGCTTTTGCATTCCAACTTAAAAATTACACAGCATACACACGCTGGAAAACTCCACTGTGCACTTGTGAGATCAGGAGAATGAAAACTATGTAATATCTCAGTAGTACAATGAAAATAGTTTGACTTTTCACAGCCTTTCAAAGAAAGGGTTGTAGGGACCATTAAGGGTCTCCAGACTCTTTGAGAACCACTATACTTTAAATTTGTGTATTTCTAGAACAGTATTTACTTGCAGGGCAAACATAACTATTCCCTGGGTTTTTTTTGTTTGCTAGTGAGAACTGAAATTGCAGACTTTTTAACACTACTTCAAGGTAATAATAGCAGTGGTATTATGGGCTGTGTATGAGATAGTCATTTGTAAAACAATTTTCATATTTCATCTCTTACAATCCCTGCAGTGGACCTATACTTTTAGGATGAAAGAAGCAAAGCATAGAGAGGTTAAGCTAGTGGCAGCTTTTTGCTCTGGGGAACAGATTTGGATTAAATGCTATCACATTTATATATGAATGCATTCTTTCTTAATATTTTGAAATTCTGAACAAGTTAACGTTCTTGTCTTGTATATCTAAAAAAACTTTAATCACTTGAATTCCTTTCATAATTTGATGAAATCAGTACAGTTTATTCTTGGTTTTTTTTTTTAACTTTAGAAGTAAATTAATATGGTAACTAGTGGAGCGTGCTTTAGATTGAAGACTCATCTGAAGTATCACAGACTCCTATTTTGTAAAGCATTCCACCTTTATTGATACAGTTTGTGGCCTATACACTTTTAAAATTTATTTTTTAAAAGGTGATATTAAAATTTGTATTTAACCTGTTGTATTCATCCTCATTAGTTAAGTTTTTCTTTTTATGTTTTAAAACTTAGTGACATTAAACTTTTCACGTGGTTGTTTGTGAACAGATGAATATATAACCACGATGTAATCCAGTGTTGTGCTGCTGAATGTTTAACAACCATCTTTCATGAAAGAAAAAAGGCCCTGTTTTGTAGCATTTACTAATATTTATGGTATAAATACTGTCTTCATGGTGATTTTACCTGCCAATCTGATGTCATTAAATGCAGTTTGATGAAAGAGATAGCCAACCAGTGGCTTTCCCAAGCCTTGGCAAACCAGCTTCAGCACAGCAAAGGACATACAATTCCACAACTCATTAATTAAATGTATTGGTCATTTGATGATTATATCCAGTATTTGGAGAGCTTTTATATTGTTAATTCATTTAGCAAGCATTTGAACACTTGTTTATTTTTAGAGATATACTGGGCACTGAGGTATTTAATCTGCAAAGACCCAAGTATCGTGAACCTTGGTTTTAAAAAGTCCAATTATTGTGCTCTTATAGGGGTTGCACATTCAAGGCTTACACTGAATTCTGTCTGCAGTTCTGTTTTGTGTGACCAGCACAGTGTTTTAAAACGTTGCATTCTGAATCCATCTTTTTGAAATGGGGCATGTACTCTTAAGGTGGCCACTAGCTTACCATTCCCAATTTTTCTTAGTCTCAAACATTCACATGTTTTTCAAGGCCTTGGAGTTGGCAAATCCTGAATATATAGTGAAGGTAGGAAATAGCTCTTCTTATGCCACATCTTAGTCTGATTTTGAAGTCAGTTGTGTAAGTTTGGGCTGACAGTGGTATTTTCCAGTGAAGACTATCGCCAAGAATGCATATCATTCTGCTTATTTTATTCTAGTGGATAAAAATTCAACGTATATTTAAGTGTATTTTTGACATCTGTGCTTGTCCAACACAGGGCTGTAGGGACTGATGAAAAGAGAATGTTGTGATTTGAGCTTTTATAAAAAAAGATAAGTGATCCTAGATAAAATATTTTAGATGGTGATTAAAATGCCCATAGATTAATTTTTTAATCGGTTCTCTGAAATCTTGAGATGTTATCCAAGTTACAATTTAAGCAATGAGAGTAAAATTTGAATTCTAAATTCTCAGCATCTTCCCTCATTCTTGAGTGGAGAGACAGAGGAAGCAAACGCCAAGGAGCCTTCTAATTTTGACTATATGATCATTAACTAAAGGCAGCAAGGGATTGTAAACTAATCTTACATAGTCAATGTTTCATAGAATGCTTTGGTTACAATCAGGTTTTTTAAAGACTTTAAAGGTTTTTTGTATGCTATAATATATGCTTATGATTTCTAAAAATTATGCAGTATACACAAAGGGCATAAAGTCAAAAAGTGTGTCTCCCTCTGTGACTTTATTCTCATACCCCAGAGGCATATAATTTCTTGTATTCTTGTGTAGTCTTTAAGAAATGTTATCGTTTATTTTATATATGGCTCTCTCTCTGTATGCCTCTTCCTGTTCTTATTTTAAATGTTCAAGTTTGTGACTTGGTTCTTGTTTAACTTGGTTGTCTTTCCATATTGCCACCTTCCAGCTCTAACATTAATGTCTCCAGGATTCCATTATATGGATGTCCCTTTGGGAGAACATTTGTTTATAGACTTTTCTACTAAAAATATTGTTATAATGATAATATCCTTATGCATATATGAAGATTACTCTTGATTCTGCCTGACTGGAAACTTTATTAATAAAGTAGACATTATTCTATTTTGAGGCTCACCAGCTGTGTAGGTATGATCTTGTGCTTCCATTTAAGAAATTCTTCCATTTAAAGAAGAAAAAAAATCTCTCTGACTATCTGAAGATATATGAAAAAGCCTATGCTTTTAAATTAAACTGTTAAGACAGTCCATTGAAAGATTGTGGAAGTTCACATCTATTTTGCACCTTAATTTTTTCATTGTCCCTACTCATGACTCTAAAAAGTGCATGGCTTGGGGCTATACTTTGTTTTGCAGTTTGTTGGTATCGTGCCTTTCCTTATCTACATTAGCTTAGACTATACCTTATTTTTAAGAAGAGAAAGTGGAAATTAACTGTGGCAAAACCTATTTTGGCACAACCACATTTGTTCATTATACAAAATTAGCTTCCTATGCTTTAGAAAAAATGTGAGTTATTACTCTGAAAGTTGTGATTCTGATTCCTCATGGTTTGGAGCTCAGAAATTTCTTAACATGTCTTTGCTGTTAGTCAAGCACAGGATTTGTTTTCTGCAAAAGTTTATTTTCAATGAAGAATACTTGTCCTAATAGCTCATAAAAAGTACCTTTGCACTTTAAATCCTAGGAATAGGGAACAAGGAAACTTACTGGGAAGTTCAAAAGAAAGAATAACAGGACCTTCTAGTCAGCAGGGCATGTTTGGAAAATGTTAATACGCCATGATTTTTGAAGACCAATTTTAGTTCAGGAGGTGGTTTTAAATATTGGATGAAAACTTACAGGCTGTTTTCAATATTCATTTCTGAAATACTTTAGTATGATAGATAAATTTGGTTAAGTTCTTGTTCATTGTGAAATACTGTTGGAAGAATTTTTTTCAAAATAAAGACTTCTGAATTTGTGTACCATTTGGGAATAGCCTCTTTCATTTAAATGAGTGTCAAATCTGGAAAATTGGAAGAATATTTGTTCCTTTCATCACTCACATTATGCATTTCTGTAAAGCAGCTCATGCATTTACTTCCAGCTTAACGTGTTTTCCATTAATTAATAAGTTTTGCCATTTTTTTCTGTATTTTTCAATTAAAAAGTCTTCATTTTTAAAAAGCAGGATCTATTTGTTACTTAATTTGCAATATTTTTTTTTCAAAGATGGATTTTTTTTTTTCTGGAGTACACATTGATGGAAGTTGGTTTTAAGAAAGCATTGTAATGGGAATTTACCTACCTTACTACTGTTGAAGTTTAGAAGGTAAATGCTGAACTGTGTTTGTCACATCCCTAATCTTATTTCTCTGTAGTGGTCACTGACTATTATTTGTTATGAGTCCATCTTGATTATTCTGTACATCTTGTTTAAATTATTTTCACTAACCATCACCAGAACACAGAAGAAAATTTTGTTTCCTTAGAATCAATGAGTATTTCCACCACCTGAGGGTGGGGGACAAGGAGGAGAGAACTAATGTTTGTTTTAGCCTCTTTAATGAGAAACTATTCAAATTATTTTTCTTCATTTTTTTTCTCAAATGGTATGCTAATGATTTTTGCTGACCTCAAGATTTGGGGCTCTGTGAAAAGTACTATACCAGAGTTAAATTGCCTGTGTTCTTTTCTGCCATTAACTGGCTTTGGGTTGGGAAATTCAGATAATTCCACTTTTCCAACTTTAAAATGAGATCTCATTCAAAACAAAATTGCCCACAACCATTTGGAATATGTGTTTAAATTAGACAGTAATGCTTTGGAAAGTGGAATTAAACATTTCAGAATAATAGCTGTTAGGCCGGGCTCAATGGCTCACGCCTGTAGGGAGGCTGAGGCAGGTGGATCACCTGAGGTCAGGAGTTCGAGACCAGCCTGGCCAACATGTTAAAACCCTATCTCTATTAAAAATACAAAAATGAGGCATGGTTGGCAGGTGCCCGTTGTCCCAGCTACTTAGGAGGCTGAGGCAGGAGAATTGCTTGAACCAGGGAGGTGGAGGTTGCAGTAAGCTGAGATTGCGCCAGTGCACTCTAACTTGGGCAACAAGAGTGAGATTCTGTCTCAAAAAATAATAATAATTAAAAAATAATAGTTGTTAGATTGAACATAGAAAACACGTTTTTGTAGATAAAAATTGCCAAGTGTCAGCAACTTTGACAATTTTTAAATCACCAACTTGTGCCATTTACCTCATCTAATTGATCCCATTTAATGGACACAAAAACCCTTTAAGGCAGTATTTGTCAGAAGAAAACACAAGTGTTCGCTTGACCAGGATTGCACAGCTAATTAGTAAGTGGCAGGAGTAGAATTCTGTCTGACTTTAAAATTAATCTTCCTGTCAATATTGTATTCCTGCTTTGAAGCTCCTCATTCTAGCAGTTTTAATGAGTATGGATATTTAAAAAAAAAAAAAAAAACACCTGTTTCACAAGCACTGTTGGAAACTGTAAGGACTACTCACAGCCTTCCTACCCCAAATTTGGAGTTTTTTCCTTCCACATTTGCTTCCTGCCAATGTGAAATATTTTGTTGTGATCATAACCAGTTAATTTTTAACCCATTTATGCCTAGTGTTCCATTATTGGAATGCTAAGCTTGTGGGAATTATTTATATCCTACTGCTCAAGGTCATTGCCAAGGTCTAATTTTTCACAAAAAAATTTGCAACTTCCAGCATAAATGGATTAATGTTGAATTTTTCCTACATACGAGTTTTCTTCCAAACAAAATACATTTACATTTGTTATTTTTTCTGATGGTGAAAATACATAATTATTGTAAGGAATTTGAAAATAGAGAAAAGTTTGTAATCTTGTGCAGGTATAAGTATGTCTGGATTGTGTTTTATGGATAAGTATAAAGACTTCTTACAGAATGGCATCATATTATGCTTACTATTTTGTAACCTTTTCCTCAATATATCATGGTTTTCTTTCAGTGTCAAATATAGAACCAGATTCTCTTCCAATGAAGTTTCATTATATGGAGTTCTCATAATTAATCTCTATGACAAATGTTAATATTGTTTCCAATTTTCAACATCAGGAATTTTACCTGTGTTTTTATTTTTATTTTACCTGTACACATGATTTGGAGTCATGTTTTCTTAGAAATTGAATTGCCGAGTGAACAGTGTACATCTTAAGAACATTGATACGTCTCCTCTTCTGTACTGCAATGTAGATTTTGTGGTCATTTGTCATTTTTCATAATGTTAATTGAATACCTCTAACTTTTCATTTGGATTATGTCTGGGAATTAAATATTTGTAAATCACACTATTGGCTTATAAGGATTAACATCCTCTCAACTTAATTACTATTTAAAGAGATTGTTTTAATTTATGGAATACCAAAAAAGGCACGTGGGCCATTTTTACTCCAGTTCTTTTTAATGATTGCTGATTTCAGGGGATTCTTCATTTTTTTCTTTTTTTTGATTACTAGTGAGTTGGATTTTTTTTCATGATTTTCTACTTGCATTTTCTCATTTATGAATTGTGTTAAAAGTTTAAGGCATTAATTGGATCAACTAAATTTACGTTTTTATTCATTTATCTCATTTTGGGATTTCAGAGGCACAAACTGGGACTTTCGTATTGCTAATGATGTCATTTAACTTTTAGGCTGAATAACTTAATCTGTAATCTAGAGATTGAAAAATCTAGATAACTGCTAAACTTCCTTCTAGTTTCATAATTTTTTAAAAATCAGAGAAGGATAACTTATTCAGATCCTCTGGTTGAACTGGTTGTTATGCAGACTTAAAAGCTTATTTCTTCACCCTACCCTACATCTAGAACACATAGAAATGGCTGTTGTATTTTTTTGTTTTTGTTTTTTTTGTTTGTTTTTTTGGTGTGTGTTAGTTTCACTGTGATGTGTCTGAATGTGGATGTTTTATTTTTGTGTTGTGCGTGGGATTTGATATGCTTGAATCTGTATTGGGTGGGTGGGTGGGTGGGTGGGAGGGTGTGTGTGTGTGTGTGTGTGTGTGTGTGTGTGTGTGTGTTGCTACCAGCTCTGCAAGTTTCTCAGCCATCCTGTACTCAAGTATTAATTGCCCTATTTTCTGCATTAACTTTTAAGGTTTTTAAACGTTTTAAAGAAGGAACTAAGTAAAATTCTTTGGAATCCTTGAAGGGTTTTAAGCATTTAAAATGTTTATGGTTATCAGTATCGATTCAGACTAAATTTCTATAAAGTTATCAAAGAAGAATATAAATTTAGAATACATAAGTCATAATATGATTTTAGAACAATACTGTTTCAGCCTTTCTATTTTAGTTGCTAACTGTATTTGGGTAGGTCTCCCAAATAAGGAGAGAAGAGAGGAATTGCCAGGCCTTCCAGATAAGATTTCCAGTATTCTAAACTATGGAAATGTTAGAGAAACTTGCAAATTCTAGCAGGCCAGAGACATTGAATGTTTTTTTTCTTATTAAGAAATAATACTTTAAAATGCAGAACAATTTTGACTTCAGTGATGTTTGAGAACTGCTCATGTAAAAGAAATCACACTAAATGCTGTATGTCCTTGTCGTAGTAGCTTCCATTTAGTAGGTGTTATATTTGGTGCCACTTTGCTAAGTGATTTTTAAAATAATATTTCCTATAATTTTCACAATCTTATATGTAGGTATGATTTCTATTTTACCAGACAAAACAGGCGTAGAAATGATGGTTTACTTGCTCAAGTAAAGTAAGTAGCAGAACTGAGCTTTGAATCCAGCTCAAGAGTAGGTATGCAGAACCACTCCACCACAGTGCCTTGAAGGAACTGGTCTTCTAGAAGGGAGTATGGTGTATATGTAAGTCCACACCAAGGGCAGGGAAGTGGGGCTGTGGGAGAGTAAAGACATCTCAATCCGACCTAATACAGATTTATGAAGGAGCAGTAGATGGAAGACTAAGGGGGGAAGAGAAAAGGAAGCAGGAAGAAAAGAGGCCTGTATATTGGGGTTATGCTGTATTGGGGTCCAAAATACATTGGACAGGTTTTCTCTTCAGGGCATTTGATTAAAGGGTGGTAGGTGTGGGTATGGGTGTGGGGGTATATGTGTGTGTGTGTGTGTGTCTGACTGTTGGTGAAAGTACTTAATGCAAAATAATTCCTTTCCAGATCTCTCTGGCATGAAGAACATGGAACAAGGTATAACAGTTAATAATAGTTGTGTTTAAAATTAGTGTGAAGTAGTATTCGATTGGAATTCTGTATAGCATATATTATTTCACCTAAGGCATTAAAGATGATTACAGTCATTTACTACTAAAAATGTGGTCTGAGGACCTACAGCCTGGATGTAGTCACCTTGAAGCTTGTTAATCATGCAGAATCTCAGGCCCCATCCCAGGGTAATAAATCAGAATCTGCATTTTAACAAAATCCCTAGGTGATTTGTATGCAAATTCAAGAAAAAGAGGCACTGATTTAGGCTCTGTCTATGTTACGTAAATCATTTTTGTATATAGCTTTTAATTTGTTATACTAAAATCACTCTGGAGAATCTTAAAAAGGAGATTGAGAAAAAAATTCTGTGAAAGTACATTTGAATTAAGTTCCTTGTGGTGTGTGTGTAGTTTTATACATGTGTTGCTAGGAGTCAGGAGTTCGTGCAGTGAGTGATTTATTTATTTAAAAAGTAGAGAAATATGCTGGTATCAGCGTCACACAGGTAAAGTCATTAGGCGATGCCGTGCAATGAAGATAAATGCAAAGGCAGTAGACTTCCTCTGGAAGATATTGTGGAAGAGGAAAATTGGAAGAGCACAGGTTTTGCTATCACCATGAAGTCAGTCACTGGAAGAGGAAGGAAGCTCTGCAGATGACAAAAGCACCTGAGGACACCCGAAATATCTCTTGGTGCTGGTGCACATTTGAGCAGTAGCTCAGAGGAGTGGCATCATTGAGGAGGAGGATACATGTGTTAAGCACCCTGCTGGCCAAGGTATGGCCCGGATGTTGGAAACTGGCTGTAGAGCCGCAGTGGTTCCTGATATTAAAGAAATGTTGTTTAAAGCTGTTTTTCTTACACCCTATTTGCCTTTGAAATTTTAAAAGCATTCACTTTACACATCTGTTTTGCCTTTTTACAAAACTTTTTTTAAAGAGAGCCCTCTGCCACCAAAATATGCTTGACCTCATCATCCTGAGATCACTGCTATCAAAATATTTGGTGTATATTTTTTCCCTAGCTAATTTGTGTGTGTATATACATTCTATATAATTGTTTTATTGTGTACAATTTGTGTAACTATTATCTGCTTTAAAGGTTTAACAGTACCTTTTTCTGTCATTAAATAGTGTGCAAAAGCATGTGTAGTAACTGCACTATATGACTGTCTCTGGTCAGAGCATAAATTTCTTCACTGGTCTCCTGTACAGCGGTCTGCAAACTTTTAAGTGGCTAGCTAATACATATTTTTAGACTTTGCTGGTGATATGGTCTCTGTCCTAACTACTGGACTCTGTTTTTTTAGAACAAAAACAGCCGCAGCTGTAAGCAAAAAAAAAAAGTGAGCTCAGCTTTGTCCCAGTGAAATTTTTCTTGCAAAAACCAGGCCTGCAGGTCATAGTTTGTCCTCCTTTGTCTAATGGAACCTTAGGTTGTTGACGTTGTTTCTGGTCATGAGCTGCCTTTTAACATCTTTGCCCAACACTAGTTTCCACATAAATCAATCCCTACAGTGGATGTTTCTTTTAATTCATATAGTCCTCCAGAAAGTTTTTCCAACTTTGGGTTCTTGTAAGTTTTTGAGGATGTTTATTCCTCTGGAATATTGATAACACTGGTTATTTTTAATTATCAATTTGATATGTCGAAGGTGATAACGAGTATTTCATGTTTCTTGAATTACTAGTGAGGTTGGTCATCTTTTCATGCTTTGTGAATTACCTTTTCATGAGATTTACTCTTCCCTAGTATACTCATGTTTAAAAAATTGTTTTTAGACCTTGTAGGAAAACCATGTTATGTATTTTTCATGTTTCAATTTACTGTTTTGATTTTTACATAAGTTTTATATTTGTGTAAAGTCACAGCTGTCCATCTTTTCTATAATTTTTTTTCATTTATTTGGTACCAAAGGCAATCTTTTCTGTAATTTGCAAGTTTGATCATGCTTAAGAAACCCTTTACTAAACCACTGTTATGAAAATAGAAACCTGTGTGTTCTCATAGTATTTCTGTGGTTTAGTTTTGTATCAATATTGGAGGTTGATACAATTTTTTAACTTTTGGGGAAAGTTATTAGGAGTAATACTAGAGAGAAAGTCCAGTGTTTATAGGATAATACACATTTCTCATGGAAATTTAGAAGTCAAGGATATGAAGCTTGTATCAAAAGCCTAAACGGGCTGGGCATGGTGGCACATGACTGTAGTCCCAGCTACTTGGGAGGCTGAGGTGGGAGGGTCGCTTGAGCCCAGGAGGCTGAGGTTGCGGTGAGCCGAAATCACACCACTGCACTCCAGCCTGGGTGACAGAGTGAGACCCTGTCTTCAAAAAAAAGGTGGGGGTGCTAAACAACAGTGGTATGATCTCTTGCAGCATAGGATGATTTCAGCTTCAAAATTTCAAAAATTCACAAAAGACAAAGGACAACTAGAAGGAAGTTAGATGGGTATATGTATTTTAAAAGGGACAGGGGAGCTCTTATAATGAAGAGGTGGTGATAGAGGGGTAGTAGGATGGGTGGAAGATAGACTGAGTGGGGGGCGGGCGGGGTGGGGGAAGGGATAGGCCAAGAGTAGCCTATTTGTGGGCAGACAAGACACCAAAAATGCCAGTATTCTAGAATGCTTATACTGTCCAAACAGCCTCTCCTGGAGAAGCACTTTGTTATTGCTAATCTGAAATTTAGTCATCTATGTGAGGGAACTGCAGGGATTAAAATGCTAATTCACTGGATGAGCTGGATGATTTAGTTGGAAGTTTTTATAAGGAAGAGCCAGAAAGAGTTGCCCATTTGATAGCTTTAGAAAAATCCTCAAGAAAGTGTGTTACGATCCCATGCATGGTGCCGTGTCTTAGCTACAAGGGTTTGATCCTGGATTCACCATAGGTTATTAAGAAAGTAATCATTTATTTTTTAAAGGCAGCAAATACTTCCTGAGAATAGACAACTCATAAAGCATATAAGGGATAAAGAGAAGCATAAAGGGCCTGCCCAAAAGGAGATTATGACTTATTTTAAAAGAATAACACATGCCAAGCGCAGTGGCTCACGCCGGTAGTCCCAGCACGTTGGGAGGCCGAGGCGGGAGGATCACTTGAAGTCAGGAGTTCGAGACCATCCTGGCCAACATGGTAAAACCCCGTCTACTAAAAATACAAAAATTAGCTGGGCATGGTGGTGCATGCCTGTAATCCCAGCTAGGAGGCTGAGGCAGGAGAATCACTTGAACCAGGAAGTTGGAGGTTGCAGTGAGCTGAGATTGCGCCACTGCACTCCAGCCTGGTGACAGAGCGAGACTGTCTTAAAAAAAAAAAAACACATATACACATGGAGGGATAATTAAAAATAAGTTCCATTTTTTCCCCATTTTCCTCGTATTCTAGAATCATTAAAAGGAATAATGACATGTTTTATTGTAAAACTAATACACTTTCATGCTGGATCAGAGGTCAGTAAACTAGTGTACTGTCTGCTGGCTAAATCTGGCTAGTCACCTAACAAAGTTTTATTGGAACATAGTCACGCTCATTTCTTTACATATTGTCTATGTTGCTCTTGCCTTACAACAAGAGGTGTAGTTATGATAGAGACCTATGGCCCACGAAATCTGAAGTATGCCTTTACAGAAAAACTTTGCTGACCTCTGCTTTAGATAATTAGGCAAATGCAGAAAGTATAAAAATTTTAAATTGTCCATAATTTCACTTTTTGTTAGTTTATGTATGAACATCTTATGCACCAAAATGTAAAATGGTTTGTATGGTTGTATATGCATTTTTAACCACATATTGTGTCATTAAATATTGGGAAAACAAGATTTTTAATGCCTGAATAGTATAACGGATATACAGTAATTTAAACATTACCATTTCTAGTCTGCACTAGTACACATGATATTTTAATAAATACCATTCTACATAAATTTGTGTGTGTGTGCATATATATATATATATATATATATATATATATATATATAGTGTTGCTTTTTGTGAAAGGTTTTCAGGTGTAGACTTACTAGAATTAATATTTTCAAGATTTTTTTATCTTATGCCAAATTGCCCTCCAAAGACATTTTACCAAGTTTATGCTCCCACCATTAGAGAATATGAAAGTTCATTTTCCTCAACTTTTACTGTTGTGGAATTTATTTATTTATTTATTTATTTTGGAGACAGAGTCTCGCTCTGTCACCCAGGCTGGAGTGTAGTGGCCCAATCTCGGCTTACTGCAACCTCCGCCTCCCGGGTTCAAGCAATTCTCCTGCCTCAGCCTCCCGATTAGCTGGGATTACGGGCATGTGCCACCAAGCCTGGCTAATTTTTTTTGTATTTTTAGTAGACACGGGGGTTTCACCATGTTGGCCAGGCTGGTCTCGGACTCCTCACCTTGTGATCCACCCACCTCAACCTCCCAAAGTGCTGGGATTACAGGCGTGAGCCACCGCGCCCGGCCCCTCAGTTGTGGAATTTTTAAGTAGCCTTAGGCATTACTTTAAGCAAAAACAGTGTCTCATTGTCATTAAATTGCTAGAGAAGCTATTTTTCCAAATGTTAATTTGCTTGTTCTAGATCCACTTTTTGGATTTGCCTATTTATGCCCTGAGCACATTTAATTGCTTGTGTAAATGCAATATTTTTTCTGCTTGGAAACTCTTACATTCCCCAGTGTTAATTCCAAATGTAATTTTATTACCATCAGCTGTTATTTCTAGTTACTTATTCATGCTTCTGCTTTAGTATGATATTTATAATTCATTTATTCATTTGCTTCCAAATTAGGCTGTGAACTCTTCCATGGCAGTAGCTCTGTCAGTTACCTCTGGATTACTGTGACCACCACTGGACTAGGCACGTGCTAAACACTCAATAGATGTAGGTTGAATGAATGAATGGCTTTTGGATGAACCCGTGGCAAGATGAGAGTTGGCACTGGTAATATAACAGTTCTGAAAAGAGTTATCACTTCATACCGTTTGAAAATGTTATCTTCAGCACATCAAGTATATGCTATGAACCAAGAGCCAGGTTCGGTCCTGGGATTTAACAGTAAATAATACACAGTGGCTGTCCCGAGTTCTAGTGGAAAACTTGAAATTGTAAGTTACGGTGTAGTGAGAGATATAAACACAAGTGCTCAATAAAATAACTATGATAGAAGCTCAGGCACTGTGAATACACATAGGAGAGGCATCCAACCTAAACTGCAGCATTGAGAGGTTTCCTATAAAAGGAAATACTGAGTTAAGGCTTGAAAAATGAGGAAGAATTATCTAGTTCAGTGTCAAAAGAAATGCAGGCATTGAAATCACCTAGTGCAAAAATCTAGGGCTTGCAGGAAATGAGGCTTTAGAGGAATTTCAAAGTAGGGAAGAATGTAAGGAAGCTGGGGGCAAAATGATGAGAGACCAGGCTGCACAGATAGAAGTCAGATCTTGAAAGACTGCTGTTTCTTTTTAGGAGTCTTGGCTTGTTTTAGAGCAGAGTGAAGGACGAGTGATTAAGCATTGAAGGGTTTAAGCAGTTGAATATGATCAGATTTGCAGTTTAGAAATGACTTTGGATTTGCTGCAGAGCGGAGAATGGATTTGCTACAGGAATAAGACTGGAGGCAAGGAGACACTTGGTTTATAGAAGAACTTCCAGCTTCAGGTAATGGAGGAGTAATTCCTTTCTGACCAGGCCTCCCGTAACTCATTCTCAATTCTGGAAAAATACTGAAAGTAAAAGCACTGGAGAGCAACCAATAACAGGCAGAAACTGGAGGGGGAGTTGACACTGGAAAAAAATAGCACTGAGTGTTCTGTCTTTATAGCTTGTTGCCTGAACACAGGCCCCAGTTAACTTCATGTGAAACAACTAAAGCTTGACAAAAAATAAATAACTGTAATTGAACTCTACTTGTATATTTGACTGAATTTGGTATACACAAGGCAGACTCCAAGCAGCCCAGCCAAGGCTGAAAGAAAGAAACACAGATTTCTCCTGATGTTAATCTCAGGAATGATAGTTTGGACTTTTGAGTCCAGCAAAGTTTACTGCTTGGTAAAACAATAGTTTTCAGAGGAATATAATAGAATCCAGAGTCTTGGCAACAAATTAACACAATGTTTAAGATTGAATAAGAAACTAGGTGTACCAGAGGCCGATCTGAACAAAAAAATGTTCAGATAAGTATTTTAGGTGTTACAAGTATTTTAGGCCTCTGGTGCAACTGCTCAACTCTGCCATTGTAGAATAAATACAGCCATGTATAATATGTAAACGAATGGGCATGACTGTATCCCAATAAAACTTTATTAAAATGAACCACATACTGGATTTGGCCAGCAGGTCAGTTTGCCAACCCCTCAAGTATACAAAGAAATAGGAAAATTTGAGCCATACTCAAGAGAAAAGGTAATGAATAGAGACCAACACAGAAATAACCCAGACAAGGATTTTAAAGCAGCAAACACAATTATGCTTAAGCATGTAAAGGAAATATAAACAATGAATAAAAAGATAGGGGGAGGCCAAGGTGGGCAGATCACAATGTCAGGAGTTAGAGACCATCCTGGCTAACACGGTGAAACCCCATCTCTACTAAAAATACAAAAAATTAGCCAGACATGGTGGTGGGTGCCTATAGTCCCAGCTACTCGGGAGGCTGAGGCAGGAGAATAGCGTGAACCTGAGAGGTGGAGCTTGCACTCCAGCCTGGGCAACAGTGTGAGACTCTGTCTCAAAAAAAAAAAGGGGGGGTGGGGGTGGGGCGTGAAATTTTAGAGAAACTACCAGAGGGGTAAATGGGAATGATTAAGCCAAAAAATAGTCACTGAAATTACAAAAAAAGAAAAACAAACAAACAAAAAAACACTACTTGATGGATTTAACAGTAGATTTGAGATGACAAAGAGTCTGGGGCCTTGAAGATAGATCAACAGAAATTATCCATGAAAGGAAAAAGATTTAAAAGAAAACAAAAAGCCTGAGTCAGCCATGAAATAATACCAAAAGATCTCATTTATATGTAATTAAGTTCTAGGAAGAAAAAAGAGTGGGATGACAGAAGAAAAAATATTTGATGAAATAATGGCTAAAAATTTGCCCTCCTGAAAACTATAGATATGAGTCCAAAAAGGTTCGGAATCCCAAAAAGAAGAAAAATCTATTTGGCAAAACTATGGAGACAGTAAAAGGATCAGTGGTTGCCAGGAGTTACCTGGGGGAAAAGGGTGAATCGAGGGCACAGGTTATTTTCTAGTCTTTTGATACAAGAAATTGTACAGTGGAAAAGTATTATAAACATAGAGTATCATGCAACAAAAATGATGGACAAATTCCTATGCAATTAAGACTTAAGGCCATAAAGTATAGCACTACTAAGTCCTTGAGAGTGTAATTTTTGTCCGATAGTACATGCAGAAAAGACAAGAACTTGGATTAATCTAGGGTTGGAGTTTTGCTGGGCATGTGCAAGAAAAGGATAGTGGAGGATATTGGAAAGGAAATGATTGTCCTAGGAATGAAAGATGAATGAGGAAAGAATAAAGAACTAAAGGGATGCATTGAGCCAAAAATAGAGGGTTCAAATGGATAGGAGCTCTTCTAATGGTATGGAAGAACAGATGAATATCTGAATGGAAGGACTTAAAAGGATAAAAGTTATCTGGGGAAGTATGTTTGGACTTGAAATTTTAATGTAATTCTAAGTGATGACAAGTTTAAGATCTGACCTTGATGATTAAGTAGCTAAAATTCAGTGGGGGTGTGGTCTGTTAAGGATATTAAGGAAGTACGGTTAGGGTGCCTGATGGATTTTACGTGAAGATATAGGGGATCTACTGCTCATCAGCCTCAATGATGGTGGTGGAGTTGGGAGGTGATAATCACCATTGAATTGGAGGATTACCAGAGGTTAATAGATGACAGAAGAGAGAGAAGGTAGAAATTTTATATGAGGAATAAAATCTGGCAGGGGCAATGGGGAAAGGAACACCCATCCTGGATAAATGCAGTGTGAGGACATGATCAGTTTCCACTGGAGAAGACAGTAGGGTCAGATTCCACTTGAACCCTGCGGAGGGTTGGGGGTGGAGGGCAGTGTGAAGGTGGAGTATAGGCTCCATGGAATATAGGCTGGGAGCATCCCTGAAGTCCTGAGCATGTAATGGACTTGAGCCTGGAAAGCAGATTCTAGAGGTCAGCAATAAAGGTTTAACAAAAGAGAAGTGGTGCAAGGTTAGGTCTGGGAGGGAGCACTTGGAACAGTAAGGAGACAAGAATATTACAGGTGGAATAACTTGAGAAGTTTTCATCCAGTAATGTGAGGTATGGTTGAAACTGGCCACATTTCCCAAAAAATGAGTCCCAGCAGGGAGGGGCAGGAGAGGATGGGACCTTTCCTCTAAGACCAAATTGATTGCATTTCCAAAGGAGGCCTAGTTTGCATGCAGAGCACCCATAGATTTTGGTGAGAGGGACTCTTGCCATGGGTCCTGAGTTTTAAGGGGCTTAATTCTGATCCTCTTCTTCCATTCATGTGCCCATATTGGGGAAGGAATCCATGAAATGACCCCCTCCCTGGCTTGTCTTTCTTGTAGACCATGCCCCAGGCAACGAGGAACCCAGGGATCTCAGCTCTAACAGCCCCAAGCCCACTTCCAGGTGTTTGTAGCTCATCTAGATCCAAAGCATAGCCTAGTAGCTGCTGCTTGCCAGGAGGTAGGGGCTGATACGTGGCCAGAGCCTTCTTTTCCTTTTGGGAAAATTTATGATAAAATATGGAATACCCAGTTTACTTTGAATTTCAGAAAAACAATAAACAGAAGTATGTTCCATACAGTATTTTGGACATGCTTATACCAAAAATTTCTTTATTGTTTATTTGAAATTCGAATTTAACTGGGCATCCTGCATTTTTATTTGCTAAATCTAACAACTCTACTTCCTCTTGTTTTTCACAGGAAATAAAAAGAACACATAAACTAACATGAGAATGTATTTATATAAACAACTTTTAGGCTGTGTCAATTATGGCTGCACTACCATATAGTGAGAAGTCATGTTTATATGTCAGGGGTAGGATAATTGGTAGTTGCTCTTTCAAATGTAGATTTTTGTGCCCAGTGGTGAATTCTGCTCCCACATGTTACCAAGGACTCTACTTGCATGGGTTCCAGCACACACGGACTGGGCTCTTGGCCGCTTCTCCCCAGGACCCTCAGTACACATAGGTAAGAATGCTCTGTTCTTTCAGCTTGTCCCCCACCCCCTTTCAGGCTTCCAGCTTTACATTTATTTATTCACTCAACAAATATTTGCTGAAGATATACCGTGTATCTATATTGTACCACAGGCTAGGATAAACAACAGTGAAGACAAAAAGCAAGACCCCTACCTTTATGGAACTTAGTCCTAGTGAGGGAGAGGTTTTCCATCCGCTATTATCTTCACCGTACCCTTTAGTTTAGCACACGAGTTAGTTTCTCTTGGCTTTGATTTTGGCCTCCATCTAGCCATGTTGTCCTTGGTTTAGTGCATTCTCAACAACTCTTGGGGTGACTCTCGTCTCACTCTGACAAGGCCCTGAAATGAATGTCCCTGTTCATCCTAGTGAGCAGCCCCTGTCTTACCTGGTCTGGCCTCACTTGGGAGCCAGGACCTGGAGAGTATATATGCAGAAACACCCAATCATTGGGAGTAATTCAGAATTATCTATAGGGTTAAATATAAAAATCCATTTGAGGTGGTAGAGAAAAAAGTACCATTTTAAAACTTTGAAATCATTTCTGCTAAGACTCCAAGATAGCTCAATATCTCAAAGATTGAAAGCTATACTGGAAGAAGATGTTCCATCTTAAAAATGAAATAGTTTACGTTCCTGATGAGCTATTATAATAAATACGCATAACATTTGTCTTGGCATCTTGAGAAAAGAGTGTTATTGAAATTGACTCGACAAAGATTTGTGATCAAATTATAAGAAGACTCATTAATCAAGTATTGATGGCTGCTAAACATCTAATTGCTTATCACTGGAAAAGTTATGTGGACAGTCTACAAAGAGCTTAATAGATAACTCAATATCATGGCTGTTGAGAAATTGCTTATTCTTCTGTATTGAAATCTAAATATATTTGTCACTTTTTTTTTTTTTTTACTATCTGTCTCATTTTTTATTTGTAAAGATTTTAGCACATCTTCTTTTTGAGACGGAGTCTTGCTCTGTCACCTAGGCTGGAGTGCAGTGGCACAATCTCAGCTCACTGCATCCTCCACCTCCCGGGTTCAAGCAATTCTCCTGCCTCAGCCTCCCGAGTAGCTGGGATTACAAGTGTGTACCACCATGCCCGGCTAATTTTTGTATATTTAGTAGAGACAGGGTTTCACTATGTTGGCCTGGCTGGTCTCGAACTCCTGACTTCAAGTGATCCGCCCACCTTAGCCTCCCAAAATGCTGGGATTACAGGCATGAGCCGCTGTGCCTGGCCTGAGATTTTAGCACTTCTTATGTCTTTTTTATAATAACTGTGAATGGAGCCCAATTTCCTAAATACCAATTTATAAATTATCCAAATTGTAAGACAAGGATGTTATGCTTATATATTAGTTTTAAGCCTGTATTTGAAACTTGGGTTAATATAATGTGTAATATATTCCTTTTTATACCTTTGTATGGAGTAACTTTTACCACTTAACAATAAAAAGACAACCAAACTAAAAAAAAAAAAAAAAATGAACAAAGGATATGAATAGACATTTCCTGAAAAAGATATACAAATGGCCAAGAAGCCCTTGAGGAAATGTTCAACATCATGAGTCATTAGTGAAGTACAAATCAAAAATGAGATACCACTTCACACCAACTGGGATGGCTGTCATCAAAAAGATGGACAACAACAAGTGTTAACAAGGATGTGGAGAAATTGGACTCCTCATACATTGCTGTTGAGGATGCAAAATGATGCAGCAGCTTTAGAGAATGGCTGGCAGCTCCTCAAAAAGTTAAATACAGAGTTGCCATATGACCCAGCAATTCCACTGTTAGGTATATACCCAAGAGGAATAAAAACATATGTTGATACAGAAACTTGTATGTACAAGTGTTCATTTATAGGAGCCAAAAAGTGGGAACAACCCAAATGTACATCCACTGATAAATGGTGTAGCCATACGATGGAATATCATTCAGCCTATAACTGATGCTGCATCATGGATGAACCTTGAAAACAAGTGAATGAAGCCAAATGCAAATGGCCACATATTTATGTTTCCATTTGTATGAAGTGTTCAGAATAGGCAAATCCAAAGAGACAAAATGTAGAGCAGTGGTTTCCAGGGCCTGTGGGGAGGGAGGAATAGGAGATGGCTACTAATGGGTACAAGATTTCTTTATGGGATGATAGAAATATTCTGAAATTAAATAGGGAATTTTGCAAATTTATGAAAAACCATTGAATTGTACACTAAAGAATCGTATGTGTGGATAAAAATATTCAAATACTTATTCTCCTTTACTGAACAATGGGGATTTATCTAAACTTCTGGCACAAAGCCAGCAGGTTGTAGGCACTCTCTCTCTCTCCCCTTTTTTTCTTTTTCCTTTTATTTATTTATTTTTAGCAATTTAACAAGTGAATGAATGAGTGAACTAAATGCAGATATCCTAAATAAAATTCCTTTGACTCTCTTCCCAGGGGTGATAAAATTGGGTCCCTATGACTCATGTCCCAGCGCTGATGTCTGTTCTCCCTGTTGGTGGTTCTACCACTTTCCTTCCTAAAATGGCTTTTGCCATGCCATCAGCCACTTACCCAGTACGATCCACTTGTTCAAGTGATGTGAGCAGCCTCGTCATCATGATAATGTTCCAGCACTTTGTTGATGATGATTCTAGGGTTTCATATAGAACAGCAGGATAACATGGATCAAGAAACCAGATGGAATGTTTTTGTCATGAAAGAATCCAACTTCTTACATCAAAGGTTGGGGGAGGAAGAGAAGATACAAATGGCAGTGAGAAAAGAAAGGGGGCGACGACTAGCCAAGGTACAAATGGAAAATCATCCTCCCCTAATTTAGAACCTGGTGTGTGTTTCTCTGCTACTTTTTATGTAATAGTAAGCTGACACAGCTCAAATCAAGAATTTAGTTGTCTTTCAAATATTTCCTGACAAGTTGATTCTCCTTATCCAAAAAGAATGAACAATGCTAGTAGTTACTGCTAAAATATACACAGGTGCCTAGTCGTCCCCACCCTGTCATTTGCCCTTGTTTATCCAGGAACCCACTGTTTCTGTAACTCTGCTGGTGTTTACAGTACAGGAACAAAGAGTGTGAGCTGTAAAATCTCTCTAATCTTGATTCAAATTCCAGCTCCATACCTCTGAAGACTTGCACTTTTGGCAGCTTATTTAGTTTCCCTGAATTTCAGTTTTTCTAGTTGTAAAATTTGGATCATGATAACGATTTCATGGTTGTCATCAGAGTTAAATTAGATCGATGTATGTATGCCCTCAATAAATGTTAACTATTATTCAATTATTAACCATTTAACTATTCCTACCTGTCAACATAGGCTTTATTTTCAAGTTCAGAGTCTAAATTTCTTTTAGGTCTAGACTGACTTTTAAGAGTAAGATTGGGGCCTATATGCTTAAATTAGTTTACATTGTAATTCTAGCATTATCTGCTTAACCTCTCTCCATGAAAAGAAATTTGACTAAAATCATTTTGTACATTAGTTGTATGTATCAAGGGCATAAAAATGAAAATTTCAACCCAGATCAAATAAAAATAACCCCTTCTCCCCTCTTTAGACAAATCTCCTTAATAAGCATATATCCAGGGAATACTTTTTAGTTAACATGGATCATTCTGTATTATTATTGAACTCAAGAATTTAAGAGCTAGAAAGAACCCTTGGGAGAGTCTGACCTCCAGTGTTTACAAGGGAAGAAATGGAGACAGACTTATTAGAAATGGAGATTTGGTGACTTATTGATGAGAAGATAGCTGCACAGTAATATGGACAAAACCCGAGCATACTGCCTCCCACTCCCATTCCATGTTCATTCCAAGGCACCAGCTCCTGTATTAAGAAAAAGATAAATAGTGAGACAGGTCACTTGCCCTTAAGGCTCTATATTATGTGACCCTTCAATGCCCTGTCTGTACACTCAAGTACACATCACCTATCTCATATCTTTCTGACCCATCCTGGTTCATTGGCCTTACAACACCCAGGCTCTTTTCTGACCTCAAATTCAAAAGGCTTCTTAGAGCTGCCGGTGGTAATTATGGCCTCCCACACAGTGTTCCCACAGTCTAATGAACAATTACAGAGCTGGTTATTTCTGGGCAAAAGTGCTCAGCCTCATATCCCATGGCTCTCATTGAGAAATATTTGATGAAGATTTTGGTACCACCTGCTGGCTCCTAGTGGGTTGGCAATGTTGCCCAGACACCTGCATTTTATGTTCCCTTAAATGGCTCTTAGTTTCTAATTCTTTATTCCATTTTGTGTCAGAATAACTCAGAGGGAAAAGAATATCCATTAACGTCCTCCTTGAAAAATAGTCAAAAGCCATTTTGAAGACCTTGGGTCCCAGGAAAGAGTGTGTCTCTTTGTTCTTGCTTTGGTCTTGCTGGCAAAACATTTTACCCCAGGATCAAGAGGCTGGTGGTTGAACTGAACAAAGGAGCTCCAGGCTGGTCACAGGATGGGCATCATTTGCCAGTGCTGGCTTGGTGGGAGGCAACTGGCGGACAAGTCTCTCTGGAGGGTGAGTTTCCAGACTATTGAAAACCTATTGAGGCAGTTAAATGGAGGGCATTATGAAGTATCCACGTAGATTAGACATTTTAGGCACTTCATTGCGAAGGTTTTCTTTTCATTGCCCACATATTTGGCCTGGTTTTTGTTTGGTTTTGTAACTCAGTTTTGCTTGTATCTAATTATAGTTTTTTTGGGTAACAAGCAATAAAAATTACAGTAACAACAAATACTCTAAATGAATTGGGGAATCAACTTAATGGTTTTCTTTTTTTTTTAAGCATCAGCATGATCTTATGATAGCAGGAATTATAAGAAGGAGTATCTGCTTTCAAGATGACTTTATTATTGAGTTTCCATCACCCGTTATGTTGACCTACTGGAACCTTGGTAGACTCCCAGAGGTCACTTAGACATCGGTTTTGAAAACTATTGATTTTATTTTGAATGAAATTCATTGTATTGTTATTATGAGCCCTGCTTTTCTCTGATGTTTTAGACACTGTGCCTTTTTTTAAGAAAGTTTTAACTCAAAATATTCCTGTAAGATTCAATTGTGCTTTTGGTTTGTAGCTTTGCAGCTTTGCTGCTTTGTTTTGGGAGTTTTCTGTGTAGAATGTCTTAGGCCATAAACTTAGTGACACAGCTGTATTTTGTGCTTTAGTGAGAAGGGAAGTGTTAGGTCTTCTGTCTCTGGCCCATATACCTTACATAATACACTGTTCGATACCCATCATCACTGGCCTTGTAAATGGCTTTAAATGGATTCTTGGTGATGTGACCACCTGATGTCATCCTCTGGAAAGAGGGTGAAGTCATTCACTCATCAAATATTTATTGATGCCATATACTGTGAAAGGACCTGGGAATTCAAAAAAAAACACATGGTTTCTTCCCTCAAGAACTTCAAGGTCTTGTAAATAGGCATGTGTGTTACAGTCCCAATGTGGCAGGAAGATTAGCTATACCATTTTACATTCCTACTAACAATGTATGAGTGATCGACCCAGTTTGTCTGCATCCTCACCAAAATTTGGTGTTGTCACTATGTTTTAAATTTTAGCCTTTCTGATAGCTGTGTGGTGGTATCTCATTGTGGTTTTAATTTGCATTTCCCTAACATCTAATGATGTCAGACAACTTTTCATGTGCTTATTTGCCAGCAATATGTCCTCTTTGTAATCATTTTCTCACAGTCTGTAGTTTATCTTCTCATCCCCTCAACAGGGTCTTTCACAAAATAAACATTTTTAATTTTGGTAAGATCCATTCTATCGATTTTTCCTGTTATGGTTCTTGCTTTTGGTGTTAAGTCTAAGAACCACTCACCTAGCCCTAGATCCCAAATATTTTCTTCTTTGTTTTTTTGTCTAAAGATTTTCTAGTTTTATATTTAAATCCATGATCAATTTTCAGTTAATTTTTGTATAAGTGTGAGGTTTAGGTTGAGATTCTTTTTTTTTGCCTATGGATGTCCAATTGCTCCAACATTGTCTGTTGAAAAGACAATCCTTCTTCTATTGAATTGTTTTTGTTCCTTTGGTAAAAAAAAAAAAAAAAGGGAAAAATATTATCTGAGCACATTTGTGTTGGTCTGTTTCTAGAGTCTTTATTCTGTTCCACTGATCTCTGTGCCTGTCCCTCTTCTTATCCATACTGTCTTGATCACTGTATGTGAATGATAATCCTGGACTAAGGTAGAGTGATTCTTCTCATTTATTATTTCTTTTTCGAAAATAGTTTTAGCTATTTTTGAAAGGAAGGTCCTGTGCCTTCCCATACAAGTTTTAGAATAAACTTGTCTATGTCTACAAAAACTCTTGCTAGAAATTGGGAATTGCATTAAACCTGTAGATCAATCTGGGGAGGACTGATATCTTCACTATGTTGAGTCTTCCCCGACCCATGAATGTGATACAGCTCTGCATTTATTGAGGTCTTCTTTGATTTATTTCATCTGTGTTTTGTGATTTTTAGGATACAGATTATGTTTTTGTTTTGTTAGACTTACACTTAAGTATTTCATTTTTTTTGGAGCAATTGTAAGTATTATTGGTTTACATTTGTTTCTGTGTGTTTGTTGTTAGTATGCAGTTCATTTTTAGTGCTCCTTTCTTTTTTCAACCTTTTCTTAGGTGGAAGATTGTACCTTTTTTATGAATGTAAAACACTAAGAGAATTGCTAGTCCCAAAATTGTGATTTTTCAAACATGATTCAAATCCTAAATTTCTGGAATCTTCATCTGGGTAAGGATTAGAATACCTCTGCATCCATGGGAGCCCGTGATATTTGGTTGTGGTTCATTGTGAGTTTGTGTGTGTTGGGGAAGAGGGACCATGGCCTCTAGAGAAAGAGATTTTGTTGTTTTTCATGCAGCCACACTACTCTCTGAGTTAGGTATTTTTGGCTCTTCTGATGTGTCTAGAATGAGACAGCTGGCCTAAAAGAACTTTCATGCAAGCTATATATCTTTCTAAGCTTTTTTACATTCTCTATAAAAAAAAGGACTGAATGTACTTACTCTAAGAACATGCTTTATTTTTTTTACTTATTAATTTAAGAACTGATGACAAGGTAAGTAATTTTGGGGTTATCAACACTGATCATTGAGGATAGGACCAGTGTGCAATTTACCAGCAGCTGTGAAGCCAAGAATTGTTCTTGCATTTCTTATTGTATAATTGACTGACATCATTAGAAGAGTGTTCAATGCCTGGAGTTGTTAGAGTAAACATACTTCCAAACCCCGAATTGGGCATTATAGTTGAGAAAATGAGATCTGAGTTATTATTTGTTCATATTAAAATTGCATATATGTTATGTGTTCAGATATGAGCCTATAGTCCTTTCCTAATTCCACTGAAAGCTAAAAAAAAATTGGGCTTGTCAGATTGATATGGTTTTGGTATTTGTCCTCTCCAAATCTCATGTTGAAGTGTGACCTCCAATGTTGGAGGTGAGGCCTAGTGGGAGATGTTTGGAATGTGGGGGCTGATCCCTCATAAATGGCTTGGTGCCTTCCCCATGGTAATGAGTTCAGATGAGATCTAATTGTTAAAAAGAGAAAGAGAGAAAGAAAGAGACTGGGCCCTCCCTCTCTCTCTTGCTGTCTCTCTCACCATGTGACATGGCTGCTCCCCCTATGCCTTCCACCATGGATAAAAGCTTTCTGAGACCTCACCAAAAGAGAAGCAGATGATGGTGCCATGCTTGTATAGCCTACAGAACTGTGAGCCAAGTGCTTTTGTTTATAAATACCAGTCCCAGGTATTCCATTATAGCAATGCAAAATGGACTAACACAGAAAATTGGTACCAGGAGCAGGGTGTTGCAATAAAGATACCTAAAGGTGTGCAAGAAGCTTTGGAACTGGGTAATGGGCAGAGGTTAGAAGAATTAGCAGGCTCAGAAAAAGGCAGGAAGATAAGGAAAAGTTTGAAATGTCTTAGAGACTGGTTAAGTGGTTGTCCAAAATGCTGATAGAAATATGGATAGTGAAGGCCAGGCTGATGAGCTCTCAGGTGGAAATGAGGAATTCACTGGGGACTGGAGTAAAAGATCACCCTTGTTATGTCTTAGCAAAGCACTTGGCTGCATTGTATCCATGCCCTAGTGATTTGTGAGAGGTTGAACTTAGGTGTGATAACGTAGGATATCTGATGGAATTAATTTCTAAGCAGCAGAGCACTCAAGAGGTGGCCTGGCTGCTTCTAACAACCTATGATCAGATGTGGAAACAAATGAATGACTTTAAGTTGGAACTTAAAAGAGAAGCAGAGTGTAAAATTTTGGAAAATTTGCAGCCTAGCTGTGTGGTAAAAAAGGAAAAATTATTTTCAGATTTTCAGGAGAGGAATTCAGGCAGACCATGGAGCAACCATTTGCTAGAGAGATTTTCATGACTAAAAGGTAGCCAGGTGCTAATAGCCAAGACAATGAGAAAAAGGCCTTGAAGACATGTCAGAAGTCTTTGAGGCAGCTCCTCCCATCATAGGCCCAGAGGCTAGGAGGAAAGAATGGTTTCAGGGGTCAGTCCTGGGGCTCCACTGCCCTGTTCAGCCTTGGGACACTGCTTCCCGAATCCTGGCAGCTCTGGCTCCAGCCTCAGCTCAAAGGGTAAATGGTACAGCTCTGGCCACCACTGCAGATGGCACAAACTGTAAGCCTTAGTGTCCTTTGCGTGGTGTTAAGCCTGCAGGCATGCAGAATGCAGAGGTTTGGCAGCTTCCACCTAGATTTCAGAGGATGTATGAAAAAGCCTAAGTTCCCAGGCAGAAGCCTGCTGCAGGGGCAGAGCCCTCACAGAGAGGCTCTACTAGGGCAATGCTGATGGGAAAATTAGAGTTGGAGCCCCATATTAGGCTATTGCATCACTGTAAAGAAAACCTGAGACTGGGTAATTTATAAAGGACAGTAGTTTAATTGGCTCACAGTTCTGCAGGCTGTACAAGCATGGCACTGGCATCTGTGTGGCTTCTGGGGAGTCCTCAGAAAGCTTTTACTCATGGCAATAGGCAAAGTGGGAGCAGGCATGTCACACTGCAAAAGCAGGAGCAAGAGACAGAGTTGGAGGGGGAGGTGCCACACATTTTTAAACGACTAGATCTCACAGGAACTCACTCACTGTCACAAGAACAGCACCAAGCCATGAAGGATCTGCACTCATGATCCAATCACTTCCCACAATGCCCCACCTCCAACATTGCAGATTACATTTCAACATGAGATTTGGGTGGAACAAGTATCTAAACCACATCAAGCCCCCACACAGAGTCCCCGGCAGGGCACTGCCTAGTGGAGCTGTGGGAAGGGGGCCACCACCCTCCAGACCCCAGAATGGTAGTGCTACCAGCAGCTTACACCCTGAGCCTAGAAAAGCCACAGAGTCAATTATGACCCATGAGAATAGCCATGGGGGCTGCACTCTGCAAAGCCACAGCGGTGGAGCTGCCCAAGCCTTGGGAGCCCACCCCTTGCACCAGTGTGCCCAGGATATGAGGAGACCTGGAGTCAAACATTATTTTGGAGCTTTAAAGTTTAATGCCTGCTTGCTGTGTTTTGAATTTGTGTCTGGCCTGTTGCCACTTTCTTTTTGCCAGTTTCTCTCTTTTGGAATGGGGATATTTACCCAATGCCTGTACCACTATTATGTCTTGAAAGTAAATAATTTGATTTTGGTCTTACAAGCTCATAGGAGGAAGGAACTTGCCTTAAGTCTCAAATGAGACTTTGGAATTCTGAACTGTTGCTAGAATGAGTTAACACTTTTGGGGACTCTTGGGAAGGGATGACTGTATTTTGCATTGTGAGAAGGACATGAGATTTAGGAGGCAAAGGGCAGAATGATATGGTTTGCGTATTTGTTCCCTCCAAATCTCATGTTGAAGTGTGACCTCCAGTGTTGGAGGGGGGCCTAGTGCAACGTGTTTGGATCATGGAGGCGGATCCCTCATGAATGGCTTGGTGCCTTCCCTACAGTAATGAGTTCACACGAGATCTGGTTGTTAAAAACACCAGACTGTCCCAGGTCTATAAAGGGTTTTGTTGAGCAGATCTTTAGATGTTGTTCTTTGGTCTACAGAGGACAAGAGGAAACACAAAAGCAGGGAAGATTTCAATCATGTGTATGGAAGACTTTTAAGTGGAGGATAATAGTACATTGAAATGGGCTAGCAATAGAGGGCATGGATTTTCTGTACCTGGACTCCTTCTAAAGAGAACAGGCACCCTTTATCCTGAATTTTTTAGAAATTCTCCTGTCTAAAGGTAAATGATTAAGTTATTAAAATGTAGGATATATCACAAAATCAGTGTAGATTAATTCTTTCCAATTTCTAAGTCTACTAGGTGTTGCCATTGAATTCTTCAGTTATGTAGATGTTTTCTTTCTGTTTAATTTTTCTAACTTACTATTTATTTTTCTTTTTTTGAGACAGGGTCTCACTGTGTCACCTAGGCTGGAGTGCAGTGGCATGTTCTCAACTCACTGCAACCTCACCTCCCCGGGTTCAAGCGACTCTCCTGCCTCAGACATCCAAGTAGCTAGGATTACAGGTGTGCGCCACCAAGCCTGGCTAATTTTTATACTTTTAGTAGAGATGGGGTTTCACCATGTTGCCCAGGCTAGTCTTGAACTTTTGAGTTCAAGTGATCCACCCGCCTCTGCTCCCAAAGTGCTGGGATTATAGGCATGAGCCACTGTGCCAGGCCTCTGTTTAACTTATATTCTGTTAGTTACACATGAGGAGCAACTTCCTGGGTCATGAACAATCAGGTACTTATATTATATTCTTAGTTTGGATTGGCTAAGTGTAATTTCAGTTTTTATTTGCATGTTGCAGAGAGACTTTAAAAAATCTTCATGCCCTTGCACGTGAATGCATGTAAATAGTACGGTGGATCCTTGATCAACATCTTAGGTCCATTTTGTACTTTTGCTTTGTTCTCCTCATGGGAATGAGGTGAAGAATTGCTCTTAGAAACTGGCAAATATAAAATTAAGCCATTATCACCATTTCTAAGATTAATGCTAGAGTAAAAACAAAGAGATTGAAACCTCTACTTCTTCAGGGTGGGCCTAACCTGGGCTCATTAGACTTTGTCAGTACCTGCATGCACATCTGCTCCCAATACGTCTCAACCCATCCCAGCACAGAGCCAATTCTGCATGAGGCAGATATCTGCTGGCCTGACCTGGTTGTGGCCTCTTCTGAAAATCCTTCTCTGTGATAAGTATTTTGTATCCAAGGTCATATACTTCCTTTTTTTTATTTTTATTTTTTTTGAGTCGGAATTTTGCTCTGTCACCCAGGCTGGAGGGCAGTGGTGCGATCTTGGCTTACTGCAACCTCCAGCTCCTAGGTTCAAGCAATCCTCCTGAGTAGCTGGGATTACAGGCACCTGCCACCATGCCCACCTAATTTTTCTATTTTTAGTAGAGATGTGATTTCACCATGTTGGCCGGGCTGGTCTCAAACTCCTGACTTCAGGTGATTCACCCACCTCGGCCTCCCAAAGTTTTGGGATTATAGGCGTGAGCCATTGTGCCCAGCCCTAAGGTCATATACTTCTAATTGGGATTAGAAAAGGAAAGATTTAAGGCAGATTTGAAAATGTATTACATTTGTTTTAAGGTTATCATTTTCAGGGATGGGTTAGGCTGATTTGGGGTAAAGCACCTGCTATTCTTTTGGCATGTCAGCAACCCAAATTGGGTTCATGCTCCTTTGACCTGACCCAATGAGTGGAAGTGAGATGTAGGCAATTTGGGAGTAAATTACATTAACATTGACTCCAAAGAAATGACTGTCACAAACAGTGAGACAGGGAAATTGAAATTGGGTAAATAAGGCTTCCCTGAGACCTGCTCCACATGCGAAGTATTTCTGCCCTGGATATTGAGCCCATAATGCATTTTAGCACAAGTTTGATCATAAAAGAAATGAATCTCACAGTAGAGGAAATTCTTCCCAACAGGGTTCCTTTATTTAACTTGCGTGAATTTATACAGCACAAAAGGTCCTTTTATAGCAAGACAATAAGTAAAAGAGATGGTTAGCCATCAATATATGGTACATTATTCTGTGCATTTAGTTTTTAGCAGTACAGAACTGCTGGATATGAGAATAGAGTAGAAATAGCATGTAGTTTACAGCACAGTGAAAAGAAGGCAGGCACTGAAGTTTGTGTTAAGGAATTTCAGAAAAACATAAAAGTTAGTAACTATGATTTCATTTTCCATTTCTTCAACCGTGAATTGTTTGCAGGAGCTGGGCTGTCCCTTGCTTTCATAGTTTTCATTGTTCACATGAATATCACTCAATATTTTGAAATTATAGATTTGTGATGTGACAGAGAGGAGGGTATCAAATCTACAGCCCTTGTGTGACTCCCAGTCACATGTGTGACTCCCAGTGATGGAAAGAGAACCAGGGCGAGGTTGGGGGAAGGCTTGCAATGGGCAAGCAAGATGCAGCAAACTCTTCCAGAGTCAGGTGCCCTGCCTAGCAGCAGCATTGCTTTTGGCAGCAGGATTTCTGTTGGCAACAGCCCTTCCCACAGCCGCAGCCACACGAGCTGCAGGTACGGCGGCAGCAGCAGATCACGGGAGTGCTGCAGCAGCCTCCACAGCAGCCGCGGCAGCAGGGGCAGCAGCTGGAGCAGCAGCCCACCCGGTAGCACCTGCAGGTGGTGCAGCTGCCACAGCCACCACCGCAGCCACCACCGCAGCCACCACCTCAGCCACCACTGCAGCCACAACTTCCACAACCACAGCAACCCATGGTGTCAGTAGAGAGGACTCAGGTGAAGTGAGGAGGGAGGATGTGAGAGGTGACGAGGTCTGATGTTTGCCTCTGCAAGGGACCCTTAAATACTGCTGCTGGGGCTTGGCACATGACTATAGTCACTTCCTTGTTGTTTTGGCCACTTTCCGTGGCAAACTTTTGTTTCCTGTTTATTACTTCCTCAGGGGTGTACACAACTTGATTTTTTATTTCAATTTTAGATAAATTCACTTCTATTTCAAAAACGGAATCAGAACTGACATTTTTTTCAGAAAACACTGCATTGTTTCAATCTGTCTACCTGAGGGTAAAATTATTTTGATAGTAGTCAATGGTCTAAGCCAAAGAGATCCAGCCGTTCCTCGTCTTTCGCAAATCAGTAATAGCTGCCCAGAGGAAAGAGTCCTCTTCAAAATGTATCTGTCTTTTACTCTAAGTATATACATTTTATGTGTATTATCCTTAATCACCCTTTATAAAAACCCCAACACATTAGGTATATAGAGTCTTTATTAAAATGAGTTTTGTCATCAAAGAAGCCCAGGAAATGTTGCATATTGTTTCCATTTGGGAAATTCACATTAATATATTAAAGGTAATAGGAAGTCCTGGAGGAAAAGGGAGTCTCAAAAATCAATATTCAACATAAAGAGATTTCATATCAAATAGAAAATGTAGTTAAAAAATTACTTTTTGAATGGGTTTACTCAAAACAAGGATTTAGAGAATCCATTTGAAATAGCAACAAAAATAAAATTAAAGTATGATATATGACTCCAATGACATGCAGGATCTTGATGGAAAAAATTTTTAAATTCTACTGAGGGACATAAAAGAAGAAAGAAATAGAGGTTTGTGGATGGAACATCTCAACTGACATCTAAAAGATGTCAATCCTTTCCAAATAAATTAATAAATTCATTGCAATTCTATTAAAAACACTAAGAGATGTACAAACTTTTCTTGTTTTGATTTAACTTGACAGCTGCCCCCAAAATACATTTGACAAAACAAAAGGTCAATAATATCAAATACATGTTTTAAGAGGAATGAGAAGGACAGTTTGCCCTATCAGATGTTGGGACTCCTTCTAAGGCCATGGTCATTAAAACAGTGAGAAATTTTGTTGCTGAGAGAGATAGACTAATGGAGAGGAATAGAGAGCCCAGAAATGGAATCACATAGATTTTGGAATTTGATATATGGCAGAACAGTTACAAATCAGAAGAAAATATTGACTATTCAATATTAGTACTGAAATAACAGGTTATCCGTATGGATAAAAATAACACTAGCATCCTTCTTCACACCATACATAAAAGAAAGTTCCAGATGATTTTTGAGATCTAAAAATGAAAAGCAAAGCTTGATATTTTAAGAAGACACAATAAATTATTTTTCTTTTTTTTAACTTTTAGGTTCAGGAGTACATGTGCAGGTTTGTTATAGGTAAACTCATGTCATGAGGGTTTGGTTTACAGATTATTTCATTACCTGGGTGCTAAACTTAGTACTCAATAGTTATTTTTTCTGATCCCCTTCCTCCTCCCAGCTTCCACCCTCAAGTAGACTCCAGTGTCTGCTGTTCTTCTATTCATATCCATATGTTCTCATAATTTAGCTCCCCCTTATAAGTGAGAAAAAGCGGTATTTGGTTTTCTGTTCCTGCATTAGCTTGCTAAGGATAATCACCTCCAGCTCCATCCATGCCCCTGCATGATCTTGTTCTTTTTTATGGCTGCATAATATTCCATAATAGTAGACTGGATAAAGAAATTTCTAAATGGATAAATTTCATTATCCAGTCTACCACTGATGGGCATTTAGGTTGATTCCATGTCTTTGCTATAGTGAATAGTGCTGCAATGAACATGTGTGTAAGTATCTTTATGGTAGAATGATTTATATTCCTTTGGGTATATACCCAGTAATGGGATTGCTGGGTCAAATGGTAGTTTTGTTTTTAGCTCTTTGAGGAATCACCAGACTACTTTCCACAATGGTTGAACTAATTTACACTCCAACCAACAGTATATAAGCATTTCCTTTCCTCTGCATCCTCACCAGCATCTGTTACATTTTGACTTTTTGATAATAGCCATTCTGACTTGTGAGACAGTATCTCATTGTAATTTCGATTTGCATTTCTCTAATGATTAGTGATACTGAGCTTTTCTTCATATGCTTGTTGGCTGCATATATGACTTCTTTTGAAACGTGTCCATTCATTTCCTTTGCCCACTTTTTAATGAGGTTGTTTTTTGCTTGTACATTTGTTCAAGTTCCTTACAGATGCTGGATATTTGACCTTTGTTAGATGCATAGTTTGCAAATAATTTCTCTCATTCTGTAGGTTTTCTATTTACTCTGTTGATAGTTTCTTTTGTTGCATGGAACCTCTTTAGTTTAATTAGATCCCATTTGTCAATTTTTGCTTTTGTCACAATTGCTTTTGGCATCTTCGGCATGAAATCTTTGCCCATGCAGATGTCCTGAAAGGTACTGCCTAGATTTTCTTCTAGGGTTTTTATAGTTTTGGGTTTCACATTTAAGTCTTTAATCCATCTTGAGTTGATTTTGTTGATTTTTGTATATGGTGTAAGGTAGGGGTCCAGTTTCAATCTTCTGCATATGGCTAGCCAGTTATCCCAGCACCATTTATTGAATAGGGAGTCCTTTCTCTGTTGCTTGTTTTTGTCAGCTTTGTCAAAGATCAGATGGTTGTAGGTGAGCAGCATTATTTCTGGGCTCTCTATTCGGTTTCATTGGTCTATGTGTCTGTTTTAGTGCCAGTACCATTCTGTTTTGGTTACTGTAGCCTTGTAGTATAGTTTGAAGTTAGGTAACATGTTGCCTCCAGCTTCTTTCTTTTCGCTTAGGATTACTTTGGCTGTTCAGACACTTTTTTGGTTCTATGTGAATTTTAAAATAATTTTTTCTAGTTCTGTAAAGAATGTCATTGGTAGTTTGATAGGAAAGAATTGAATCTGTAAATTGCTTTGGGCAGTATGGCCATTTTAATGATTTTGATTCTTCCTATCTATGAGCATAAGATGTTTTTCCATTTGTTTGTGTCATCTCTGATTTCTTTGAGGAGTGCTTTGTAATTCTCATTGTAGAACTCTTTCACCTCCCTGGTTAACTGTATTCCTAAGTATTTTATTCTTTTTGTTGCAATTGTGAATGGGATTGCATTCCTGACTTGGCTCTCAGCTTGACTGTTGTTGGTGTATAGGAATGCTGCTGATTTTTGTTCATTGATTTTTGTATCCTAAAGCTTTGCTGAAATTGTTTATCAGCTTAAGGAGCTTTGGGGCAGAGACTGTGGGGTTTTCTAGATGTAGGATTATGTTATCTGCAAACAGGGATAGTTTGACTTCCTCTCTTTCTATTTTGATGCCCTTTATTTATCTTTTTATTATTATTTTTTGAGATGTAGTTTCACTCCTGTTGCCCAGGCTGGAGTGCAATGGCACGATCTCGGCTCACTGCAACCTCCACCTCCCAGGTTCAAGCGATTCTCCTGTCTCAACCTCCCAAGTAGCTGGGATTACAGGCATTCACCACCATGCCTGGCTAATTTTGTATTTTTAATAGAGATGGGGTTTCTCCATGTTGATCAGGCTGGTCTTGAACTCCTGACCTCAGGTGCTCTGCCCACCTAGGCCTCCCAAAGTGCTGGGTTGCCTTTATTTATTTCTCTTGCCTGATTGCTCTGTCCAGAACTTGCAATACTATGTTGAATAGGAATGGTGAGAGAGGGCATCCTTGTCTTTTGCCAGTTTTGAAGGGGAATACTTCCAGCTTTTGCCCATTCAGTATAATATTGGCTGTGGGTTTGTCTTAGATGACTCTTATTATTTTGAGATATGTTTCTTCAATACCTAGTTTATTGAGAGTTTTTAATGTGAAAGGATGTTGAATTTTATTAATAGCCTTTTCTGCATCTATTGGGATAATCAAGTGGTTTTTGTCTTTAGTTTTGTTTATGTGATGAATCCCATTTATTGATTTGCATGTGTTGAACCAACATTTTATCCCAGGGATAAAGCCTACTTGATCATGGTGGATAAGCTTTTTGATGTGCTGTGGGATTTGGTTTGCAGTATTTTGTTGAGCATTTCTGCATCTATGTTCATCAAGGATAAATTATTTCTTAGAATAGAGAAATCCAAACAATAAAGAAAAATATGAATTAAATAGAAAATACTTCAAATGAAAGAGAAGAAAACATTTTCACATAAAAACATGCTGAAAATTGGCTGGGTGCAGTGGCTCATGCCTGTAATCCCAGCACTTTGGGAGGCTGAGGTGGGCAGATCACCTGAGGTCAGGTGGGCAGATCACCTGAGGTCAGGAGTTCGAGACTAGCCTGACTAACATGCTGAAACCCCGTTTCTACTAAAAATACAAAAAATTAGCCGGGTGTGGTGGCACATACCTGTAATCCCAGCTACTCGGGCATCTGAGGCAGGAGAATCACTTGAACCCGGGAGGCAGAGGTTTCAGTGAGCCAAGATCGTGCCATTGCACTCCAACCTGGCCAACAAGAGCAAAACTCCGTCTCAAACAAAAACAAAAACAAAAAACAAACCAAAAAAATGCTGAAAATAAAGATTAAAATAAACTTTAGCCTAAAGAACAATTAATTTTAAAAAGAAAACAAATTATTAGAAAAGTGAATGAAGAATATGAATTGAGGAGTTATAGAAGACAAAATTCAACACAGAAAGATGCTCAACCTCACTGGTAATCAGAAAAGTGCAAATTAAAACCACACCATGGTTTTAATTTTATACCCACCTGATTATCAAAATGTTCAAGTCTGACAATACCAAATATTGGTGAGAATGTCAAACAATTGGAATTCTCATACTTTGTTGGGTGGGAGTGTAAATTGCTATAACCAATTCTGAGAGCAATTAAGCAACGTCTGGCTAGGTCAAAGATATGCATTCTCCTGTTTAATCATTTATATCAATATTGGCTGATCGAACCCTATTCTATTCATTGAGTTATAAATCTGTTACTGTCATTATTCTGATGCTCAAGTTGTCCCAAATTTTGCCATTGGTAGCACCTTCAAGCTGGTCTGTGGTTTTAAAAAATATCTCCATAATTTTTGAAGTACTAACTTAAATTCTGGCACAAGATGTTCAAGGTCCCATTTCATCCTTTTCCTGTCCCAGATCTGGAATCAGCCTGTTCTCCAAGGATTCTGGTTCCTTTTATTGGATAGTGATATTTAGAATCCAAGATCTGGGTACTAACTGCACTCATTGCTAGGATTTGTTTTCTGCACCTACAGTCAGTTCTTCTATAACACAACATATGTGCTCCTAAAAATCATGAGACTGTACAAAATTGTGCAATAAAAGCATAGGACTCATGGCTAACACTGAGCTTTGGGAACAGCACTCAAAAAACTTCATCAGTGACTCATTAAAGAAAAGATGGAGAACTTAGTAAAAAGGGTGCACAGTTCTATACATAACATGTGTGTATATATGTGTGTGTGTGTGTATTACAGGATATACATATATCATGTAATAAATGTGGCATTTTACCTGAAGTTTGCTTATGGAAGTGGGCATAAGAAGGGTTGCAGCTTGTGGTATTGTCAAGTGATAGGAAGGGAGTGGTATCTGAAATGAAACAGAAAGTTGTAACTGTTATGTGCAGAAGGGTTTCATTCACAGCACATTGGTGAGCAGGTAGCTAGTAGGTAGTTGTTTGAAGTATGCATGCGTGCATTTTAGCTGGGTGCAGTTTTCTGTATCTACTTGGTATTTCTCTAGGACAAAATCACATATAAGCAAATGCAAAATTTGCCTTATGTTCCAGTTGTTTCTCAATACATCAGCCTCCTTGGAACACATTTACATTTTCAAAAACAAGTGTTATACCAGAACTGACTGTATTACATATTAGGAACCGTGCTAGGCATTGGGAATTTGAATAATTGATCCCCTGTATGTTTTCCACTTGGCTTTCTGTTTCAGGGCTTTTCATATTTTCTTATGGTTTGCTTTTGTGTTTGTCTTATTTGATGGACCTTACATGCTTCTTTAGGGCCAGTTTCATCTCTCATTCATCTTACTCTCCCAAGTGCTACACAGTGTCTGAAATGTATAACAGTATTATTAAACTTTTGATAAATTGATACCAGTAAGGATAATGTATAGTTCCTCCTTTCAAAGAACTACAGTCTGGAATTGTTCCGTCCAATATGGCAGCCACTTACAATGTAGGCTAATTCAGTTCAAATTAATCAAAATTAAATAAAGTAAACAATTTTGTTCTTCAGCTTCATTAGCTACATTTACGTACTCAATAGACACATGTGGTAAGTGGCTACCATATTGGTCAGCTCAGAATAGAACATTTCCATCTTTCCAGAAAGTCCAACTGGGCAGCTCTGGTCCAGATCCAAGTGGATGGAGAATTACAGCTGCCTTATTATTCAGATCACTATCGGAAGACCTGGTGATGACCTGCCTCCTGTCCCCACAGAAAGAAAAAGTGACCCTACATGTAGGAAGATATAATTGAAAATATTTGAGACTGGAGGTCTTCTGAAAAATCAGAATTTTAAAAAGGTAGATCCATGTAATAAAGCCTAAAGTATTCAACAAAGAAGTCAATGAGATCTAAAGAAAGTGAAATTCTCCCAAAGACATAACAAGGAAGACTTACTTACCAAGTTTCAAACCTCCCAGAGTCATTTTCTGCAAAGTGGACTGGAGAAGAATAACAGAAGTAGTAGGAGAAAAACAAGGAATTTTGTCTCATAAAAGTCAACAGATGAGAATGTGTTAAGAAAGATTTGTCAACTGCATAGTGCTGAGAAGTCATCTTGCAACACTGTCAAAGAGCATATTGTGGACTCCGCCGCAGTGGAGGTCACGGGGGATTTGAGTTAGAGCATTTCACATGCAGGGGTTGTCTAGGGAGAAGTGGGGAAGTTTTGGAGGATTTTTGGTGAAGATTCTTATTTTTTATAGTAAGTGAAAAAACAATAACTCAATATATGTACCATAATCCCCAATTTTGTTTTTAAGTAGTGCAGATGGGTGGACATAAAATTCTGGAAGAAAAATAAAAAGTGAAGAATGGTTATTTCCATAAGGTGTGATTGTGGATAATTTTTTTCTTCATATTTCTGTGTATTTTTCAATTTTCTGCAATAAGCATGTATAACTTTCATAGTAGAAAAATATCACTAATTATACTTAAATAGAATTATAGGTAATATTTTGTTTCTTCATATTTTTTATATTTTAAAAGACATGTCAACACATTTTATTATGTATAATCTTTTAAAAGTTTTTTTATTTATTCTTTCTAAGAGAAGCAGTCTTGCTATTTTGCCCAGACTGACCTAAAATTCCTGGGCTAAAGGGATTCTCCAGCCTCAGCCTTTCAAATAGCTTGGACTACAGACATGCTCCACTGTGCCTGGCTTTTTGTGTATAATCTTTGAGACGGAGTTGTGCTCTGTTGCCCAGGTTGGAGTGCAGTGGTGTGATCTTGGCTTACTGCAACCTCCACCTTCCAAGTTCAAGCCATTCTCCTGCCTCATCTTCCCAAGTAGCTGGGACTACAGGTGTGTGCCACCATGCCTGGCTAATTTTTGTATTTTTGGTAGAGACAGAGTTTCGCCATGTTGGCCAGGCTGGCCTCGAACTCCTGGCCTCAAGTGATCTGCCCGCCTTGGCCTCCCAAAGTGTTGGGATTACAGGCGTGAGCCACTGCACCTGGCCGCTGTATATAATCCTATGCGTACTTTGCTGACTCCTCATCCCACATTCCTGCTTCCTCACCCAACACCTATTTTTTAGTGTCACTGTTCCCCTGCCTATCATCTAGAGGGAGGTTTTTTTTTGTTGTTGTTTTCTTGGCTTTTTTTGGACAATGCTCTCTGCAAGTGTGGCTGTCAAGGGGAGGAGAGACAAAGGCAGTAGCTGGAGGGGCACTGGACTCAACAGTGTGCTTTTTTTGCTTGAAGGGAGGAGAAATGCCACTTACAAGGTTTTGATGTGGATGGAAGAATCTGGAAGGTTGGGGGAGTGTTGATTGCTGTGTTTGTAGTGTCTAGGATGGGTGGCACTTCACAGATGCTCAGCAAATACCCGTGGAGTGAGGGAATGAGAGGAAGAGATGCCTGAGAAAGGAGATTTAGAAAGCCAGATGGAGGTGGTTTCAAGTGCACAGGTGCAGGGGCCAGTCTTGGATGGTGGGAGTGGGATCCACACCCACCTCCTCCTCCATGGTTAACCGAAGAAGAGGAGGACTGACTGGATTCCAGCACTTTTTTGCACAGTATGGTAGGAAGTGCCTTCTTGGAGTGAAGGGGTCGGAGAAGGCATCCAACATCTGAAGAAAGGGGAGAAGATAGGAAGTAGTCATTGTAGGAAGAGGGCAGGCCAGCTGATGGGAGAAGGGGAGAACCTGGAGGAGGGCAGGCAGCTCCCTCTGCTGCCATCTGTGGTGGTGATGACAGATCCCAGCCCCCTCTTTATTCTCCTGCCTCCACACCGTTGCCTCCTCATTTTCCCACTGTTGCTCTCCCTTCTTTTGTTATAATTTCGTGGAGATATGACCAAAACAGAAGGGGGAGAAAAAGAGACAGCTAAGTTTCAATTGGGGTGATTGGGGATTGATGACATTTGAACTGTGTCTTTGAGGAATGCTTGGGACGTCCCTGCTGGAAGAGGGCCCTTTAAATTAAGGCACAGCCACAAGGGAGGTGGGGGAGGAGGCAAGTTCAAGTTATGGTGATGCGGCTGGCATGTTTCTTGTGTGAAAGCAAAGGGTCTGTGTCAGAGGAGCAACCTGGTGCCTGCCCTGCATTTGCTCCCTTACTCCCAAGTGTCCTTTGCTTTGTTGGTTTCGTTCCTGTCCTTTGGTGAATCTTGCCCCCTTCATTGTTCTTGTCTCTGTCTTATTTCTAAGAGTGTGGTACAGTGTTGAACACGTGGTACCTGCACTGTAGATATTAACTTCTACTAGTAGTCATGATGTTAATTACAAACTTGCCCTTCTCATGTAGCCTTGGGCTACTCTAGAGCCTCAGACAGGAGATTAAGCTGCAAAGATAAATTGAAGCTAGATTATTTATTATTATTATTATTATTATTTGAGATGGAGTCTCGCTCTGTCACCCAGGCTGGAGCACAATGGCGTGATCTTGGCTCACTGCAACCTCTGCCTCCCAGGCTCAAGCGATTCTCCTGCCTTAGCCTCTCGACTAGCTGGGACTACAGGACTGCACCACCACGCAGGGCTAATTTTTGTATTTTTGGTAGAGACGGGGTTTCACCATGTTGGCCAGGCTGGTCTCAAACTCCTGTCTTTAAGTGATCCACCTGCCTCGGCCTCCCAAAGTGTTAGGATTACAGGCATGAGCCACCGCACCTGGCCTGAAGCTGGATTGTTGAGGGCATTTTAATGCCATACTAGTGAGTCTGAATTGTTGAGTAGGAAAGAAATGTTGAACATTAGAATATAGAGCAGCACAAGATAGCTTTTAAAATACAGAAGCACAAAAATTTCATAAAATTGTGTTAACATCATTATACCATATACTGACCATGTATAAGGATTTATACTTCATGAGGTCATAGTTAATAATAGGGACTATTTTAAAGTAGTTTGTTTCCTCAAGGACCAAAATCTTTCCAAGTCTCTGCTCTGGCAGTCTTCAAAGTGTGATCTAAGGACCTCTGGAGGCCCTGAGCTTATTAAGATACTCCTCCTTTTTCCAACTGCATATCTGTGTCAGGCTGGATTTTTACTCCAGCCAAAACACTGTAGGATAATAGATTCATCAAAGAAGGAGAATGAGAATCCAGCTGTCTTTGATCAAGACAGACATTAAAGAGATTGGCAAAAATATAAAATAATGGCCACTGTACTCATTAATTCTTTTTTATTTTGGAAAATGGAGTTTTTTTTCCAAAATGTATTATGTATGTGATCATGTAATGGGCTTATATTATTTAAAAATGAATTAATAAACTTTTTAAAAGTCTCAGTGTTAATTTAGAATGCAATAAGTATCTATAGATTTAAGCCATATAACAAGGACAATTTGGAGTTCTCAATACTTTTTAGGAGCATAGGGATCCCGAGAGTAATAAGTTTGAGAACCACTGCTCCAACCTTTCTCTTCTCTTTGGTCAATGTGTGAATGTGCTTTTCCAAATCCACCGTTAAAATCTGAACGTAGGACGTCCTGGGACTCCACACCTGAGAAGTAAATGAAAGCCTTGCTTTCCAGACTGAAAGGAAGTTCGGGGCGGGGTGAGGGGTGCGGAGTGCGGTACTCCCCCTCCCACTTAGAGAGTCACAGAGCACGTGACAAAGGCAAGCCACTGAGGACAGAGTCAAAAAGCCTGTCTGGCTTTATTTAAATTCATTATTTCTCAAAAATAGTCAAACCTTTTTTGTGTGTTGCCTTTTAATGTCCTGTGGAACGAATCTTCTACCAAATGTGTTTTGGGAAGCCTGACATTGATTAGTCCCCTTCGTCCTGAGTTCTGAGGAGCATTGCAAGGCCAGATGAGGGCATCTCTGGGGACAGTGGAGCTTCCTGGGGCCTCTGGACCCTTACTTTGGGGTTGCCTTGCTGCCAGCTCTGTCATTAAGGTGGGACCTACAAAGTGTGACTCATGCGAGAAGAATTCATTAGGAGGAAGAAACCCGAGGACCAGAAGGTACTGAAGCCGGATCTGAGGGCTGTGGGCTTCTCTAATGAGGCTGATCTTGATAATTCCCTAAATGAGCTCACTGTGTGTGCTGAGGGCTCTCCCAGGTAGAATAATCAGACATAGCCACTAACCTAGATGCAGGTGGCCTCTTTGAATTGTGACTTCCAGACCAGTGATAGAAAATAGCAAAGATTGGGAACTTCCTTTATGTTAGCTTCTGTGTTCTCCTTCTACTCAAGTAAACCCTAGGAATTTTTTTTGGAGAGATGTCAAGGGAAATATATGATTCTCCTGGGAAAATATTAGTAAGCAAGGAAACCATCAATGACAGATATATCTCTCTGGCTCATCTATTCAAGACTGGCTGTATTTGAAAATAGGGATAGGTCCTTGGCTGAATATTCCCACTGGATGGAACAGAGGTTAATTTAGCTGAACTGAAGATAAATGACTTAATGAGATGAAAGGTGCCTAATAGGGACATAAACAGGAGGTTTCCCTGTGGAAACTGAAATAAACAATAACAAGGAAGTGGTCATGTGTCTTCCCTCTCCTCTCCCCAGAGTTGGTACATAAGGGCCTCCCCCAGCAGAAGGAGGCATCAGACCTCCTCACCTCTCCTGAGTCCTCCTCACTTCACCTGAGTCCTCTCTACTGACACCATGGGTTGCTGTGGTTGTGGAGGTTGTGGTGGCTGCGGTGGCCGCTGTGGTGGCTGCGGTGGTGGCTGTGGTGGTGGCTGTGGTGGTGGCTGCGGTGGTGGCTGTGGTGGTGGCTGTGGTGGTGGCTGCGGTGGTGGCTGCGGTGGTGGCTGTGGTGGTAGCTGTGGCAGCTGCACCACCTGCAGGTGCTACCGGGTGGGCTGCTGCTCCAGCTGCTGCCCCTGCTGCCGTGGCTGCTGTGGAGGCTGCTGCAGCACTCCCGTGATCTGTTGCTGCCGCCGCACCTGCCACTCATGTGGCTGTGGCTGTGGGAAGGGCTGTTGCCAGCAGAAATGCTGCTGCCAGAAGCAATGCTGCTGCTAGGTGGCCGGCCTGGTTCCACCCCTGCCCAGGAGCTGTGGGAACCCTCACTGTCTCCTGCTGGCAAGGCTCTGCTTAACCCCATTCTGTCTAATCCTTTTTCTAACCTATCTGTCACCAGCAGATCCCCTTGGCTTCTGCCTCATGTGCCTTGTGCTTTGTCCTTCTGGGATCTTCCTTTGCCCACACACGGCACCAACTTGCCCAGACCACACAATGTGAAACAAACGGGCAACCGAGCAGCCGGTGATAACCAGATAAAGTCAGAGCCAACCAGGAAACTTAGTACTTTATTATTTTGTAATGTTCAATCTTTCCTAAATAGTCAGTCCTGGATTTCACCATTTTTCTGTTCACTGTCTGTGTGCAATCTTTTCCATTGCTTTTGTCTATATTTGCTCTTTAAAATTTCCCAGTAAAATGACTTGGTATGTCACAAAAATCTCTTCATTAGTCATTTTTTTTTTAATCGGTTCCTTCGTCGGCTTATCCATCCCTGTGCTGTGAGTCCAGTTCTGGCCCTCACACTCCTGCAACCTCCTGAAGCTGGCCATGGGCCCAGCCGCTGAACTTGTAGCTGTTGATCAGAGAGGCACAGAGCTCCCTGTGCTGCTGCTCTGACATGATGTCTTACCTGTGGGGTCTGTGTACTCGGACTCTCCCAAGGATTTTCTAGGGTGGGATGAGGGTGGTGTGAATTGATGGTGGTGATAGGTCTCTGTTTCTCCTTGAAATTTATCTAGGAGGCTGGGTGTAGTGGCTCATGTCTGTAGTCCCAGCACTTTGGGAGCCCAAGATGGGTGGATCCCTTGAGACCCGTTGTTCGAGACCAGCCTGGGCAATATAGGAGACCTCATCTCTGAAAAAAAACCCAAAATGTTAGCTGGGTATGGTGAAGTGCTCCTATAGTATCAGCTACTTCGGAGGCTGAGGCAGGAGGATCGCTTGATCTCAGGAGGCTGAGGCTGCAATGAACTGTGACAACATCACTGCACTCCAGCCTGGGTGACAGAGTGAGACACTATCTAAAACAAATTATGTAGGAAATGAAAAATGAGCCCCAAAGGAGGGGGGAATGGATGTAGCCTCTACCTTGCTGTGCTCAGTGGTTTCTGAAAAGACTGGAAAGTGTTTGCCAGGACAAGGAGGTTGAGCACTGTGGGGGGTGGGGCAGTTCCATGTAGCTCATGTCCTTGCTGGTGTTCTCGGCATGGCCTCCGAGACCACTACTAGGCATCAGTAGTCGTAAAGACTTGTAAATAAATAAGAAAGTTGGGGCTGGGTGTGGTGGCTCATGCCTGTAATCCCAGCACTTTGGGAGGCTGAGGTGGGAGAATCACCTGAGTCCAGGAGTTTGAGACCAGCCTGGGCAATATAGTGAGACCCTATCTTTACAAATAATCAAAAATTAGCCAAGCATAGTGGTGCACACCTGTAGTCCTAGCTACTTGGGAGGCTGAGGCAGGAGAATTACTTGAGCCCAGGAAGTCGAGGCTATAGTGAGCCATGATCACCAGCAGTCAGCTTGAGCAACAGAGTGAGACCCTGTCTCTAAATAAATAGGAAAGTCATTCTAACCCTGGTTATGGCAATGAAACAGATTCCACTTAGGAGGGAGGTTGGCTACAAAAGCTTAGAGAAGTGTCATGCTCATTCAAGGTGGGAGAAAGAACAAACTCGCCAAACTCGTATTAGATTGGAGCTCACCACAGTGTACCAGGCCCAAGGCAGTTTGCTTGCACTCAAAAATCTTTTTTTGACTAAATGTTCTTCATGATCTAGACTACGCTTTGGCAATTTTTTCTGTGAAGTATCAGATGTAAATATTTTCAGCCTTGCAGGCCACATGATTTGTTGTAACTTGTCAACTCAGCCATTCTACCTTTAAAACAGCCACTGACAACAATTAAATGTGTAAGTGGCTGTGTTCCAAGAAAATATTGTGTACAAAAGCAGGTGGCAGGCCAAAAGTGGGCATCAGTTTGTTGACCCCTGGTCTTGACATTGAACGGTGAAGATGAGTGCAATGTTGCACAGTGGTTAAGAGGGCTGGCTCTGAGGTCAGCCTGCCTGGGCCTGTTTTCCAACTCTCCAATTTAACAGTATATGCTTTGCAAAGTTATTTCAAGAATTAAATCAAATGATACATGTAAAATACCTAGAATTGTGCCCGCAACATTAGAAGAGCTCAAAAAGATTTCTACAGAGAACCAGAAAGGTTTAAGCATTGTGGAAGTACTCGTAATATAGATTTGACTTTCTTAGCGACTGGGGGAACATGTTCTCTGTGCTCCAATGTCCTGGTAGACCCTGATCTTGGCAGGACCACGTGGGGCGCCAGAGCTCTTTCAGGGAGTTGGTTCTCCTCTCCTTCCTCAGGGTTCAGCTCAGATCTCATTTCCCTCCATAGACAGGGCCTGCGACTGCTCTCCCAGTGACCAATGGGCCCCTCACATATCTTTAGCAAAACTTTTTCGCCGGGCGCGGTGGCTCACGCCTGTAATCCCAGCACTTTGGGAGGCCGAGGTGGGTGGATCACAAGGTCAGGAGATCGAGACCATCCTGGCTCACACGGTGAAACTCCCTCTCTACTAAAAATACAAAAAATTAGCCAGGGGTAGTAGCGGGCGCCTGTAGTCCCAGCTACTCGGGAGGCTGAGGCAGGAGAATGGCGTGAACCCGGGAGGCGGAGCTGGCAGTGAGCCGAGATCGCGCCACTGCACTCCAGCCTGGGTGACAGAGCGAGACTCCGTCTCAAAAAAACAAAAAAACAAACAAAAAAAAACCTGTTTGACGTTGGACTAGGAACATCTGCTCAGTCTGCCCTCAGCCTATGAGAACCATTTCCTTTTTCCGTTTCCTCGTTTCCCATCTTTATCTTCCCGAGTTCATGCACACACGTGCCGCTTTGAGGCTGTCTCAGTCACCTTCGTAGATCATCCCTCTCACTCCCACCCATGCCCAGCGCCCAGCACAACACCTGGCAAAGAAGCGTGCAGCACGGTGTGATTGTTCTGTCGGCAAAGAATAACAGGGCACATGTTCAGCTTGTGTTTCTGTTGTTGACTGTAATCGCTTTGGGGAATTATCTTTATTGTATCCATTACTGTAATATAGTACGATGAACAAGAATTTCAAGAAGACTGTTGGCATTTGAGAATTTTTAATGGGAATGAAGTTCTCTAAAGCCATCTAACTGACCCATCTCTAGGTTTTCTTTTTTAATTTGATCCTACAAGCTGCTGTCAGATATATCTTCCTGAAATGCTATATATTCATTTTTTATTGTGCTATATAATTCACTTGCAAAAGAAACATCAAAGTCTTCACAGTCTAAAGTTCATAACTACTCTCAAATTTTATTTCCAGCTTAAATATCTATTAACTTCATTGGATAAACTTTCTACTGTAGGTAAATTGCTTTCCTTCCTGTTTCCTGAATAAGTCTTCTATTTTCCCTTAACAACGTGTAGCCTACGTTAAAATTCTAATAATAACTAACATTTATTGAGTGATTACTATGTCCCAAGCCCTATTCTATGTGTTTTATATGTGTTATCACATTTCCATTTCATAGTAACCCTATGATATACATACTATTTTTCCATCAGGGAATTCAGGTATAAAAAGATCAGGTCACATCTTTCTAGAAGCAGAGGATCAGTTTACATAGGATAATCCCAGACTGCACTGCACCATACCCTCTACCCTCTGCTTCTCCTTCCTCTCCACCTATTCAAGTCCAGTTTTCCATTCAAGAAGGCTCTGCCTTCTTCATAAAACCTCCCTTTCTTCTATCTAATTGGAAGTAATTTGTCTCTTCTCTTGTAAGTTTTGATATTCACCAGCAACTACTTTGAGACAACTCTTATTGGGCTATTAGTTAAATCTTTTTTCTTCCTTACTTTTCCCAATTATTTCTTCTCATCTCTCTTTTTTATGTATTTATTTGAGACTGAGTTTCACTCTTGTTGCCCAGGCTGGAGTGCAATGGAGTTTTACTCTTGCCGCCCAGGCTGGAGTACAATAATGCAATCTCGGTTCACTGCAACCTCTGCCTCCCCAGTTCAAGTGATCCTCCTGCCTTAGCCTCACGAGTAGCTGGGTTTATAGGCACCCACTTGTATTTTTAGTAGAGACGGGGTTTCATCACATTGGCCAGACTGGTCTTGAACTCCTGACCTCAGGTGATCCACCCCCCTTGGCCTCCCAAAGTGCTGGGATTACATGCATGAGCCACCATGCCCGCTATCATCTCTCTTATTAATTTGAAGTAATTTAGACATATATATCTTTATATCACCTGTATTGCCTTGCACATTACAAGGTTTCAGCAAATGCTTGTTGATTAGGTTTGATTTTGCTCAAATGTTTATCTTTCACAATAGGATTACAAGCAGGAAGTTAATGGATAGATGCACTGAATAGCATCCTCTATTTAGGACAGCAACACCTGGTTATATTTAACTGGCATGCTTATGCACTTGAGCCATGCTTTATGTAGGAACTTATGCTACTGACTAATAGGTCACATATTTGAATCCCCTGTGGTTTCCAATGACCTGGATTTTACAGGTTGGCTGATTGGGGCTTGGGACCACTGTGTATCCCCAAGAAGCCGAGCAGAGCTGCCTGCCTGTATGTAGGTGAATCTGAATGCAAATACACTTTGAATGAGTTCTAGTTATTGCCCAATATAATTTTTTTTCTAATTTTGGTTTAAAAGTTCAAGAAAAGCAAAGAACCTATTAGATGGTATCTGTGATCTGTGTAGGAGTCTAGTCTAGTCTTTGGGTAATTAGTCTTTGGGATTCCTCTTATAATGGAAGGCATTATTGTTAGTATTAAATACGGTGGTGGGCAATATATCCATGCAACAAACCTACACATGTACCCCCTACATCTAAAATTAAAAATATGTGCATGGGGCTGAGGCAGGAGAATCGCTTGAACCTGGGAGGCGGAGGTTGCAGTGAGCCAAGATTGTGCCATTGCGCTCCAGCCTGGGCAACAAGAGCAAAAATCTGTCCATATATATATATATACACACACACACACACACAGACACACACACAGACACACACATATATATACACACACACATATACATATATATGTGTGTATATATATGTATATACACGCATATTTATACAACATATAACATATATATTATATATGTATATATGTGTGGTGGTCCAGGATTCACCAGAATGTTGGAGTGCCCTGAGTCCAGATTTCTTCAACCTCTGTCTACCTTTTCTCAACTTAACCCATCCAATCCATCATCTCTTTGGCTCTGTGAAGTGTCCCTAATGGACATCCTTTTGCCACATCCATTGATGTTTATTTTTCCTCTAGGGCAGTGTAGCAGTGTACAGAACCCTTCTTTCCTTTCCTATAAGAAGGAAAGGGAAGCAGATTACTTTTTTTTCTTAAATAAGCGTGCTCTCCCACTACTTACAAAATATAGAAAAAGTACACAGTTACAATGTTCAAGGTACAAACAAATAATTCAATTTTGTTTACAGAAAACAAGAAACTTTAAATTGTTGTTAATCCATTCGATATTAATTCAGTCAAGAGCAGAGCCTCTGAATGGCAATTTCCACATTACTGTGATACTTGTTCATACCTCATTAATTATCTGAATACCTAGTTTGAAAGTTGGCTGTGGGGGTGGGGAAACCTAATGAAACAATTCTCGCTACTTGACTTGTAATAAATACACTTTCTAGCACGTTCACTGCATGTAGAAATTTACATTTTGACCTAATTGTATTGAGCATTGGTAGGAAAACAGTGAGCAGTTGCAAGTAGGTGATTCCCGACTACTCCTCATATTTCCCTGTCTCCAATCTTTTTTTTTTTTTGAGATGGAGTTTCGCCTAGGCTGGAGTGCAATGGCACAATCTTGGCTCTCTGCAACCTCTGCCTCCTGGGTTCAACTGATTCTCCTGCCTCAGCCTCCCAAGTAACTGGGATTACAGGTGCCTGCCACCACGCTTGGCTATTTTTTGTATTTTTAGTAGAGACAGGATTTTGCCATGTTGGCCATGCTGGTCTCAAACCCTGACCTCAGGTGATCTGCCTGCCTTGGCCTCCCAAAGTGCTGGGATTATGGGCGTGAGACACCGTGCCCAGCCCCCTGTCTCCAATCTTTACTGAAGCCCTTTCCTGTGATAGACAGTCCCTGTCAGAGTTCCTCCCATTCCCCTTCTCCCACAGACACTCAGACTTGATTTATTTTTCCCCACACATCTAAGAAAGTCATTCGGTAGGGTTCTTGTTGCAGGTGCTTTTATTGGAATCTCTTTTCATGCATTTCTTATCAGACCGGGAGCTTGTGGATTCATCTTGTTAAGTCCTCACAGTGTGCCCTGCGGAGCCACTTTCTCCTAAGAGGAGGACAATCCAACAACTGTTTGTTAAATTGACTACACTGCTCCCTGCAAGTTTATATGATGGGAAAGTATTACGGTGCATCAAAGTAGAGGTTCATGGGCCTCTTTAAGTAAAAACAGACAAATCCTGGAGATTAGAACGTTGGAAAGAAATGTATACCAGGTGAAGGCATGGAAGAAATGCTTGTTTAATGTGTATTTTACAATATGGTTATTGAAGCAATTTAACTGTTCTGTCTTTAATCTGGAATATTGGAAAAAATTACCAAACATTGGCAGGAAATTATTACATTCCAAAATTTGAGGGAAAAATATGAACCAAAAACTAACTATTTTACACAGGGGCTCATCCTTGAAACGTGGTACCTGAAGCCAACTAAGTATAGGCAGGACTTAGAGGGCTGTACAACAGAACCACAGTATTGAACCACTTCATTATCTTTCTGGATTGAAAAGTAGTACGCAGTTGCACTCTCGAAAAAGTAATCTTTAAGACTTCTTGTACAGTAACTAAAAATTAATCTGAAGAAAGGCCAGTGTTAAAGATCTAGCTCATATGGCTGAGTGCGGTGGCTCATGCCTGTAATCCTAGCACTCTGGGAGGCTGAGGTGGGCGGATTGTCTAAGCTCAGGAGTTCAAGACCAGCCTGGGCAACACGCTGAAACCCCATCTCTACTAAAGTACAAAAAATTAGCCAGGTGTGGTGGCACGTGCCTGTATTCCCAGCTACCTGGGAGGCTGAGGCATGAGAATTGCTTGAACATGAGAGGCAGAGATTGCAGTGAGCCAAGATCACACCACTGCACTCCAGCCCCAGTGACAGAGCAAGACTCCAACTTAAAAAAAAAGAAAAGATCCAGATCATATTATTCCAGGGTATTATTATTCAGAGTTCTCCTGAGAAACGGAACCAGTAGGAAACATGAATAGATAAATGAGATTTATTATGGGAATTGGCTCATGTGATTATGGATGCCAAGAAGTCCCATGATCTGCTCTCTGCCAGGAAAGCCAGTGGTGCAATTCAGTCCAAATCAGAAGGGCTGAGAACAAGGGCAGCCAATGCTGTAAGTCCCAATCAGAGTCCAATTGAAACTCAAGAACCAGGGTGCTGATGTCTGAGAGCAGGAGATGGATGTTCTAGCTTAAGAGGAGGGAGAGAGAATTCCCCTCACTCTATCTTTTGTTCTATTTGGGCCCTTAATGGACTGGATGATGCCTTAGTCCATTTTTTTTGTTGCTATAACAGAATACCTGAGACTGGGTAATTTATAAAGAACAGAAATTTATTCTCTTACAGTTTGGCTGGGAAGTCCAAGATTAAAGCACTGGCATCTGGTGAGGCCTTTCTGCAGCTTCGCATGATAGAAGGCAAAAGGGCAAGAGAGAGATAAACTATGTGTCCTCTCTTGGCAGAAGAGCAGAAGAGGGTGAACTCACTCTCACAGGCCCCCCTTTTTTTTTCTTTTTGAGATGGAGTCTGGCTCTGTCACCCAGGCTGGAGTGTGATCTGGGCTCACTGCAACCTCCAACTCCCAGGTTCAAGTGATTCTCCTGACTCAGCCTCCTGAGTAGCTATTACAGGCACCCACCACCATGCCTGGCTAATTTTTGTACTGTTAGTAGAGATGGGGGTTTCACCATGTTGGCCAGGCTGGTCTCGAACTCCTGACCTAAAGTGATCCACCCACCTTGGCCTCCCAAAGTGTTAGGATTACAGGCATGAGCCACCACACACGGCCTCACAGGCCTCTGTTTATAGTGGTATTAGTTCCTTCATGAGGGCAGAGTCCTCACGATCTAAACACCTCCCATTAGGCCCCACCTTCCAACACTATTGCATTGGAATTATTTCCAACACGTGACTTTTGGGGAGCACGTTCAGACCATAGCAATGCCCACGGTGAAGGTGATCTTCTTTACTCAGTCCACTGATTCAAATGCTAATATCTTTTAGAAATACCCTAACAGACATATCCAGAAATAATGTTTACCAGCTATCTGGACATCTCTTAACCCAGTCAGGTTGACACATAAAATTTACCATCATGCAGGGGAATCAGAGTTCCTCCAACTCTGGGGCCTGCGGGGACCTGAGAGGACTCTTGGGTTCTCCTTGTCTTGTGCTCCTTGGCATGGCCTGGGGTGAGTGATAAGAGCACTATATTCTGAGAACAGATACGCAGGGCTAGAACCTGTAGATTTCATTGATGGCCTTCACTATTCTATTTTTCATTTTCATTTTTCCTTTGACAGGAAAGAGTAGTCTGCATAGGGATGGCCAATTGGAACTAATCATTTCAAGTCAGCATTCCATGGGGGACTGGTCCAGGATCAACCAGGCTCCAGGGGACTGCCAGAAACATGCCTTCAGCATTATCCTCCTTTCTTAACAGGCTGATGATAACAGAAGCCTCTTTGAGTTTGGAAAGTGACTTGGAAACGTTCTGCTCAGGATATGCTTTTATCATCTGCACAACACGAAGGATGCCCTGTCATAACCCTTGATAATGCAGGATCCCCTCTTCTCTGAATCAGAGAGTCCTGACTCATGTTACAGGGCTAGCAAATGGCCGAGGAGCTCTGCCTGGGGAAGACAAAATAACATAACCTGAGACCACTCTTTCCTTTTCCATATTCAAAGTGCTCTCCTCCATCTAAAGGGATGTTTTGCAAATTAATAAATAGTTACAAATAACGTAGGAATGAAAAAATCTTTGTCCTGGGCTGATACAATGGAGATATGTACAATAGCTAAGGGAAATTGTAACCCCACTCTGACTTTTCCAATCACCAAAAAAAAAAAAAAAAAAAAAAAAGGGAGTTGTTAGATGTTTACTATTCTATATTATAGATGGCTTTAAAAAAACAAGTGAAAGCTAAATTTAGCAAATTTTTGAAGTCAGAAGGACCCATTAAGGAAGTGTACAAAAGGCCATGTGAGATTCTGCTTTGGATATTTGCCAAAGGGAAGTGGCAACAACAGAGAAGTGGCATTGAGTCTTAGGTCAATATTCTCCCCCAGAGTTAGTATATAAGCTCCACCCCCAGCAGAAAGAGGCATCGTATCTCCCTCACCTCTCCTGAGTCCTCTCTTCTCACTTCACCTGAGATTTCTCTACTGACGCCATGGGTTGCTGTGGTTGTGGTGGCTGCGGTGGCCGCTGCAGTGGTGGCTGTGGTGGTGGCTGTGGTGGTGGCTGCGGTGGTGGCTGCGGTGGTGGCTGTGGTGGCTGTGGTGGTGGCTGTGGCAGCTACACCACCTGCAGGTAGTACCGGGTGGGCTGCTGCTCCAGCTGCTGCCCCTGCTGCCGCGGCTGCTGTGGGGGCTGCTGCAGCACACCTGTGATCTGCTGCTGCCGCCGCACCTGCCGCTCATGTGGCTGCGGCTGTGGGAAGAGCTGTTGCCAGCAGAAGTGCTGCTGCCAGAAGCAATGCTGCTGTTAGGTGGGCTGGCCTGGCCTCCGTCCTGTGGCAGGATATGCTGGGGACTTTCCTTCACCCCATTCACCTGCCTTACCCATCCTCTGGGTATCCTAGCACTTATGCTCTTGGACTGTAACTTTGCTCCTGTATTCTGGGTTCGTGTATTTTCTGCTTTGGGTGTTTCCAGTCTGCCTACGTGAAAAGTTTCCTCTCTAATATCAAGCAGCCAAAACAAAGACACAAGGACAACCTACCTCTTCAGGAAGAGTCCACATCACTGAGCTCAATCAAAGAGGATCATGATTCCCAACAGACTTTTTGATGTATATGATCATTTCATTTCCATTAGTGTGCTTTTCTCTGCTCCTTTTCTATCTTGTATTCCTATTTGTCAATAGCTACTTTCTAAATTTCCTAATAAAATAAAAATATATTATTAAAAGTTTATCTTTGCATTTTTTTTTTGGTTTGAACATATCTCACATTCTAGAAAATCTTAATCTCTCTTAGAAAGCCTTTGGTGGATGCGCAGTGATCGTGGAGCAAGTTAAAGACCCTGAGAGTAGCTTCCTGCCTCTGTTGTTTGTGCCCTCTAGTTACCAAACAGAATACTTGAATGTCCAGCTTCTCTCTACAGTTCGTATTCAATTTTGAGATGTGAGGTTCCTTTAAAAATAGACAAGCTGGGCCAGGCGCAGTGGCTCACATCTGTAATCCTAGCACTTTGGGAGGTCGAGGCGGGCAGATCACCTGAGGTTGGGAGTTCAAGACCAGCCTGGCCAACATGGCAAAACCCCATCTCTACTAAAAATACAAAAAAATTAGCCGGGCGTGGTGGCGCACACCTGTAATCCCAGCTACTCAGGAGGCTGAGGCAGGAGAATCGCTTGAACTCTGGAGACAGAGGTTGTAGTGAGCCGAGATTGTGCTACTGCACTCCAGCCTGGGCCACAGAGCGAGACTCTGTAAAAAAAAAAAAAAAAAAAAAAAAAAAGACAAGCTTCCTGAATGCATTCAAAATCCTGTTTTATTTACAAAGAACTAATTCAAACAAATTCTCAGAAACACACCTATTTTCAAAATGCAGGTGATTACATTTGCTTTAGTTTTCCATCTGCTGGGGCCATTTACTCCTTGCCTGGAGGGCAGAGTCCCATCCTTTCTTAGAAGCCTAATTTTTACCACCCCCCACCACACCATAAGTTCAGCCAACAGTGCACATTTAGAACTGTGGTATTATCGATTTCACTTTCACATTTCCCCAACCACAGAATTAATGCCATCAGGTTGTACTGAATGTGTAGGCATTGATGAACATTGGATTTGGGATTTATCTTAGCCCTCCTGGATTTCTTGTATCCACCTTCGGCTCCACTTCTTATTTTCAAGTCAATTGCTATTTGCTTTTCTGTCTAAATTAATTTAACTGTGATTGGAGTATTGTTAAGGCTTATGGTTTCTTTCTAATTCATTTCAGATATTACTTAATAACAAACTGTGATTTAAGTTTTTGTTCATTTCTTCTATTTTTTTTTTTGAATTCATAAGCCTAAGGGGCCTTGAGATTAGAATAATCTAATCTGTGTCCTTTTGCCAGGCGAGTGAGTCCATTTCTGATAGAAAAACCATTTTTGTGTGTATAGGATCTATGGTGTTTTTTATATCTAGAGAGAAACGTAGATAATAATTAGATAATCCTCAATAATCATATTCACTTGGAAGGTATAAATTGAAAGGCAAATGATGTTTTATGACTCAGACTATGAGTAGTCTATAAAAGCATTAACAATTTTTAGAAGAGACTTCTTTCTGTCGACCAATGCTCATCAAGAGACTCCTAGATATAGGCTGGGCCTGGTGGCTCACACCTGTAATCCCAGCACTTTGGGAGGCTGAGGCGGGCGGATCACTTGAAGTCAAGAGTTTGAGACCAGCCTGGCCAACATGGTGAAACCTCATCTCTACTAAAAATATAAAAATTGGCCAGTCATGGTGGCACGTGCCTTTAATCCCAGCTACTTGGGAGGCTGAGGCACAAGAATCACTTGAACCCAGGAGGTGGAGGTTGCAGTGAGCTGAGATCACGCCGCTGCAGTCCAGCCTGGGCAATGGAGCGAGACTCTGTCTCAAAAAAATAAAATAAAATAAAGAAACTCCTAGATATAAAGGCAGGTTTAAGGGGGTAAGACCAGTTCAGAGATGGAGCAAGTCCTGCTGTGGACTGTCTTTGGGATGGGATGCATTGTGCACAAAGAATTATAATCCTAGGCAAAGAGTGGTATTTGCCATGGTATCCCTGTCAGAGGTGGGAAGCTAGTTCCCCTGAAACCATCTAGAATGGCTCCAGAGCACCGAATCTTGTGGCTTCTTGTTCTCTGTGGACTTTTCATTACATGCTCCCTCCCTCACACTTGGTCTGTTTAGGGCAGTGCTGGAGAGAGTTTCGGCTGAAGCCTCTGCAGTTGGATGGCAGAGGCCATGGCCCGCAGGGTGAATGAAGGTCAGCCCGCATGTCTGTACGGTAAGTTTCCTCATCCCTGGGTCCCAAGGCTCTAGTTTCTCAGATGGACTTAATACTGAAAAAAGAAAAAAAGATAGTCAGAATTTAAAGAAGATATTTCTGTAGTTCGATTGTGCCCAACAAATTGTTTTCATTTTTCAATCTGCTAGTATTCTCACTTGCTTTGCAAATCCCTATAAGCCCTGCCTATAAATTCCCCTACAGTAGGGGATAGTTGACTACATTTGTGCTAATTATTCAGACAGCCTAAAGCAAGACTCCAACTCACAATTGGATTACAGGGAGGTACCTACAGCCACTCCTCTGCGGGGGTGAGATGCAGACAGGTGCCCCCAGTGCACTGCATTGTAAGTTTTGCGCATCTCTCCCAGGTGAGCCCCAGCGTGGTATGTTTAGCCCCTGCCACAGGTTCACCTCCCTGTCCTCCCCTGACTGAGACCCAGTAACATTCAGATGCACTGATGGACACCCCTGCACCTCTTGCTCATATATTCCACCCTGACACCCGTGAGCAAGCCTATGGGTCCTTTCTCCCTGTCTGCCTGGCTGAGACCACTCCCCCGGTGCTGCCTCCCATGTGACCCCCTCTTGGCATGCAGTGACTCCATCTCTTTAGGACCTGTGATGGGAATACACTGTTTTCCTGAACCTATCCTTTGTCTCTTCTTTTTATTTATTTATTTATTTAATTTTTGAGATAAAGTCTCACTCTGTTGCCCAGTGGCACGATCTTGGCTCACTGCAACCTCCACCTCACGGGTTCAAGTAATTCTCTGTCTCAGCTTCCCGAGTAGTTGGGACTACAGGCACATGCCACTGTGCCCAGCTAATTTTTGTATATATATTTTTAGTAGAGTTGGGGTTTCACCATATTGGTCAGGCTGGTCTTGAACTACTGACCTCAGGTGATCCAACCACCTCGGCCTCACAAAGTGCTACGATTACAAGCATGAGCCACCGTGCCCAGCCGCCTTTGCCTCTTCTTGTGGCCGCGCCTGACAGACCATCTGACTATCTCATAATATATGTACATATATACACACACAACACAAACCCCATACCAGGCCACCTGGGTTCTTTTTTCACAAATCTATGTCAACATGAGTATTGAGACCCAGCAAATCCTGGCAGACAGCCACATCTTCTATTTACGCTGACTGGAAACAAACTCACATTTTCAGCGAGTGGGACAGGAGGAGCAAGTGCCTAAGAAGTGTTGGGTCTTGGTGGCTGGAAAAACCACATGTCCCAGAATTCTGCCCATTAGGTTGGTCAACATTACTGGGAAAAGCGACTTGAGGGGTCCTCCCTCAGTGGGGAAAAGCGGATGCCACTTGCCTTAGCGTAAGATGGATGAACTGGCACTTCTCTCCTGACCCCGCTCTTCCAGCTGAGAACCATCACAAGGGAGGGGGCAGTTCTACAGGTGAAGCCTGGGAGGGAAGAATGAGTGAGAGGGTGGAGCCCCAGAGGTAATTCCTAAAGGCTGAGAGTAAGTAAGGGCCTTTGGGTAGCCTGAGGGTATTAGAGGCTCAGGGCTGTTGGAGCTGGAAAGGGAATAGAGACAGAGCCAGATGAGTGCCCAAAACCACCTTGTCAACTTAGACTTCAGAGGGCTCATCTCGCACCTGCCTCCAAACCCTCTCTTCTGAATTTCAAGGTGGAAGGAAAACTGTCTTTCTGTGACAGCATCTTCCCCTCTTTGGAAATCTTATTTGACATGGTTATTTGACTCATGTTCCCTTTGGTTATAACATTCATTTGGTCAGTTCAACCTGTTTAAGCTTCTGTCCAGAGCCAAACTGTGCTTAGAGTAACAAGGACACACCCTAAGTGGTCCTCGTGGGGCTGGTGCAAGAACCAGCTTCTCCGGGAGACACACCCAAGGAGCTTGGCTTCCCTCAGCCCCCGCCCCACTGCTCACCCAAGCTGGGATTCCCCGCTCTCTGCCTTGTTTCCTTCTCACTTTGCTGCTAAACTAGCCACAATAAATCAAGAATCTGAAGTCTGCAAAGAAAAGGATCAGGGAATCTCTATGAAAAATTAGCAAAATGGGTGTTTGGGGACATTTTTTATTGTGCATGGGGACACTCTCAGTAGGGTGTATCATTATTTTGATTCTAATGCTGATAGTCTCACATTACAACTGAAAGCTAATTTTGTAGTTTGAAGTGGTTGATACCACAGACTTCCATGATACCTAACATGGCTAAGAGCCAAATTTCATCATTGCCCAAAAGTGGTCAGGCTCCTGAATGATCATATGACCATTTGGAGTCTGAACAGGTATTTATGAGTCCAGACTTCTGTTTCTAAGACTCTATCAAGAGAGAGATTTGGGGAAAGTTTTGGTTTATGATAATGAAGTATCAGGCTGAGTATGTGCCCCCCAAGTCCCTTCCTTCTTTACAAACCCACAGTGAATTAATCATCCACGAATCTATGTGTCTAGTGTAAAGAATTCATCTAGTTTTTTATTCTTTGATTTATCTTTTGGGATAAAACTCATTTTTCCCCATGGACAGACAGTTTAGAGACTGGAAAGAACAAAAGAGATAGCTCTTTGAGAATGATTTAGTATAATTTATTAAGATAAGTGTTGCTTTGTGTATACAAATATACCCAGGCAGCGGTAAAAACAGCACAGAAATGAAGGCAACCTTAGAGGCATTTCAAGGTCTAACTATCTTCACTCCATTTTGTTGAGGTCATGACTTGAGTTGTAATCAACATAGAAGGCTGCATGGTTGTTATTTTTGTTGGTGATGATGATTAAATGCAGGCAGAATCACAAAAAAACTATAGAAATGTGAAATACTCACGGGCAGGTGACAGGTTCAGGTCATGCTTGTGTCCTATTAGTCAGTGGCAGCCAGAAGGGGAAAGCTTACCTACAGCAGTTACCTGCAGCAGCTGCCAGAGGCTGAGGGCCCTACCTAACAGCAGCATTGCTTCTGGCAGCAGCACTTCTGCTGGCAACAGCCCTTCCTACAGCCACAGCCACATGAGCGGCAGGTGCGGCGGCAGCAGCAGATCACAGGTGTGCTGCAACAGCCTCCACAGCAGCCGCGGCAGCAGGGGCAGCAGCTGGAGCAGCAGCCCACCCGGTAGCACCTGCAGGTGGTGCAGCTGCCACAGACACCACCACAGCCACCACCGCAGCCACCACCGCAGCCACCACCGCAGCCACCACAGCCACCACCACAGCCACCACAACTTCCACAACCACAGCAGCCCATGGTGTCAGTAGAGAGGATGCGGATGAAGTGAAGAAGGAGGACTCAGGAGAGGTGAGGAGGTCTGATGCCTCCTTCTCCTGGGGGAGGCCCTTATATACCAACTCTGGAGACAGGAGAGGGAAGGCACATGACCACTTCCTTGTTGTCATTTGACTTGATGTACATGGAAGAATCCCTCCATCTCATATTGACTTTCCTTTCAGACATCTTTGTCTTCACTACATTTTTGGTTTTGTTTATTTTTTTCATAAAACTATATGCCAGTATAAGTTAAAAAGGCCTAAAAGTTCTAGGGAAGCATTCTGGGAGCTGACGTGTGGTGAGGCTGTCCTTAGTAATGACAGCCTTCTCCTTCTTCCTAAGATGCCCTGGGAATACGCGCCATGTGCATAGGTCCATGAGTTGTTAGCAGGGCTTACAAACCCCACACAGCACCAGGCAGTCCCTGCACTGAACAATCTGAGAGCTTCTCAGCGATAGGTACAGTGATATTGAAGGCACAGTCCCTGACTTCAAAGGGCTTGCAATAGTAAGTAACAACGCAAGCTGGGAGGTGTAAATGGCCACAGATTCAAAGGTCACTGCCAAAGTCAGATGCCATCATCCCATTTATTGACCAGTGAAGGCACTGGGGCTGCTCCCTCCCTCCTCATTTGAAGCACATCATTGTGATTTGTCTTCTGCACACCAGGTCTTAATGATTATTTCAAAAGCAGAAATCAATCCTCTTAGGAGTCTGCATTTTGGTGATGTAATTCTTGGTCTGGTTCACTGTAAACTCCACCTCCCGGTTTTAAGCGATTCTCCTGCCTCAGCCTCCCGAGTAGCTGGGATTACAGGCATGTGCCACCATGCCTGGCTGATTTTTGTATTTTTAGTAGAGACAGAGTTTCACCATGTTGGCCAGGCTGGTCTCGAACTCCTGAGTTCAAGCAATCCTCCTGCCTTGGCCTCCCAAAGTGCTGGGATTACAGGCACGAGGCACTGCGCCCGGCCAGGAATTCATTTTTGTCCTTGATTAGGTGATGTCAATTGATGGCTGAGAGAAAAAAGTCTGTGCTAAATAGCCTGGCCTGGGCTCCCTAGAGAGCAGGCTCTTGGGCTATTGGGAGAGCGCAGGGTGGGAACATCGAGGGACACATGGTCCAGAGGTCAGAGAAGCTTGCTGAGCTGAATGAAGGCCCAGCATGGGGAGGAAAGGAGTTTATGGCTCCAAGGAGAAGCCTGTGGCTGTGGATCATGGTGGAGTGTGAGAATTTGTGACCAACAAGAAGCCTGTAAAAAAGGCAAGAAAAATATGAGTGCAAGCAGGGTCTTCTCCATGCATGCTGAGGTAGAGGCTTCTGGCGATCAGTCAGTGCTCAGCAGACAGCAGTCAGCATCTCTGCTGCAGACGAGATCATCCTCCAACTCATTTTGTAACAGGCTCGCTGCCCAAAGCCTGTTTTCCCAACTTGGTAAAATTGTTCTTCAGAAATTTGAGCAAGAGAAAGTGCTGCCACGTCCCTGTGGCTGATTAGAGTTGTTTATTAATGACCTCAAGCTGTCTCTGTGGTATATGGACTAAACAGAGCATTTTCAACTTGTCAGGGAGTTGCTTGAACTGGGGTCGCGGGGACAGTGGAGCTAGAGAGACGTGAATAGGTTTGAAGTTATTAACGAGGCAGAAGCAACAGAATTTGGTGAAAGACTAGAAATGGAACTAAGAGAAAAGAAAGATTCAAAGATAATTTTTAACATGGATTCATATCTTGATGGATACGGAGCAGTGGAGGGAACACACAGTTTTATTTTGGTGGCTAGTTGGTGATCAGGCAGGGAGAATTATGACTTGAGTCTGGAGCATGTGACATTGGAGGTGTCCCTGAAACTCCAAGGGGAGAAGGTGGAATGGAGAGTGGCTATTGATGGATTTTGTAGTCCGCAGGAGAGTCTGAGCTGGAGGCACCCCATGGAGAAACTAACCAGGGAATACGCATATGGAAATCTACACATGGGTGTGAATGTCAGCACTCTGGGAGGCAGGACGGAGTGAGAAGGGAAGGGAGTGTTGCTTCAAGCCTTATCATAGACAATTGTGAGCGGAAACAAAACAGAAAAAAGAGTCATTTACTATAAAGATCCCTTCAGAAATATAGTTGGCAAGTGAGCATTTTTGCAAAAATGACATGTTTTATTTGGATGCTCTTATTTACTCTTTTGCATCTCGGGAATTTCCATGAAAGCAGGGTGATTTCCTGGAGAGAAGCCATGGCAGAGAGATGGAAAAGCAGCTGGCAGCCACCTTGGGTTCCGGCTTAACCCGAAGTCTCAAGGATTCAAGTGGTTTCTGAGTAAATGAAGATCCTCTCCTACATGTTAGCATCTCTTGGCTTGCTTTTAATCTGGTTTTAACAGAGACAAGTGAAAATTAGCAAATGTTTTGGGTCAAATATAGTCCATAAGGATGTAAACAAGGAATAGTCCTAGATAACCTTATCATGGAAACTGCAGTAGCAACAACAAGGAAGTGACCACTGGTCATGTGTCCTGGGTCACTCCCTCTTCCTTTCCCCAAGATGGTACATAAGGGTGTCCCCCAGCAGAAGGAGGCATCAGACCTCCTCACCTCTCCTGAGTCCTCTCTGCTCACTTCACCTGAGTCCTCTACTGACACCATGGGTTGCTGTGGTTGTGGAAGTTGTGGTGGCTGTGGTGGCCGCTGCGGTGGTGGCTGTGGTGGTGGCTGCAGTGGTGGCTGCGGTGGTGGCTGCGGTGGTGGCTGTGGTGGTGGCTGTGGCAGCTGCACCACCTGCAGGTGCTACCGGGTGGGCTGCTGCTCCAGCTGCTGCCCCTGCTGCCGCGGCTGCTGTGGAGGCTGCTGCAGCACTCCCGTGATCTGCTGCTGCCGCCGCACCTGCGGCTCGTGTGGCTGTGGCTATGGGAAGGGCTGTTGCCAACAGAAATGCTGCTGCCAGAAGCAATGCTGCTGCTAGGCGGGCCCCCGGCCTCTGGGCAGGGGCTGCAGGTATCTGCCCTGTAGGTAAGACTCCCATCCTTCCCATCCTGTCTGGTCTCCCCCTCCTCTGTGGTCTTGAACTCTGTTGCTGTTTTTCTTTGGTGTTTCATGTCTTTCCGTCTGAAAAGCTTCCAAACTAATAGGAACGATCTCATGGAAAAATATGAGAACAGCACAGCAGCTGTGAAACTGTCCAGGTCACTGACCTCAGGGAAATGAAATCACAACTCCTCGTGTTTGGTCTGATGGACATGCTCATGGCTATGCAGCTCCGTCTTAGTTCCACTTTTCCCATCGGCATGCGATGCTTCTTTTGTTTCTTTGCTTTTGTGTTCTTAGTTATCACATAACATTGTCCAAATTTCCTAACAAAATAAACTAAGTGCCCATAAAAACTTCTCTTTTTGCCTTTCTTCCACTTGATCACACTGAATTCTGGTTTGTCTGTTCAGAAACTGGAGAGATGTTTTATCTTTTTTATCTTGGAACAAAGCCTTTGAAACACTTGTGCCCTGGCTCATCCCTGTAATCCCATCACTTTAGGAGGCCAAGGCAGGAGAGTCCAGGAGTTCAAGACCAACCTGGGCAACATGGTGAGTTCCCCCGTCTCTACAAAAAATACAAAAATTAGCCAGGTGTGGTGGTGCGTGCCTGTAGTCTCAGCTACTCGGGAGGCTGGGGCAGGAGGATCACTTGAGCCTAGGAGGTTGAGGCTGCAGTGAGCCGAGATCATGCCACTGCACTACAGTCTGGGGGACCCAGCAAGACCCTGACACACACACACACACACACACACACACACACACACTAAACAATAACCAAAAAAAAAAAAAAAGGAAAAAGATGAAAAACACTTGCTATGGCAGCAATGCAGCAAAGGATCATGTAAGAAGCTGTGGCCGGGCCTCTGGGGACCAGCCTTGCTCAGTGACACATTATGTTGCCTCAGAACAAGCCTGCAGTGTGTCTTCCTCCCTGGAGATCCAGGGTCCCTGTTTTTGTTTTTGTTTTTTTTTGAGATAGAGTCTCACTCTGCTCCTCAGGCTGGAGTGTAGTGGCGTGATCTCGGCTCACTGCAACCTCTGCCTCCCGGGTTCAAGTGATTATCCTGCCTCAGCCTCCTGAGTAGCTGGGACTATAGGCATGAGCCACCACGCCCAGCTGATTTTTGTATTTTTAGTACAGACAAGGTTTCGCCATGCTGGCCAGACTGGTCTCGAACTACTGACCTCAAGTGATCCACCCGCCTCAGCCTCCCAAGGTGCTGGGATTATAGGCATGAGCCACAGGACCCGGCCTGGGGCCCCTGTTTTATTGATGTAAGACGACACAGCCCTTCAGTGATAGACCCACATGCCAAGCTCAGGTGTTGCAATCAAGAACAAATATGGAATTTAATGGTGGGGTAAGCTCAGCTGGGTTTCGCTGGGTTTCGTTCATTCATATGTTTCATATTCTTCTTTCTTCTTCCTCCCTTTCTCCTGTGTGTGAGGTTTTCTTCTTTTCCTTTTTTTCCATACACTGCAACATTTCGTGGAAGACATTTGAAACCTTTTATTTATTTATTTATTTTGAGACAGAGTCTTGCTTTGTCGCTCAGGCTGGAGTGCAATGGCGTGATCTTGGCTCACTGCAACCTCCGCCTCCCAGGGTCAAGCGATTCTCCTGCCTCAGCCTCCTGAGTAGCTGGGATTAGAGGCGCCTGCCCCCGTACCTGGCTAATATTTGTTGAAACATTTTAAAACCAAATACATTCGATTGTGGAAAAATTCTCCCAGTGACACCGTCTTCTTTACTACCTTTAGTAAAAGCAAGAAATGAAATCAGGGCCTAATAAAAGAAAGCCGGTGGGAAGGGGGTTTTCAAACTTCTTTGAAGGAGGAAGTCTTTTTTTCAGTGCTTCAATTTAACGAAGAGCATGTTGCTCTTTCCTTTCCCTTCCTTTTTTCTTGTTGATTATTTTCTCTAGCTTCCACACTTTTTCTGACTGTTGAGATTCTATGGTTCTGTTTGCTGAAGAGACTTCAGGCTAAGGAGATTTGGGATCAAGATGGTTTCATGTGTTCACACATTGATGCGGCCTCTGCTCAAAACAGGAAAAAGAAAGTTTGTTTTTGTGTTATATACACAGGATAGATATGTGTATATAACATATAAAAATAAAATAACAACATAGCTGAACTCAAAAACAAGACATCTATCTCTGTGGATCACAGACTGAAAATATAAAATGCAGGGCTGGAGCTGTGGGCTTGCTGGGTTCTGGGTCACAGGCATGACGTGCGTAGGATACAAGAGAGGCCAAATACCTCATGAGAGTGGGGGATCAGAGCCAGTCTCACTTTTGAAGATAGGTGTCAGAGTGGGGCCACCTTCGTCTTGGAATAAACCTGCTGTCCTTGCTGCCCCAGGCTGTGGATTCTGAACTGCTAACCCCTTATACCAGGTGTCCCCAAACACCAGGCCACGGACCAGGACTCACAGCAGGAGGTGAGCGGTGGGCAAGTGAGCGAAGCTTCATCTGTATTTACACCTCTCCCCATCGTTCACATTACCATCACATTACCACCCAAGCTCCGCCTCCTGTCAGATCAGCAGCCACAGCATTAGCTTCTCATAGGAGCACAAACCCTATTGTGAACTCCGCATGTGAGGGATCTAGGTTGTACATACCTTATGAGAATCCAATGCCTGTTGATCGGTCACTGTCTCTCATCACCCCCAGATGGGACCATCTATTTGCAGGAAAACAAGCTCAGGGCTCCCACTGATTCTACATTATGGTGAGTTGTACAATTATTTCATGATATATTACATTGTAATAATAATAGAAATAAAATGCACAATAAGGGTAATGTGCTTGAATCATCCTGAAACCATCTCCCCACTTCCCATGGAAAAACTGTCTTCCACAAAACCAGTCCCTGATGCCAAAAAGTTGGGGACCACTGCCTTAGAGAGACTGGAGGATACAGACACAGTCTTTTTTTTTTTTTGAGACAGAGTCTCACTCTGTCACCCAGGCTGGAGTGCAGTGGTGGGATCTCAGCTCACTGCAACCTCCGCTTCTCGAATTCAAGCGATTCTCCTGTCTCAGCCTCCTGAGTAGCTGGGATTACAGGTGCCTGCCACCACACCTGACTAATTTTTTCTTCTTCTTATTTTTAGTAGAGACGGGGTTTCACCATGTTGGACAGGCTGGTCTCGAACTCCTGATCTCTGGTCATCTGCCTGCCTCGGCCTCCCAAAGTGTTGGAATTACAAACATGAGCCAACACGCCCAGCCCAGACACAGTCTTAGGCTACAGATTGACCTAAATCCTCTGCAGGCTTGAGAATAATCTATTATTATCCCCATTAGCACTACGGGATGGGGCCTGGGGATGGGACAGGAAAAGACAACTGCAAAACTGCTAGACAGGTAGAGGCAAGTGGTGCTGGGTCAGGGTGTGTGTGTGATTGGGATGAGGAGAGAAAGTGAGAGCAATGGAAACAAAAACACCTTGCACTGAAAATTATGACACTGACGGACTTCATCTGCCTCACATGGCTTCCTGAGCCCGGCTTCTTGATCATGATGAATCTCAGGCTTCTGATGCCCCTTGCTGCCTGCCTATAAGTAATCAACCTGCTTCATGTCATTCATTGTGTGTGTGGGTGTGAGCCTCCCTGGACTCAGAAAAATTGGTAATCAGTGCACAGTGAATTTGCTCCCCAAAACTGACACAGCAGGCGGGGTCCAGTCTGACAGAATCATGGCTTATTGGTGAAGCAGGGGGCAAAACCCCCTAGTACCTGGTTGAAGGTGGAGACGTCAGCCTGGGGGCACAAGAGCTAGATGGTACTGCTGGACATGTTATGGGTCAGGAGGGGTTATATGTGGGACTCCTGGATGTGAGTGAGCTGGACATGGACTGAGGCTGCCAGGAAGGCACGTGGAAACGAGATTGTGGCGCATGGCCCTGAATGTTGGGCACTGATGTGATCCTTCATTCCTGGGGCTGCAGAGCTCAGGAAGAGAATGCTCAGATGGACCCTGAGGCACCTGAGAAGGATGTGGTCCTGAGGCATCTGAGCAGGAACCAACCATGCAATGCAGGCTGCCACAGAAGAGGAGACTCTCTAGCTAAAGGACAGGTATGGAGATGGTTCAGAGATGGCTTATGCAGCCTGGTTGATGTGTTTGTTTGATAAAAGGACATTGCAGACCCAATGTCTCAGGCTAAATGGTGTGGTTAGATTGAGGCCAAGGTCTCTGGGTCTCCACTGGAGGTCAACGGCGCTATACTCCAGTCCATACAGAAAGGGAAAGAAGGGGAATTCAGACTTTTCTGGGGTTCTTGGATATTGGAATCCATATGGCAATATTTCCAGGTCCCCTTAGGGGAATAATTAGCCTGGTGACATTGGGATGTTTGAGGACAAACATGGTGACCTGTGGTGCTTATCTGCTTCCAGGTGGGGCCCTCAGGCCATTCTGGGTGCTGGTGACCATGGTTCCTACCACTTCATGTATTACAAGCACTAACATAGGCTGCTTGTGGCACAGACCATCACTGTGGCCTGAGGGGGTACAGCCCCCTACAGCTAAGAATTTGAGCTGTAATAGTGGAACATATCCACTGCTGCTGGCTACCTGAGCTCCCAAGCCTGATGGGTTATTCAACAAATTAGTGCTACAAACTAAGTGAAAGAAAGTACATTACTTGTTTAAATCTACATCAGGCAGGGTTCAACCTGAGATGCAGAACAAATAGGAGATATAAATTAAGAAACTAATTTAAAAAAGTTGGCTCCCATGGTGATGGAGGCTGGTAAGGCAGTCCAAAATTCACAGGACAGGCCATCAGAATGGGTGGGCTAGGACTCACAGGCACAGGCTGAAGCCCCTGAACACAGACCAAATCTCCCTTTTCAGAGGAACTTCAGCACTGCTGGTAAGGCCTTTCCCCTGATTGAATCAGGTCTACCCAGATTATTGAATCAGATCCTCTAGGACTGTATTTAAAATCAACTGATTATGGACTTTAATCACATCTGTAAAACACTAGCATGACCGAGGTTAGTGCTCTTAGATGGTCCCACTCTTTTGGTTTCCATGTTGTTTTGGGGGTAGACTTGAATGTGTTGAAACTGTATTTTGGGTTTCATTTGCTCACTGAGGTCATGTAGATGGTTTGTTTCAATCTGTTCCATTAAATAATTTGATTGTGCCCAGTTCACTGGCTGATGGGTGTGGTTTCAATGGGGCTCATGATGGCCCAGTCTTTCATGGCACCCAGTTTCATCAATTATCAATTCATGGCCAATCTAGTTTCATCAATGACCCAACCATTTACCCTTTCCCCCCATGGGTTAATTTGAATCCTGTATCATATAATTTAATAATATTTATTAATTTAATATTTAATATTTAATAAACATTTCAGTTTGTATTTTTAAAAATAAGGACCCAGAATGTAGAAATAAAGATTCAGAAAGACTGTATTACAAGGTAAGAAGAGATGCAAATTTAAATATGATCATCATGGCAGGCCTCATTGAAAAGGAGACATTTGAACAAAGACTTAAAGGAAGTGAGTCACAGAGCAATATCTGGGTGAAAGAGCATTCCAGGGAAAGGAAGCTAAAGTCCAAAGATGGTTTCTGAAATATTTAAAGACTCTCAAGGAGCCCAGTGTAGCTGAACTGAGTGAGAGGAAGAATAGTAGAAAATGAGACCAGACAGGTAAAGGAGAGGGCAGGAATATCAGGTGGGGTTTGCAGGTTATCCTCAGGCCTGTGGTTTTTTTACTGTGTATGAACTGAAAAGCCATTGGAGAGTTCAGAGCAGAAAAGTGACATGATCTCATGTATATTGTATGAAGAGCTCTGACTGCTATTTTGAGGCTAGGTTGAGGAGGGCAAAGGATTAAAGCAGAGATGAGTTAGAAGGTCTTGCAATAATCCATGTAGAAGAGATAGTGACAACTCAGAACAGAGTGGTAGCCATGGAGGTGATGAGAAGCAACTATCTCCTAGAATTACTTTGAAAATAAAGAATACTTTTTGACACATTATATCTGAGATGAGAGAGAACAGGAGGAGTCAAGGAGTCAAGTGAACAGGAGGACTTCAAGATTTTGGGCCTAAGCAACTTGAAAGATGGGGAAAAACTGTAGATAGCACCGTTTTGAGCAAGATGACGATTCCATCTGGAGCATGCTGAATTGCAGGTGTCTACTAGACATCCCAATGGAAATGCTGAGTAGTAGGCAGCTGGACACAGTGGTCTGAAGTTCAGGGGGAGAAGTCAAGGTCTGAGCTATCATTTTTTTGGTGTCATCGGTATACAAATATAGAGATTGCATGAAACCATCAAAGACTATATAGAGAAAAGAATTTGTAAGCACTTAACCTTAGGAGCTCCAGGGTTAAAAGCCTCTGAAAAAAGAGGAGAGGCCAGCAAAGGAGACGGAAAGGAGCATCTAGTGAAGAAAGAGTAAAATTAAAAATGCATGGTGCCCTGGAAGCGAGTATGGAACTGTTTCAAGGAGGAGAGAGTGATAATGGTGACAATGCTACCAAAGGATGAAGTGAGATGCGTGAAGTGAGGTGAGCACTGATGAATGACTGCTGGATCGACATCGGTGATCTGGACAGGAATGGTTTTGGCGAAGTATTGAAGATGAAAGATGGATATCAATGGGTTTAAGAAAAAGTGTGAAGAGAGGAATTAGAGCGACAGGAAGTAGACAACACTTCCATAAATTTTTGCCTTAAAGGGAAGCAAAGAAATGACTTAATTTCACAAATATAATGTTAAGCAAAACAATCTATGTAAGAATGCCCAACTATATTCATATAAAATATTTTTATGTATGTGTATGGGTATAAACACATATACATATACACACATTTTAGAGACAGGGTCTTGCTCTGTTGCCCAGGCTGCGTGAACCCTATAGTGAATTGTGCGTGTGAGGGATCTAGGTTGCACACTCCTTATGACAACCATAGCTCATTGCAGCCTTGAACTCCTAGGCTCAAGTGATCCTCCTGTCTCAGCCTCCCAACTAGCTAGGACTATAGTGGTGGTGATGAAGTGGTCTTCCCTAGGTACAGGCAGTAAGGAGGAGAATTACCTGTAGAGAATTTAAAAGCAATAGTAAAACTGATGAAGGGCCTGTCTGCATTTTATTGTTGCCATGTACCAGCAATTCTAAATAATGATGGTGATAAAGTATGCTCCCCACCAGGTGGGCTGCTACCCCTCCCGGCTTGGCATGCCACCCTGGCAGTGTCTAATTAATAACTTTTACCTTCTCTAGAACAGTACAAAAATCTTTGGTTTTGAACATTCTTCTAATTTCTAATTTATTATTGTCCAGGATGTTAGTCTTATGTTTTTCAAAACTCTTCAAGATATAAAACGTTACTACTGTTTGACATGGCCAGTGTTGAGATTTACTCACGTGTTTTCTGTTTCACACTCCCTCTTGCATCATATGCCTTCCTTTTGGGGTAATTTTCCTTCTTTCTTGAATGCATCCTTTAGAAATTGCTTTTGGAAGGGTCTGTTACACTCTTACAAAGCGAGTGTGCCTCACTCACTCCATTTCTCTTTGTCTGAAAATGTCTTTATTTTATTCTCATTTTTTGAAATGTTTTTCTCTTTGTATACAACCCTAAGCTGGCAATTATTTTCCCCAGCACTTTAAAGGCATTATTCCACGATCTTTCTGGCTTCCCTTGTGTGCCATTGAGAAGTCATTTGTCAATCTAATTATCATTTTTCTGTAGGTGATGCTCTTTTTATTTTTCTGACTGTTTATAAGATTTCTTTTTCTTTGGTATTCTGCAGTTTCACTACGGTGTGTTTAGACTTGAATTTCTTTTCATTTACTCTTTTGGAGAGCTGTTAGGCTTCCTAAATCTAATTCATGCCTTTCATCTCATCTGCAAAATTCTCCATGGATATTTCTTTGTCTGTCTCTCACTTCTATCTTATTATCTCCCCAAGGAACGTCAAATAGACATTCGTGAAACTTTCTCACTCTAACCTCCATGTGTGTTAATTTTTTCCACTTTCATCTCTGTGCTATATTCTAAATGAGTTCTTACAGTTTAATATTTTCTTCTTTATTGCTCTTAACTTCTACATAGCTCTTAACTTGTTTATTAAGCTTCTATTCTTGACTACAGTAATGCATCCTTAATAACAGGGATATTTCTTGAGAAATGCATTGCCAGGTGATTTTGTCATTGTGCAAACATCATATGGTATACTTATACAAACCTAGATGGCATAGCATACTACATACTTAGGCTAAATGGCATAGCCTATTGTTCCTAGGCTGTAAACTTGTACAGCATGTTACTGTACTGAATGCTGTAGACAATTGTAACACAATGGTAAGCATTTGTGTATCTAAACGTATTTACACATAGAAAAGATACAGTAAAAATACACATAAGAGATAAAACATGGTACACCCATATAGGGCACTTACATGAGTGGAGCTTCAGGGCTGGAAGTTGCTCTTTCAGGGTCTTGATCCATCACCCAGGCTGGAGTGCAGTGGTGCGATCTCGACTCACTGCAACCTCCACCTCCCAGGTTCAAGTGATTCTCCTGCCTCAGCCTCTGAGTAGCTGGGATTACAGGCACCTGCCACCATGGCCGGCTAAGTTTTGTATTATTTTTTTTTAGTAGTGACAGGGTTTCACCACATTGGCCATGCTGGTCTCAAACTCCTGACCTCCGGTGATCTGCCCGCCTCGGCCTCCCAAAGTGTTGGGTTTACAGGCGTGAGCCACCGCACCTGGCCATTTATTATAATTATCAAGTATTATATACTGTACGTAATTGCATGTGCTAGACTTTTATAAGACTGGCAGTGCAGTAGGTTTGTTTACACCGGCATCACCACAAACTCATGAGTAATGCTTTGTGATACAACATCACGATGGCTATGATGTCACTGGGTGGTAGGGATTTTTCAGTTCCACTACAATCTTATGGGACCACTGTCCTATATGCCAGGGGTTCTCAACCTCCAGTCCAAGGGCCTGTACCAGGGTCCATGGCCTGTTAGGAACCAAGCCACCACCAGGAGGTGAGTGGCAGGTGTGCAAGAGAAGCTTCATCTGTATTTACAGCCACTCCCCATTGCTCACATTACTGCCTGAGCTCTGCTTCCTGTCAGATTAGTGATGGCATGAAATTCTCATAGGAGCGGGAACCCTATTGTGAACTGTGCATGCGAGGGATCTAGGTTGTGCACTCCTTATGAGAATCTAATGCCTTATGATCTGTCACTGTCTCCCAGGAAAACAAACTCAGGGCTCCCACCGATTCTACATTATGGTGAGTTGTATAATTACTTCATTATATATTACAATGCAATAATAATAGAAATAAAATGTACAAAAATATAATGCACTTGAAACCATCCTGAAACCATCCCCCTGCCCTGGTTTGTGGAAAAATTGTCTTCCACAAAACCAGTCCCTGGTGTCAAAAAGGGTGGGGACTGCTGATACACATGGTCCATCATTAACCGAAACATAGTTATGCTTCCCATGACTGTAGTTCTATTTTTTCCCCAAATTCATGATTATTTTGTTCTATTCTTATGATGTTCTATTTATGTACCTTGTTCTATTCTTATGATGTTATTTTCCTCCATGTGTAAACATATTAAACATTTTATTTTATATTCTAATACTGATAATTCTTCTACGTCAAATCTTTGTTAGTCTGATTTCGCTATTTATTACTTCAGTTGGCTTGTTCATGAAACTTTATATCCTTGTTTGATTCTGAATTTTTAAAAATCATAATCTCCTATTCGATGGAATTTTATTTGTGGCAATATTTTGATTCCTGTATTGAGGTACATTCTTTCAGAAACCATTTGCCTTTGTTACATATAGGTGCCTGGAGACACTGCCAATCAGGACCACTTTAAACTAAATTTTCAGCTTGAAAAAAAAAGTTTAGCCTATAGGAATAGGACTCCAGAATTACGTAAGTGCTGGTTTATAAAGGCAAATGCTGAGGGTATATTCTCCAGACTCCACCCAGATTAGTCTTCTTCATTAGGGATTTTCCCCCTGTCATTTTGTATTTTGTTCTGATTCACCATTCACTGAGGATGTGGCCCTTTGGGGTTGTCACTAAAACCAAAACTCTAGGTTCTGGGGGAACCAGCAGATGCCTTGAGCACACCGCAGAGTCAATGCTTCCTTAGCTATCTGGCTTCCTGTTCTTGCTTTGGCATCTGAGGATTTTTCTTACTTTCTTACCAGTTTAGCCGTTTATTTTTTTTTAATTAAATTTATATCCACGAAATCCAAGGGTTTTGTGGTGTAAAGATTTTTCTGATATCCAGTCTGTTGTTGCCTAATGAAAGTAAGCCTTTCTTACTTTAATATTTTTTAAAAAGTCTGTTGCCTTTAATAAATAAGCTTTTCTTAATAAAAAAATTTAAAAACATTTACTGAAATTTGTTTAAATTTCAAACAACCCTAAAGTCCCCATCTTAGTCCATTTTCTGTTGACTGAGAATACCTGAGACTAAAACATTTGTTTAAAAAAGAAGCTTATTTAGCTCACAGTTCTGGAAGCTGGGAGGTCCAAGATCAGGTGGCAGCATCTGGCTGGCTTTTGGCGAGGGCTTTGCTTTGTGCTGTCATAACATGGTGGAGAAGGAAGGGGAAGCGCATGTTTAGAGACCAAACATGAGAGGCAGCCTTGCTTATAACAATTCACTCGAGTGGTAACTAATCCATTCCCAAGCAGGCAAGAGCTTACTTTCAGGAGAAAGGCATCGATCCCTCTTGAATGACCTAATCACCTCTTAAAGACACCAATTCTCAACACTGCCACATTAGGGACCAAGCCTCAGCACGAGATTTGGTGTCGTATTCCAGCCATGGCACCCCTTTCTCCTTTAAGCTCAACCCCTCAATCCCATTCCTCCTAAGGTAATTGCATGGAGACCATCTCCATTAGGATAGAAAAGTAAGAAAACAAGGCAACGTCTAAATGATCAGGACCCAAACTCACTCAAAATCCTTTTAAGGAGTTTATTTTGTTTGATAATGAAAATGTGGGCCACGTACGATGGCTCATGCCTATAATTGGAGCACTTTGGGAGGCCGAGGTGGGTGTATCACCTGAGGTCAGGAGTTCGAGACCAGCCTGGCCAACATGGCGAAACCCTGCCTCTACTAAAAATACAAAAATTAGCCGGGTGTGGTTGCATGTGCCTGTAATCCCAGCTACTCGGGAGGTGGAGGTGGCAGTGAGCCGAGATTGCACTCCAGCCTAGGCGACAAAGCAAGACTGTTTCAAAAAAGAAAAGAAAAGAAAAGAAAGAAAATCTGGCCTTTGACTTCAGCTGTCCTTTGAGTTAAGACACCAAAAAATAGTTTATGAAATAGTGGAACCTAAGCCTGATGGACCACACACAACCTGCATTTGAGTCCATGAATATGAAGTGAGAACACTCATCTGGGCTATCTGGAATGTCAAATAGCACATACTCCACACACACTGAAAAATATCCATTTTGATGTATGTGAGCCTATTCCAAATCCAGACGAATCCCCATTTCATGCACTTAAAATAATATCATCACTGTGTTTGACGTTTCGGGAGGTAATCTTTCTACGCAGAGTGCCCCTCTCCTTACTAATCCCTTTGGGGTTACAACTAAAATTCCATTTTCATGATTCTAACTTTTATTTAATTAAAGGTAGATTAAAGTACCAGTTATCCTAGCTGGTTAATCTAATGGAGGGTGCAATCAGAGGCCATCAGCTGGTCCCAGAGTGGCTGAGTGCAACGGCTGCTGGCTGTGAGCACTGGGCAGGGTCACTGCGTTATTTCCCAGTGAGGAAAATGAAGGCAGAGGAGCACAGCAGCTGCGGTTTCTGTGATATCAAAGGGGCACTTGGCGCCACTGGACTTTCCCTTTTCTTTTTTGTGTGTACTCCCCAAACTTGGTGATAAGAGTTGCTTTTCATGTCTTAAGCCTCAAGACCATCCAGGGAGGAGGAGGGTGAAGGCAAAGAAATTAGTGAATGACGGAGGAGTCTTACTGTCAACTCCCTTGATCAAGAAGAAATGGGCACTTACTCAGTCTGTTTCTCATTCCAAAAGTTATCGCTGCAAATTGGGGGGTGAAAGTGGGGAAGTGGGGGGCGATGAGAGGGATGAAGAGGTCTGGTAACAGGTAACCAAGAGGTGGGTGTTCTGGTGCAAAACTTGTGGGGTGTTATTACTTCATTTACCTAATTAAAGGCTTATTTTAAAAAATTAACCTTATTTGAGATGTTGTATGGTTATTTACCCACCCCCTCCAAATCCCTCTTATATTCAAACTTGTGAATTTCATCTATTTTTGGAAACAAGATTCTGCCAGAAAATCATTTTATATCATTAGTCAACCACAGTACAGTCTTGTGCCTTCAGTAAAGACAATTATATCTACCACTCTCTCCATAACCGGCTTGGTGATTATTACTAAATTACTCTTCAGCTTTTTCTAGTTGAGATAAAAATGCTTCTTTTAGCTTTCCTCATGGGCCTCTTCCCCTAATCTTTCAGTCATCTTCAAAGATGTGTCTTGAAGCCCCTTTTTAAGATCTTCATAAATCCATTAAGACCTTTGAAACTCCATAAATAGCTTATGTTGTGACAGCAGTTTGAGAGATGCTGGGAAAATGAAGGAATCGCTTCTGGAAGTCTCGATGCATCCTACTCTTTGCTGAATCTCTGTGTCAGAGAAAAATCCTGATTCAGTTTGTATTTTCTACTTTTTAGATTCCAATTTTTAAAAATGGCATTTGGCATCCTATTAGTGGAATATCATGAGTGCAGACAGAGTCAATGATGAATGGACATTTATGATTGAGATTTGGGAGTTACTAATCAATGCACTTCCATATTACTGGCTCTTAAAAACTTAATGAAAGCATATTTAATTAGATTCCTACCAAAAATCAATTTTTAAGAAGCACAGTTTTCAAGACCAGCCATTCATAATAACACCTTTTTTTCTTTGTATATAGGAATAGGGTTTGTCTTCTGTTATGCCTTTGAGCTGTATGTTTTTGCTCATCCTGCTCTGTACCTGGGTAAACTGGTCTCTTCTTTAGCAATTAAACTTTAAAATAGCTTTCCATGGAAGAACCGAATTGAAAGTTGTTCCAGCATTGAGGATGTCAGCAGAGACTAGCAGAGAAGATACGGTAGCAATACAAAGATTTTAAAGGAGTGACTTAAATCTATTCCTCTTGGTCAAGAAGGTAAAAGGATTCGGAAACATTGAAGTATCAGGGGATACAAAAGGTAAAGCTTGAATTTTTCTGCCAAATTTTAGATTTGTTTTCAGCTTTTCATGCCTGTGTGACCCCCTGCCTTTTGAAGAAAGAGCAAAAGGTGTTGATCTGCCAACAAAGAAGACACTGAAATTTTAAATTAGGTTACACAAAATAGTGGCAGAAAGGAGAATAGAAGGATTAATGGCTCGTTTTTATTTCTAGTCCTATTTTACCTAATTCAGTTATAGGAATTCATTCATTTCAACTTAGGATATAATGGATTTGTCGAAAAGTAAGGGAAATATCTGGAGCTGATTAATGTAAAAGTCTTTAGAAAAGGTAAGTGCCTCCTAACCATGTTGATTAATGTAAATAGATGTTATTTTTTTCAATTAGGAAAAGAGAGAGAGATGTTTGTTTATTGACAACACTAAAGGCCAGGAATAGTGTGGTTTAGAGGCCAGCACTTAACCTGTGTAAGAACTCATGCAGTAAGTCTTATATTCTCCATTTTACTCATAAGAAAATTGAGACATTAAGAACATATTACATCTTTAGGGTTTACTTTAAAATAATTTAGAAGCAGGGGTGAGAAATTTCATTGGGAGTGGAGTACAGATGAAACAAGATTGGCCACAAATTGATATTTGTTAAAGTTTGTTTCATTATACTATTTTTTCAAAATGTTGTATGTATTTGAAGTTTTCCAAAATGAAAAAATTTTAACATGTCACTATAAACATCAAGATTCAAAACCAGATTTTGCTGATTTCAAGCTTGTTCTCTCGCTAACAGATGATACACAGAATAATTTCTGAAAAACTGAAGAGCAATTTGCCAACCAGATAGTAAATTAGGAATTTACATTTTATTTTAGAAAGTAATGCTTACACGTCGAATAGCCTCAAACAAGCATATTATATTGAACAAGTGTGTAGTACTGAATCTACATGAATCTTAGTGTTAAGATTTATTAAATGGAAGCAATCCTTTCCTCTGTTGAACAAGTGCGACTACAAAGTAGATTTTTAAAAAATGTCCTGGCATTACTTCATTTAATTTTGTATTCTGAAATGATTTCTTTTTGCCTTTTTGCTTTTAAACAAGATAGCTTCTAAATATTTTGTAGGAATTCTCATCTATTTATAGAGAGGTAAGAATGACGATTTTGTCCATGAGACAGAGTAGATTTACAGAATTTGGGAACTAAGCTTTAATAAGATTGAACTTTAGCTAGGGCAAGGAAAAACCTTTAGCTGTAGCTAATGAGAACCACTTCCACTGGAATGACTTTATGGCTTTAATTTTATGCAGTTCTTTCATTCCTTCACCTCTTTAGTGAAAAGGTCACCTGTTTAATGAAAAGGTTTCTTAAGAAATAGAACCTTAACTACACCATATTTCTATTTCTCAGTATAAAATTATTCTATTGAAGACATCATGCTAAAGGAAAGAAACTAGAAATAAAAGGCTATATAAAAAATAATTCCATTGATATGGCATTCTATAATGACAAACTGTATGGATAGAAAACCAATCAGTTGTTGCCAGGGACGAGGGGTGGGGAGAGGGGATTGGTGGCAGAGAAACACAAGAGCACTGTTTGGGTTGATGTTTATCTTCATTGTGGTGGTAGTCACACAGCTGTACATTTGCCCTAATTCATAGAACTGTACATACAAAGTGTGAACTTACTGCACGTATATTATTTATCAATAACTCTGATTTTTAAAAGTATAAAGATAAATAGATATAGATATATAGTTTTGAAAACATGCCTCTTTGTCCATGAGAGCACAGTGGCCCATGCACTTACCTGAATGTCAACAGGAAGCCCCAGTCCTTGGTTGTCAACCACAGTCATCGTCACGATGGGTTGAATCATCAAGGCAATGAAGGGATTAATTCCAAACGTCAGGGCATAGTCTTCCATGCTCAGATTAACTCCAATCTGAAATCTGTCATTGTACAAATGGAAAGAGTTTTAAAAGGACACACACATGCGCATTCAAATACAAAACAGCGAATTGTGTTCTTCTCAAGGCTTTGGTCTGCTGAGGAAGCCCAGGTTTCTATTGACAGTTTCTTTCTGAAAGCTCTTTTAGCAGAGATAGACTGAAGAAATAGACAAATGGGATGGTGCAATGTATTTTAACATTCCGTGGGATGGGATATAGTACGCTAAGAATTTAAAACTAGTTAAACAATTCTAAAATTAAACCAAATTTTCAAAATACTCTGCAACTAGAAAACATTCAACATTATTTGAGATAAATATGGCTTAGCAAGTCACTTTTAAAATCAGATGTATCAGGCCGGTCACTGTGGCTCAGGCCTGTAATCCCAGCACTTTGGGAGGCTGAGGCAGGCAGATCACTTGAGGTCAGGAGTTTGAAACCAGCTTGGTCAACATGGTGAAACCCTGTCTCTACCAAAAAATACAAAAATTGGCTGGGTGTGGTGGCACATGCCTGTAGTCCCAGCTACTCAGAAGGCTAAGGCAGGAGAATCGCTTGAACCTGGGAGACAAAGGCTGCAGTGAGCTGAGATCGTGTCACTGCACTCCAGCCTGGGAGACAGAGGGAGACTCTGTTTCAAAAAAAAAAAAAAAAAAATTAAGCTTATCAATAAGTGAAAACAGGTCAGCATGAAGAATTTTTTACTTATTTAAAGATTTAATCACTGGATTATTTATTGAGTTAGCAATTTCAGAGTCTAATCAGTGAATATTTCTCTGCAAAATCCACAAATTATTTCCTTTCATAGTTCATTCAATCTGGTAATTAATTCATTTTAAATAATTGTACTGGGATGTTAAATTTAGTCAGTCAAGACTGACATATATAGTTAAAGTTCTTCCATGCAATTTAGCTAAAACATTTGTAATGTGAATCTATTTACAAAATGAACCAAATGAAAAATGTTAACTATTTTTATGTCCCTTCCAAAATTCTTTACATAAAAAAACAAATACAAGCATTTTAAAACGATGTGATTCAACAAAAGGCATTATTTCCATGCAAGATACTACCAACTAAACATAGCAAAACCCATAAATGACCTTAGGTCCCACGTAGTGAATATGACAGGTGGTTCAAATGGGACTTGTAATTTCAGGTCTTTCTTGTTCAGCTAACAGTTTTTCCCTTGAACAAATGTGGAACTACATTGATGCTTTTAAAACTTAGATGAAATCAAATGGCAGATTTCCTTTTAGTATGCAAATTATTTCATGTTGGAATCTTGATTTAATCCGTTCAGATGCCTAAGCAGCTTGACAGTGATTTATTTGGTTTTGGATAAGACCTCTACATGTGATGGATTAGAAAAAAACACAGTTCTGACGGTGGGCTGAGAGTGGCTTTGAATCCTAAGATTTTTAGTCCAAACCCCCAAATTATTTCCAAGATACCTGAAATTACATGTAATCATACTATTTCAAATCTTATCTTGAAGCTCCGGCTGGGTTATTTCACAGTGGCCTTCACTTGGTCGCTGTGGAGACATTGAGCTACCACGCAGAGAACATTGCCTAGGACTAGCAAGTTCTTAGAAAAGTAATTGTTGTATTTATATTCTTCCATTGGGCATTTGGCAGTAAGTACAGATGAGCCTCTGGGGGATTGTCTGTAATTTAAAAAATAGAACTACCTTGAAGTTTTATTCAATCATTTATATATCGTGTATTACGGAAGTATGAGATTAGCATTTCCCAATTTACTCTATAACTTAAAGGAAAGTAATGGGAACATTTACTAAAGCATAAAAAAATTAGGTTGTGCCTGTATAACAATGAAATTGTTAAATTAAAAAAATTTCAGGCTGGGCTCGGTGGCTCATGCCTGTAATCCCAGCACTTTGGGAGGCCGAGGCGGGCAGATCACGAGGTCAAGAGATCAAGATCATTCTGGCCAACACGGTGAAACCCCATCTCTACTAAAAATACAAAAATTAGCCAGGCGTGGTGGCACGTGCCTGTAGTCCCACCTACTCGGGAGGCTGAGGCAGGAGAATCGCTTGAACCCGGGAGGCAGAGGTTGCAGTGAGCCGAGATCATGCCACTGCACTCCAGCCTGGCGACAGAGAGAGACTCCACCACAAAAAAAAAAAAAAAAAAAAAAAAATCAATAGCTCAAAGTTTTACTTTCATATTGCATGTATTTATTTTTTTATTTTTTGAAGGAAATACTAACCAAGTACCTACTTAAAGTGAGAACTAGAGGAAACACCAGGGGCATAACAGGGAACAAGCTAGACAATGACGGCACCCACGGAGCTTGAGCTTGCACTCCATCAGGGAATAAATTAGGACCAGATAATTGCTTTGATTAATTGTTAATTAAATTTATCAGTTTTTATGTCATGAAAAAATGCAAAGTAAATATCTTTTTATATAATAATCACAAATTAGGCCAGGCGCAGTGGCTCACACATGTAATCCCAGCAGTTAAGAAGGCAGAGGCGGGCGGATCACTTGAGGTCGGGCGTTTGAGACCAGCTTGACCAACATGGCGAAACCAACAGGGCGAAACCCCATCTCTACTAAAAATACAAAATTAGCCAGGCGTGGTGGTGCATGCCTGTAATCCCAGCTACTCAGGAGGCAGAGGCACAAGAATCACTTGAACCCGGGAGGTGGAGGTTGCAGTGAGCTGAAATCGCACCACTGCACTCCAGCCTGGATGATGCAGCCAGACTCCAAAAAAAAAAAAAAAAAAAAAAAAAATCACAAATTATTTTATGTAAACTTCTATCATATAATGATTGAAATCATGGATGGTCAACAGTCTTAGAATTTCTTCTAAACCTCAATACTAACCCTTTGCATGAGATAAATTTATTCTACACTTGCTAAATTTATAAGTTGCCTAGAAGTTGGAGCAGTAATTAGATGTAAATGAACTTACAGAGATTGAATTCACACATGTAGAAAATGATATTTTGTCAGTATGTTGAGTTAGATATGTAAATGATCATTTTATTTAGTGCCAAAGTTCACACATCTATTTGGTCAAGTTCCCTTTGTTTCTCTACTGAGTATGTCTCCAGACACTAAAATACTAGGTTTATTCAATTCTTGCCCAGTAATTAATTTTAAAAATGTAACCCAAATTAATTGTGTCTGAAATAATTTTTCTCTTCACTAAACTTACTGACCATCTGACTGAATTGACAAATTAGATAAAAGATGATTGTGCAGGACTTTGGTGGAAAGCTCTGAACATATTCTCTGAGAAAACCCTAACAGTCAGATAACGAGTCTCATTTTACGGCCTCTTAGAATCTCAGGATTCTCACTATTCATGTGGCTTAACCTTTCACCGCTTTCATGTCCATAACAAAACATTCTGAGCATTTCTTAATTCATCAAAAGATTTTGTTTTTTCTAAATATTTCACATCCTGACAGTTAATTATTAATATTTTTCCAATTTCCCTATTTGTTTCCTCAGTAGAATGCAAGTTAACTTGCATCCATCAGTAGAATGAGATTAACATGCAATAGAAACGCAATACGGCTGTGAACCAATATGTTCTGAAATATTCAAGAATAATATACATTTATCTTTTAACAACATGGAAGTTATAGTCATGAATAGTAAAAATAACGGAAAAATCATTATCATTTTTACTAACTTTCAGGTTCTCCTTCCCAAGTATAGCCGTTGACCATGAAACGAAACTGATTTAGGTTTGGCTAGAATTATTTTTTCCTAATCAAGAGATTGCTAAGTGAAAACAAAATATTTAGAATGAATATTGGGGGAAGATAGAGATTTACTTCCTGTTACAGTAAGAAAATAACAAGGTAAGCTAAAAATCATATTTTTCCATAAAGAGAAAATAGGCATAAACTGCTGAAAATCAAATAAAAACAGAAAATCTAAAAGCAATTGCAGGCTGGGTGCGGTGGCTCACGCCCATAATCCCAACACTTTGGGGGGTGGGATCACCTGACGGGGGTGGGATCACCTGAGGTCAGGAGTTCGAGACCAGCCTGGCCAACGTAGTGAAACCCCATCGCTACTAAAAATACAAAAAGTAGCCGGGTGTGGTGTCTCATACCTGTAGTCCCAGCTACTCGGGAGGCTGAGGCAGGAGAATTGCTTGAACCTGGGAGGTGGAGCTTGTAGTGAGCCGAGATGGTGCCACTGCACACCAGCCTGGGCAACAAAGTAAGACTGGGTCTCAAAAAAATAAATAAATAGGCCGGGCACGGTGGCTCACTCCTGTAATCCCAGCACTTCGGGAGGCTGAGACGGGCGAATCATGAGGTCAGGAGCTCGAGACAAGCCTGGCCAACATGGTGGAACACCGTCTCTACTAAAAATACAAAAAATTAGTTGGGCGTAGTGGCGGGTGCCTGTAATCCCAGCTACATGGGAGGCTGAAGCAGGAGAATTGCTTGAACCCGGGAGGTGGAGGTTGCAGTGAGCCGAGATCATGCCGCTGCACTCCAGCTCCAGCAAAAGAGTGAGATTCTGTCTCAAAAAAATTAAATAAATAAAATAAAAATAAAATAAAATAAAAGCAACTGCAACAAAAACAAAAATTGACAAATGGGATCTAACTAAACTAAAGAGCTTCTGTACAGCAAAAGAAGCTATCAACGGAGTAAACAGGCAACCTACAAAATGGGAGAAAATATTTGCAAACTATGCATCCAACAAAAGTCTGATATCCATAATCTATAAGGAATTTACACAAATTAATGAGCCAAAATCAAAGAACCCAATTAAAAAGTGGGCAAAAGAGGCCAGGCATGGTGGCTCACACCTGTAATCCCAGCACTTTGGGAGGCTGAGGCAGGCAGATTGCTTGAGCTCAGGAGTTCCAGACCAGTCTGGGCAACATGGTGAAACCCTGTCTCTACAAAATATACAAAAATCAGCTGGGTATGGTGGCATGCACCTGTGGTCCCAGCTATTTGGAAGGCTGAGGGGGGAGAATCACTTGAACTCTGGGGGCAGAAGTTGCAGTGAACTGAGAAAGAGATGTAGTTATCTCCCTTTTTTCATTTCTGATATTGATAAATTGTATTTTTTCCATTCTATGCACGAGCACTCTCTCTCACATTTATTAGACTTTTCAAATGACTGATTTGGCTTTGGTAATTTTTCCTATTGTACTATTTTCTATTCCATTGATTTTATTTTTTGTTATCTCTAACATTTTCTTCTTTTCTTTGAGTTTCATTTGCTGTTCTCTTCTAGCTTCTGAAGATGAATGTTTAAATAACTTAATTTGTGTCCTTTCTTTTTTTAAAAAATAAATGCATTGGAGACTGTATGTTTCTCTCCTTGCACTGCTTAAGTGTATCCTATAAGTTGTGATTTTTCATATTTTCCTTGTCATTCAGTTCAAATTATTTTCTAACTCCAAGTATAATTTTTTGACCATGTTCTATCTTTAATTATAAAACATTTGGGTATTTTTAAATTACAATTTTGCTAACAATTTTAGCTTAATTATGGTTGTCAGAATACTTTTTCCATATGATTTCAATCTTTTGATATTTATTGAGGGCTACTTTTTGGCCCAGTCCAAGCCTGTTTTTGGTCACTCTTCTATGTTCACTTGAAAATAATCTTTATCCTGCAGTGTGTACAGTTTCCACATATCCATCACTGCAACTTTATTTGACATGTAGTTTCAATCTTCCTAATCCTCACTGATGTTGTTTGTCTACTTGTTATTGAGAGAGCTGTGTTCACATTTGCAACTGTGAGTGTGGACTATTTTATTTCTCTAAAATTTTTTTGGCATTTTGCTTAATACATTTTGAGGCTGTATTTTTCGTGCATACAAATTTAGAATAGCTTTATTGGCTGGGCACGGTGGCTCACACCTGTAATCCCAGCACTTTGGGAGGCCGAGGCGGGTGGATCACTTGAGGTCAAGAAGTTTGAGACCAGCTTGGCCAACATGGCGAAACCCCGTCTCTACTAAAAATACAAAAATTAGTTGGGTGTGTTGGCACACGCCTGTAATCTCAGCTACTCGGGAGGCCAAGGCAGGAGAATCGCTTGAACCTGGGAAACAGAGGTTGCAGTGAGCCGAGATCGTGCCACTGCACTCCAGCCTGGGTGACAGAGCAAGACTCTATCAAAAAAAAAAAAAAAAAAAAAAAAAAAAGAATAGCTTTATTTATCTAGTTGTTGATGAACACTTTTATCATTATAAAACGACTATGAAACTTATAATGCAAAGACAAATCACTCTGGTGTTATTGCTTATTTCATCTGATATTGGGATACCTAAACTAGCTTTCCTTGTATTAGCATTTGTACAGTTTATCTTTTCCCATATTTGCACTTTCAGCCTTTTGGAGACCTTATTTTCAAGAAGTGTGTCTTGAAAGCAACATAATTAGGTTTTGAGTTTTAAAATCCATTCAGCTGACTTTTGTCTTATAATTGGAGTAATTAGTTCAGGCACATTTTAATGATTTTGCTGCTATATTGGGTTTTAAATTTACCATTTATTTGTCCTGCCTGATTTACGTTCCTTGTTCTGTTTCTTGTCTTTTGTTGCCTTAATTAAGTTTAAAAACACTTTCCCTCCCTTCATTAGCTTGTTAGTACTATCTTATTGTATTATTCTTTTAGTAGTTACCATATATATTATAGCATGAATTTTTGACCTAGCAGAGTCTACCCTAAAATAGTATTTTCACCACTTCTTTGACAATACAAGGATTTTGCAATACTTTAAATTTATTATTTCCCCTTCCTTTTGTGCTATTACCATCATAAATTTTAACTGTACATATATTTTTATTTATTTATTTTTTTGAGATGGAGTCTTGTTCTGTCGCCCAGGCTAGAGTGCAATAGTGGGATCTCGGCTCACTGCAACATCCGCCTCCCAGGCTCAAGCGATTATCCTGCCTCAGCTTCTCCAGTAGCTGGGATTACAGGCACCTGCCACCACGCCCAGCTAATTTTTGTATTTTAGTAGAGATGGGGTTTCACCATGTTGGCCAGGCTGGTCTCAAACTCCTGACCTCAAGTGATCCGCCCGCCTTGGCCTCCCAAAGTGCTGAGATTACAGGTATTAACCATCGTGCCCGGACTCTACATATATTTTTAAAACTAGAAACATTAGGCCAGGTGCGGTGGCTCACATCTGTAATCCCAGAACTTTGGGAGGCTGAGGCAGGTGGATCACTTGAGGTCAGGAGTTGGAGACCAGCCTGGCCAACATGGTGAAACTCCTTCTCTACAAAAACTACAAAAAAATTAGCCAGGTATGGTGGTGCACACCTGTCATCCCAGCTACTTGAGTGGCTGAGGCTCGAGAATTGCTTGAACCTGGGAGGCAGAGCTTGCAGTGAGCTGAGATTGCACCACTTCACTCCAGCCTGCGCGAATCTGTCTTAAAAATCAAGATTTGCTTAGATTTACTTATATGTTTATTCTTTCCAGTATTATTTTTCCTATATTATTGCAATGCTAATGGTGATCATTTTCATTCTGCCTAAAGAATTCCCTTTATATTTCTTTTAGTGTAAGCCACAATAATTTTGCTTAATTTTTTTGTCTTAAAAATTCTTTATTTTGACTTAATTTTTGAGGAATATCTTTGCTTAGCATAAAATTCTAGGCTAGCAGTTCTTTACTTTTCACACTTTAAAAATATTCTTGGGAGGAGGGCAAAAGTTGAAAAACTACCAATTGGGTAATATGCTCACTAGCTGGGTGATGGGATCAATTGTATCCCAAACCTCAGCCTCAAGCAATATACCCATGTAACAAACCTGCACATGTACTTCCTGAATCTAAACCAAAAGGTGCAATTATTTTTAAAAGATAAAAATAAAAATAACAGGCTGGGCGTGGTGGCTTACGCCTGTAATCCCAGCACTTTGGGAGGCCAAGGTGGGCAGATCACGAGGTCAGGAGTTCGAGACCAGCCTGGCCAATATGGTGAAACCCCATTTCTACTAAAAATACAAAAATTAGCCGGGCATGGTGGCATGCACCTGTAGTCCCAGCTACTTGGGAGTCTGAGGCAGAAGAATCGCTTGAACCCGGGAGGCAGAGGTTGCAGTGAGCTGAGATCGTGCACTGCACTCCAGCCTGGACAATGGAGCAAGACTCCGTCTCTAAATAAATAAATAAATAAATAGAAATAAAAATTAAAATGTTGTTTCATTGTTTTCTGGCTTCCAGTATTTCTGTTGAAAATTCAGATGTCATCATTACTAATACTCCTTAGAAAGAAACGCATCTGACCTTCATTTTATAGCCAAACAGACTAGAAAACTTTAAGGCCACAGAGCATGTCAAAGATTATGCTGCCAGTAATGTTCAGCCAAGGAAAATATTTTCAGATGTTTATTTCGGATTAACTTGGTATATAGAATGAAATACATTGTTACACAGAAAACGAGAAGCAACATCGAATTCCTTGAAGTGTTCTCCAACCAGCATCCACCACCTCCTTAGCTCATTTACTTCATGATTAATCTAAATCAAATACTTCATATTTTTAAACTACTGTGTGATATAGTATTTAGACATAGTTTTATAGAACAGCTTCACTTCTGTAACAGCTCTCAGAATATTTGATAAGTCATTTCAAAAAGAAATAGATACGCTCTGACTATACAAGCAGGACAATTGGGAGTGAAAACTAAACTTAGTCAAAATTAGAATCGCATCTTATTATACTGTGTCGCTAAATCAGACAAAATAAAAGCCTAACAATATATTACTGCTTAAGAACTTCAGGTATCCTCCTGATTAGGAATCTTAGTCAAGTCGTAAGAGAAAGTTGATTCAAATGGGAATATAGTTTCATTGCCTCTTGTAGGAAGCCTTAGGCATAACATTGCAAAATGCTATTCAGAGGAACTGGAAGAATAAATAAACATGTTTTGTTGCTTCAGGTTTAGGTAGTTAAAAGAAAGAAATGGTAAATACTTACACGGCTATGGTTATAAAGAGCATAAAACTTGACTTGAATATCAAGAGACCAGCATAGTGCACCCAAATATTAGTTGTGAAATGCATGGGACATAGAGAACCTCCATCTGCTCCTGAGAAGATCACCAAGGGCAACTCACCCGGAAGATCCCAGATGACTTTGATGTAGCCACTGTGAAGGCTGCCACGGCTCCTAAAATAAAATAAAATAAAATAAAATGAAATAAAATAAAATAAAAAATAAACTACATCTTGTTAATCCATGTACAGTAAAATAGCACACGGTTTTGTTAAAATCCACAGTTACAGAAGCACTGAAGCGTTTTCAGACTAAGGTAAAAAAAAAATGCTGACTTATTGTGAACTTTGAATGAAAAATTGCTTGATCCACCTCTGTGAACTGTACATATCATTTTCTCTTAAGGGTTGAAATAGACCAATTGAATTTAGGCTTTCGTAAATCATAGACTGGAGAGGACCCATGGAGAGGGCCATTTTTTTCTTTCCTCTTCCCTTTGCAGATGTTAAAACTCAGGCTTAGAAACCTGGTGTCAAATAAAAAGAATATATATGTGACTTAGATAGGAGAGGCTTTATTTAGAAGAAAGGCTATTGCAATAAAAAGAACTCTCTGATTGCAGAAATCTGCATGACTCAAGATCAAACAGAAAAAGGATTTACTTTTATAGGGTAAAGAGGGTACAAGCAGACATAAGCAGAATCTCTGCAGAGGAAGCTGGATTCACAGGGGGAAATGGTCAGTGGCGTTTGACAGGAAAGTATCCCACTGTGGTCAGCCAATTCCCGTTTGGAGCTGATAAGGGTGACACATTCCACATTTTTTTGTGTTTGCTCAGGGTTTGGAGTAAGCAACATTTAGGGGTCTGTAGGAAAGCCAGGAGCCTGACTAAAGTCTGGTCAAGACAAACAGAGGGTAAGAAATGGGAAACTGAATGCTTGGTCATTGGCTTGAGGTGCACAAGGTCTGCAGCCTAAAGTTTCCTAATGTGTGGTGCCTGCTCTTTTCCCCCCCGCCCTTTCTGTGAGCCTATTACCAATGCCCTAGGAAGGATGGCCTCTCTCTCTTTGCCCTTGTCTCTCTTTTCTCTTTCCTTTCTGTAACACCATTTAAAAATTTTCCTCAAGATCCCTGGCAGATGCCAAGCTTTTCTCTCTCTCTCTCTCTCTCTCTCTCTCTCTCTCTCTCTCTATATATATATATATATATATATATATATATATATATATATAGAGAGAGAGAGAGAGAGAGAGAGAGAGAGAGAGAGACAGAGAGAGAGAGACAGAGAGACAGAGAGAGAGAGAGAGATGGGATCTCGCTATATTGACCAGGCTGGTCTCGAACTCCTGGCCTCAAGCAATCCTCCCATCTTGGCCTCTCAAATATTAGGATTACAGGTGTGAGCCACTATGCCTGGCCTGGTCATTCCCTTCTTTATTTGTTCCTTCCTTCCTTCTTTTCTTCCTTCCTTCTTTCCTTCATTTGTTAAACCAGCAAGTACTTTTGAGGTTCTCTGTGGAACAACATAGTGGTAAATTTTGGGTCCTTGCTTTGAAAACAATGCAGCCTAGTGGGGAAATTAGATAAATAAATTTAAGTTAATAAATAAATAAATAAATACGGTATGATAAAGATTATAAAAGAGTTCTGTTGGGATGCTGAGGCGGGTGGATCACCTGAGGTCAAGAGTTCGAGACCAGCCTGACCAACATGGTGAAACCCCATCTCTACTAAAGATACAAAAATTAGGGGGGCTGAGGCAGGAGAATTGCTTGAACCCGGGAGGCGGAGGTTGTAGTGAGCCTAGATCACGCCATTGCACTCTAGCCTGGGCGACAAAGCGAGACTCATTATCTCCCTCAACCCCCACCCAAAAGCTCTGACCCTAATCCAAATCTGATCTAGTGGTTGTCAACCAGGGGTATTTTTGCCTTCTAGCAGACAGGTGGCAATATTTGAAGACAGTTTTGGTTGTCACAATGGGGTGCATCCTGGCACCTAGTGGCTTACGGGCATACAATGTTGCTGAACATCCTACAGAGCTCAGAACAGTGCCCTCGACAAAGAATTGCCCAGCCCAAGAGGCCAGCAGTGCAGAGGATGAAACAGCGATCCGATCCCTGACCTAATCAACCAAGTGTTAGGAATTTTCAGGGAGGGAAATGACAAGAATGTGAGCTCAACAATGGGCCCCGCCATGTTCAATAAACAGGTGGGTGTGGAACAACCTAACTTTAAAATAAACAGCTTCAAAGTCTCATTTGATGTGAAAGCTTTGTTTTGTCAGGAAAATACATGCAGATTGTTGGGCTAACTTCAAAGACAGCTCTGGGGCCTGCCCTTTGTACCCTGGAGTATTAATGCCTGTGTCAGCCCACCTCTCCCTCCTTGCACCACACTGCCTTTGGAAGAGTGTTTTAAAGCTCACAAAGTATATTCTGGGAGAGATGAGGAGTGCCTGGACAAGCATCTCAAACTCTCCAAACTACTGTAGCTTCTGAGCCAGGAGGAAGGTTTTGCCCAAGCGGAAGGCCCAGGATGGACCTTGAAGGGTGAACCCAGGCGTGGGAGCTGAAACCCTCAGTACCCCAGAGACCTTCCCAAGATTTCTCTTGGTTGCTCAGTCTTCTTGCCTTTTTCCTGTCAGACAACACAAATATCAGAAATTCATCTTTAGATAAGGAGGAAGGAGACACCAGCCAACTCAAGGGACAGCAATGATACTCAGGCTGGGAACCCTGATATTTATAAGATAGCTCCAAGAGCAGAAGCTTTCAAACTTCTTTGACCATAGCCTGAGAAAAATATATTTTATATATTAATTAGTACATATATATGTGTGTGAACAGAATTTTTGCAAAACAAAATGTACCCTTACAAGCTGATATGCTCCCTATTCTATACTAGACAAGTCTACTCCGATTTAAAAATGCTGGTCAGCAACCCACTATATTGAATTCAAGATCCACAATCTCTAAAGGGCCAGGTAGTGAATACTTACGGCTTATGAGCCACATATCCTGTTTTACAAGTCTTGTTGCATATTTTTTTTTCTACAATCCCTTAAAAAGGTAAAACTATTAGCTGCGGTCAACTTTGGCTTAGGTCAGTTTATGCATATCAGGTTTGAAGACCATTACCGTGAGTGTGCCCACCTTATGGTAATGTAGTCTGCAAACCACATTTTATTATTATTTTTTGACACAGGGTCTCACTGTCATCCAGGATGGAGTACAGTGGTGCGATCTTAGCTTTCTGCAGGCTTGACCTCCTGGGTTCAAGTGATTCTCTTGCCTCAGCCTCCTGAGTGGCTGGGACAACAGGCGAACGCCACCAAACCCGGCTAATTTTTTTACATTTTTTGTAGAGATGGGGTTTCATCATGTTGCCCAGGCTGGTCCACATGCCTCGGCCTCCCAAAGTGTTAGGATTACAGGCATGAGCCATCACACCTGGCCTTTCAAACCACATTTTAAAGACTAGAGTTATTGAAAGATTCCAGAAAGAAAAAAAGTTTTTTTTGTTATTTTTTTTCCCAAGAGTCTTGCTCTGTTGCCCAGGCTGGAGTGCAGTGGCAAGATCTCAGCTCACTGCAACCTCCACCTACCAGGTTCAAGTGATTCTTGTGCCTCCCGAGTAGTTGAGATTACAGGTGCATGCCAGCATGCCTGGCTAATTTTTGTATTTTTAGTAGAGATGGGGTTTCACCACATTGGCCAGGCTGGTCTTGAACTCCTGACCTCATGATCCACCCACCTCGGCTTCCCAAAGTGCTGGGATTACAGGTGTGAACCACCGTGCCCAGCCTGTTTGTTTTACGAGACAAAGTCTCACTCTGTCACTCAGGCGGGAGTGCAGTGGCACAATCATAGCTCACCGAAGCCTAGAACTCCTGGGCTCAAGTGACCCTCCTGGCCTCAGCTTCCCCAGTTGCTAGGACTACAGGCACACACCACCATGCCCAGCTAATTAAAACAAATTTTTTTTTTTTATAGAGACAGGGTCTCACTATGTTGGCTGGGCTGGTCTTAAACTCCTGGCCTCCCCACCTCAGCCTCCCAAAGCTCTGGGATTACAGGCATGAGCCACCTTGCCTGCCTGAAAAGAGTTTTGATAGTTTAACCTTAAACCATCTAACTCTTCATGGTCAAACCATAATTGGCCAGCAGGACACCAGTTTGTAGCTCCTGTTTTTAGGGATGAGTGTAACTTTATCTTCCATGTATACCTTTTTCAATGTTTTATTACATTAGTTGCCTCTTTTAAATTTGTGACAAAACTCTTCTTTTTCAAACTACTTGGTAGTTGGTGTTGAAATCACTACAACAGGATTATTGAAGAATACAATTTGAAAGTTGTGTTATTTATTTTATGTTCAAGAAAATTAAATAAAAACAACTATTTTTTACCCAAGATACTACAGTACACAATTACCTCCGAATGCATGATATCTTTTGATCTTTAAAGCAATCCTGTGCAGCTACCCAGGAGGCTGAGGCAGGAGAATGGCTTGAACCAGGGAGCTGGAGGTTGCAGTGAGCCGAGATCGTGCCACTGCACTCCAGCCTGGTGACAGAGCCAGACCCCATCTCAAAAAAAAAAAAAAAAGAAAAAAAGCTATCCTGTGAAATAAACTAGCAGATATTGTTCTGGCCTTTTAAGAGAAGAGAAAATGGATTGCTAGAATTTTCATTGATTTGCCTACTTGGCAAATGATAGAACATAGATAAAAAAATTGAGCCCAGGGGCCAGGCACGGTGGCTCACGCCTGTAATCCCAGCACTTTGGGAGGCTGAGGTGGGTGGATCACGAGGTCAGGAGTTCAAGACCAGTCTGGCCAACACAGTGAAACCCCGTCTCTACTAAAAATACAAAAAATTAGCCAGGCGTGGTAGTGTGCACATGTAATCCCAGCTACTCGGGAGGCTGAGGCAGGAGAATCGCTTGAACCCAGGAGGTGGAGGTGGCAGTGAGCTGAGATGGTGCCACTGCACTCCCTCCTGGGCGACAGAGCGAGACTCTTTCTCTAAGAAAAAAAAAATTGAGCCCAGTGTTTTTTTATTTTTATTTTTTAATCTAGTCACTAGCTTCATTATAAACAGCAAAAATATCAATTAAATATGTGTTGTATACTTGACGTAGCGTAGGTCTTGTAATATCAGTTCTTACTATCTTACTTTTTTCAGGGCTCTATTGCACTGAAATGCATTGATTGGAGTTACTTCCGAACAGGTCTAATTTTTTACCATGGAGTATCTTACAACATGGAGCAGCACATTTTCTGCACATTGATGAGATAAAGTCTTATATACCTAGACCCAAAGGTTTCAAGGGCTTCTACTGCTCCATTATATATTGATAGGGTTTGACTGTATCCCCATCCAAATCTCTTCTTGAATTGCAGCTCCCATAATTCCCACGTGTTGTGGGAGGGACCCAGTGGGAGATAATTGAATCATGGGGGTAGTTTCCCCCGTACTGTTCTCATGATAGCAAATAACTCTCATAAGATCTGACAGTTTTATAAGGGGTTTCCCCTTTCGCTTGGCTCTCATTCTCTCTTGCCTGCTGCGATGTAATCAGTGACTTTGCTCCTCCTTTACCTTCTGCCATGATTGTGAGGCCTCTGCAGCCATGCTGAACTGTGAGTCAATTAAATCTCTTTCCTTATAAATTACCCAGTCTTGGGTATGTCTTTGTCAGCAGCATGAAAATCGACTAATACATGTATTGTGAAACTTTGAGATGGTGCCTTGTAATCCCATAGGATTTGAACATAGTTTAACATCTGGTTAAAACCTGTTGTGGAAAAAGCCCACCACAGGGGTCAGTAAAAGAGATGCTTCGAGGAGTAGCACTCCTGCAAATCCCGGGACCACTGCACAAAATCTCTCAAAGCCACATTGCTTGGCTTTGGGGTGCCCCACTGCTGGCATCCAGGTCCCCTGAAACAGTGAATAATTCCGAGTGAACTGCTTTGTGATCCTTGTGAGATTCCTCTAAGATGGCGTCCTCTCCTGGTGGCTTTTGAGGAGTTTCTTTTTTGGGTTTTGCATGAAAAAAACATGCTCTTTTTGGGCATTGGTAGAAAAGGTGAGAAAAGGAAGGCCACGGAGACAGAGGCCAAGGATATGACGTTGAGGTAAAAGTACAACAGGTTCACCGGGGATACCAAGAGTCGGGCCAGCACCGACCCTGCTGTGTAGGTGGCCAGCGTGACACTCCTGCAGTAGCCGCTCACTCTCTGGTAGTGCTCGGGGCTGACCACGCTGTATATGTAGGCGTAGTAAGCCACCTCGGCGGCAGTGACCATCCCGTAGAAGAACTCTACAACCTGCACGGTCTTCACTCCTTGGCCAAACAGGAGCGGCAGTCAGGTAATGATGAAACTAATAATACCTTGCAAGATGATGACTGGCTTGTAGCGGACGTAATCGGTGAGGACAAACACAAGCAGCAGCAGCACCAGGTAGGAGTATGTCCAAACGGGGAAGATCTCATCTGTCATCTGCAAGATTAAGTGGGGAGAGTGCAAAGACAAAAAAACATCAGGACGTGAAATACACCCTGGGCCTCTGACACTTAACATTATCAAGATGAGATGTATCAACCCCAGGACGCACTGCTTGGCCTTTGCCAAAGTGGGTCTAGTTTCATGGTTTACATGAATTTCTAACAATACTTTGGAAAGCAATGGGAAACTGAAATTCAGGGAAACAAATTGAATGACAGATATTCATAAGGTGAGAATTTATATTTCCAGGTGTAAAAAACACAGCAGCTATTATCTTAGTTATCAGCCTTTTAAACTTTATAAATGTAATTTGATCTGCAATAAGCTATGGAGGCTAGGAAAAGAGGCCATAATGGATAAATTAATCTGTTTACACTTGACAGGATTTCCAGAACAATCTAGGGCTGCTCAGATACTGTTGCTTACTAGCATGTAACAAAATAGTTTATTCCTCTTCACAGTGAGAACCAAAAGGTCAAAAAGGATGTTTCAGTACTGGAAAAACCTGACCGCCTTCTTTCCCTTTGATATCCATCAGTACAAAACTGAGGAGCCCATTGCGTTACCATCTCGGTGATCAGGAAAATATGGAACAAATGACCAGTTTGAGATTGAATGTCAGAGGAAGAAATGTGTGTGTTTATCTTCTACTCTTCCGTTTTCTTCACTTTACTTTTTTGGGCTGCCCTGGAGGAACCATAAGAAACTACTTAGTAGCTCTCTCATTCAAGACAATTTTGGCCACAGTTTCTCTTGGAACTGCTGGCACTGGCCAATTATCGGCGCCTATCTGTCGTAAGTGATTATTTCACTTTCTATAAGGGGAATGTACAGTGGGTGGAGGATGACACAAAGGCGGTTGGGGTAGACCTTCTCAAATCCCTGTCCTCTGAATTTCTAGACTACCAAAATAAATCCACAGATTTACTGAGCCTGAGAATGCCCTTTGCTATGACCTAATCTGTGTCCTCATGCTTTGGGTTCCCAGGTAGACTTTTACCCAAGCACTCTTGAAGTTTGGTAGAACTTTATTCTTGCTGTTTTTGGCTTTTGGGTATAGTCACTAACATGGTAAAAGCTGTATGCCAGATATGCTTTTTGTGACAATCTCTGGTATTTGAATCCAGCCCAGTCATAGCTTCTAGCTAAACCAGTTTGTACCTCATGGGATGTACTGGTGTTTATTGTGAAGAAAAAAGGTGGATTGGTTTAGAAGGCAAAATCTACTTGGTGTGAGGTGGGTGAATGTAGATGGTGGCTAGGAAAGAGAGGCAAAATAAGATAAAATTGTTGGGTGCAACGGCTCATGCCTGTAATCCTAGCACTTTGAAAGACCAAGGTGGGAGGATTGCTTGAGCCTGGGAGTTCCAGACCAGCCTAGGCAACATAGTGAGACCCTCTCTCTACAAAAAAAAGAAAAGTAAAAATTAGCCTGGCACCTATAGTCCTAGCAGCTTGGGAGGCTGAGGCAGGAGGATTGCTTGAGCCCAGGAGTTTGAGGCTGCAGTGAGCTATGATCATGCCACTGCACTCCAGCCTGGGCATGCCATTTAAGACCATGGATTCTGCAGTCAGACAGTCAGGTCCAAATCCTTCTCTGCTGCTTACAAACATGTGACCTTTGGTAAGTTACTGGACCTTTTTATACCTCAGAATCCTCATCTGTAAAGTGGGGATGATAATATGTTTTGAGGATTCCATTTGCTAGTGCATGTTAAAACAATGCCTGGCACACACTACGCAGTCATCAGTCATAAGCTATACAATTTGCCATACTGATGGCTTTGAAAGGTATTGATGTGCTGACACGCACATCTTACCACTAGCCTGGGATCTCCTTGAGAGCAGGGATTCAGTTTTGTCACCTTAGAGTCTAGCACAGTGTCTGACCCATCAAAGGTATCGAGCTGGGAGCAGTGGCTCATACTTATAATCCCAGCACTTTGGGAGGTAGAGGCGGGTGGATCACTTGAGGCCAGGAGTTCGGGACCTGCCTGGCCAACATGGCAAAACTCTGTCTCTACTAAAAATACAAAAATTAGCCAGGCATGGTGGCACATGCTTGTAGTGCCAGCTACTCTGGAGGCTGCGGCACAAGAATTGCTTGAGCCTGGGAGGCAGAGGTTGCAGTGAGCCATGATCTCGCCACTGTACTCCAGCCTGGGCAGCAGAGTGACACCCCGTCTCAAAAAAAAAAAAAAAAAAAAAAGTATCCTAGAAGCGCTTGTTGAAAGTACAGTCATCAAACCAGACTTTTCTGACCATAAAAATTCAAATAATAATATGTTTTCCAAGCGTTTAACTTATTTAAAGTTGTTCTCTGGAATGAGAACTACAAGCGACCATCTGATTCTCAAGAATATGCTGGTTACTTACTCCTAAAACAGCTCTGGAATAAGGAAAAGAGGATTTTCTGGTGGGAAGAACATGGGCATTGTAGTTGAGTAAATTAAAATCTCTAATCCACTCTTTCAAGTCATGTGATCCTGTCCGAGTTTCTCTGTGTCTTGGGGCCTCAGTTTCCCTTAGCTGACTAGGGAGATTGTAATGCACATCACACAGGTGTAGTCGTGAAGAAATTTCCTGGCCTAATGCTTTCCTGGTAGCAGGTGCATAACGTGGGTTACATTCCACATTATGCCACCTCTACGTAGGAATCCACATCTAGCTTCTGTGGCCGTGGAAGAGAGAAGGACCATCTTTCAGAGCGTGGAGACGCTGGTCATCATCCAGCTCGTATAAGTCACAGGCAGGTGCTGGAGCCTGAAACCGTTAAGTTTTAAGTGAGTTTAGCAATTGAGATTGTTATTTACACTGATTAGTCCTGCTGGCGATTAAGGGGAATAGCCAGGGGAGACCTGTATTCACTAGAAATAATCCTCTGGAAAGTGAGATATTAAATAATTGCATACTTTAGAAAAATGCATAATTTCTTGTCACCAGATCCATTGCAGTTTTACAAGTGTATTTTGCAGAACATTAATTCCTGGGTTACTTCTAATAAAATAGAGAGTAGAAATGATTTCTAGGGCCAGGCACAGTGGCTCACATCTATCATCCCAGAGTTTTGGGAGGCCAAGGCAGGAGGATCACTTGAGCCCAGGTGATGGAGGCTGCAGGGAGGTATGATCGTGCCACTGCACTCCAGCCTGAGTAATAGTGTGAGACCTTGTCTCAAATAAAACCCCCAAAATTAGCCAGGAAATCAAATCTCAAATCCTCTTTCTGAATCAGTCATGGACAAAACATCACTCACCATTTTTGAGGACCAGGAGAGACCATGGCTTCAGGTTTTTACATTGGAAATAACTCCTGATTCCTCCCCTAATGCTAGCAGCAGAATGTTTAACTCAAGATGGTTGGATGGGTTGGTTCAACTAAATTAGGAAGTCCATCACCAGCACAGTGAAAAGACTCAAAGAATATGAGTGCTCACATGGAGAAATAGCTACAACAAATCCTCTTCAGTGCGAGATTTCCACAACTCTGATTAGGATGGGCACCAAGTTTGCCCCCTGCTAGTATCTTCATTTATTATAAAAAGACGGTGAATGGTATATTATTTTATTTGTCAGCATTCTGCTTACATGGCCCCTCTGAACTGAATGCTTTTCCTTATGGACTACAGAAAACGAATGACTACCTAGGAAAAACTTTGAAAACATAAAGAATACAATATCCCTTGATTATGTGGTCTGTCTGAGATGGAAGGGAGCAAGAAACAGCCTGAAAGATTCAAACATTCTTTCCTTAGGGCTATTTTTCTAACTTCAAGGCATTCTTCTATTTTTACAATTAAAGGCAGAGTTATAACTATGTAACAAAAAAGACAAACAGTGAACTTACAATCCCATGTTATGCCAGTGGCATACTTTTTAATATATCAAGCAGGTGTTAATTTTTATTTACTGTTTAACCTCTGCTTCAAAGGTCATTGGTTAACATGGTCATTGGTTAAAATCAGTTAAAACGTCACCGAAGAAATGCTCTGATTTTCTCCTAATTATGTTAGAATGTAAATTTCTAACCTTTGCAAGGAAGATGGGTGCAGAGAAAGCAGTGGACTTCTGGTCTGGGCCACTGGTCTATCCTAGTGTTGCTATAGACAGGGAATCCTGGAACTTGGGGGCTCTGGCTATTGCAGAGCTGGTGGGCTGCTCTGAGCAGCTTGGTATTTCATAAACATCCCAGGTATTACTGTGATGTGGCCATCAGATATTTTTTTCTGTTGTACTTAATCACAGCTAGCTGACCTTACTCAGATTCCTTAACCTGAGTCCCACTGATTAAGAGAAGATAAAAATTATCCACTATTTTGTTTGTAAGGAGTAAATAAGATCAATAGGGGAGGAATCCAAGCAGCACCTAGTATAATAAATACAGCTGTCTTTCCCTTGCTTTTCCTTGAAAATCTCATCTAGTCCCAGTCACCCAGAAGATCACAAGGACCAATGAATTGGTGATAAAATAAAAGCTCATAATGTCAGACCCAGCTAATATAGATTGTTGATCATCTGTACAAAAACCAATGTAAAAGGTTACAAAATCAATTTCAAGGCTATCCTGTAAGAATAGAGAGAGATTGAAAAAGTAAATTTATGACTTAATTAAGGTTGCAAGGAAAACTGTTTCTTTAAGGAATTACATTGTTTGAAAGCACTTTATAAATACTAACTTATGTAAGACTAGCAATAAATCATTCTTAACTGCTCTTTAATCAAATGTTCAGTCCTTCATTCCATAGTTCCTTCCATAGGGAACCCTTGGTCGGCTTCGTTAAATTCTGCTCAAAATACATGCTTTCCACACCCATACTTCCCTATTTGGATGTTTTACTGATTCATTTTGATTCTTCTCTACATAGTCTAAATCAGCAAATATTTACCATATGTACTTTTTAAAGAGTTGAAAGGAAGTTATCCCTATATTCTAGCGCCTCATGACTCGTGTCTCAGCATGAAAAGTATTTTTTATCCAGATTACTTAAATCAACATTGCATGCCAACATTTCCCATCTGAACCTTGGCCTGCCCGTTTTTCCTGGCAATGTTGCTTAACACCCACTGACCATGTAGTCTCATCATTTTTAATGGTGATGAGGCAGATTTCCTCCTAGTTCACATTGAATAGTCTATGTCACTGATCTTGCTATTTGGATGCCATGAGCTAGGACTAGGGACTCGTTTCAATGGCCTGTTTCTCTATCACCCAGGAAATCACAAGGCTCAATGAATTGCTGATAGCAATTTTGGTACTGAAAAGTAGGGCGGGGCTATACCAAATATGTAAAAGTGTGGAAGTGCCTTTGGAATTCTGTGATGGGTAGAGGCTAGAAGTGTTTTGAAGCACTTCATAGAAAAAGCCTAGATTCACATGTCTGAAATTGTTGGTAGAAATACAGACATTAAAGGCAATTCTGGGCCGGGTGCAGTGGCTTATGCCTGTAATCCCAGCACGTTGGGAGGCTGAGGCAGGTGGATCATGAGGTCAGGAGTTCGAGACCAGCCTGGCCAACATGGTGAAATCCCATCTCTACTAAAAATACAAAAATTAGTTGGGCGTGGTGGTGCGTGCCTGTAATCCCAGCCACTCAGAAGGCTGAGGCAGGAGAATTGCCTGAACCTAGGAGGCAGAGGTTGCAGTGAGCCGAGATCATGCCACTGTACTCCAGCCTGGGCGACAGAGCAAGACTCTGCCTGGCGGAGTGGGGGTGGGCTGGGGGAAAGACAATTCTGATGAAGGCTCAAAAGGAAGAGAGGAGAGCTACAAAGAAAGCTTCTATTGTCTTAGAGAATACGTGTACCACCATGTACAGAATGTTTCTAGAATTATGCACATTACAAGGTGTTTCTGGTGAGGTCTCAGATGGAAAGGGGTAGCATTTATTGGACACTGAAGGAAAGGTGATTGATCTGTGTTATAAAGCAGCAGAGAACTTGGCTGTATTATGTCGTGGTGTTGGAAGGAAAGCAGAACTTGTAAGTGATGATGCACTTGGATATTTAGCTGAGGAGAATCCCAAGCAAAGTGTGCAAAGGGGAAGCCTGTTGTCTCCTTGTTGCTTGTAATAAAATGTGAGAAGAAAGAGATAAATTAAAGAAGGAACTGCTAAGCAAAAAGGAAGCAGTACCTGATTTGGAAAATTCTCCACCTGTCCAAATAGTATACTATAGAAATGTCAAAAGTATGGCTCAACAAGTGTTTGCTAAATAAATGAGGTGTGTGGCTCATGGATCCAATCATTTATCTCATCAGAAGCCAAGAATAGAGATGTAGTTGTTCAGGAAAGATCTGTGCAGGGCCCTCTTGTCTGATGGCTTAGATCACCATGAATTTCTTGGGAGGCTGACAACGTTTTTGAGAATTTTATACCAGGAGAAACATTGCCATTCTGGACTGAAAGAGACCATAAAATTAACAAGAATGACTTAAAGCCTGGAGTGCTGGATGCAGAGGCCAGTCTCGAACTCCTGACCAGTTCGAGACCAGTCTAGCCAACATGGTGAAACCCCATTTGTACTAAAAATACAGAAATTAGCCAGACGTGGTGGCGGGCACCTGTAATCCCAGCTACTCAGGTTGCTGAGACAGGAGAATCGCTTGAACCCGGGATGCAGAGGTTGCAGTGAGCTGAGATCACGCCATTGCACTCCAGCCTGGGTGACAAGAGTGAAACTCCATCACAAAAACAAACAAACAAAAACATTGTAGTCTTTTATGAGAACATCTAAGTTTTTAAACAACCACCATATGGGTGTAAAAGATCATCAGGCCATAGAGGATTATGCTCAGGCCTTGAAGTCTTTTTTTTTTTTTAATTGTAAGTTTTCTTCAGTCTCAGAAGGTATCAGGCCTTGAAATCTAATGGAACTTGCCTTCCTAGGTTTCAGACTTGCTTGGGACCCATGACCCCTTTTTTCTTTCCAATTTCTCCCTTTTGGAATGAAAATGTCTGTCCTATGCCTAGATATTGTATTGTGTAAGCAGATGACTCATTGTCTGACTTCACGGGTTCATGGATGAAGAAGAGTTTGCCCCAGGGTGATTCATACTCTGAGTCTCAGCCATCAGTGATGTAGATGACAACATTTGGGACTTTGAGTTCATGACCTTTAGATGAAATTTTGGACTTAGAGTTGATACTGGAATGGTTAAGACTTTTGGGAATATTTGGAAGGGGTGGATATATTTTGCATGTGGGAAAGATGAATTTTGGGGCAAAGGGGAAGACTATTATGGGTTGCTTGTGTCCCCCAGAAAGACACGTTGAAGTCCTAATCCCCAGCATCTCAGAATGTTAATTTATTTGAAAATAGGGTTGTTGTAGATGTAATTAGTTAGGTTATGATAAAGTCATGGTGGAGTAGGGTGTGTTCTTAATCCAATGACTTGGTGTCCTTATAAGAAAGGGAAAAGAGACACAGAGACAGACCTGACAGTGAGAAGACAGCCATGTGAAGACCAAGGCAGAGATTGGAATGATGGATCTACACGCCATGGAATACCGAGAATTGCTGGTAAACACCGGAAGCTGAAAGATGCAAGGAGGGGCTCTCCCCGATAGGTTTCAGAGGGTACATGGCCCTGTTGACATCTTGAATTCAGACTTCTAGCCTCCAAAACTGTGAGACAATAAACTCACGTTGTTTTAATCCAACCAGTATTTATGGTATGTCATTAAAACCACCCTAGGAAGCTGACACAGATTGTGCTACACCTAATTTGAATTTTTAATCATTTGCACAAAATGTGGGATTAAATCTTTAATTAAAATATTTCATTTAAATCTACTGTATTCTGATTTTCCATGTATCAATACTTTCACTTTTGTTAAATACAAATAGGACAGATGAATCTATATTTACATATGGAGTGAAATTTTCCAGTTTGTTTTTGTTATCTTTAGCTAGGTAATAAATGTTAGTTACACCCCGTGTGGTGGTTGTTTGAAAACTTAGATGTTCACATAAAGGACTACAGTGTTATTTATTTATTTATTTATTTATTTATTTATTTGTTTGTTTGTTTGTTTTGAGACAGAGTCTTGCTCTGTCGCCCAGGCTGGAGTGCAATGATGCGATCTCGCCTCACTGCAACCTCTGCCTCCCAGGTTCAAGCGATTCTCCTGTCTCAGCCTCCCAAGTAGCTGGAATTACAGGTGCATGCCACCACGCCTGGCTAATTTTTGTATTTTTAGTAGAGGCGGGGTTTCACTATGTTGACCAGGCTGGTCTCAAACTCCTGACCTCCCACCTCGGCCTCCCAGAGTGCTGGGATTACAGGCGTGAGCTACCGCGCCTGGCCTACAGTGTTATTTTTAAAAACTAGATACTATATGAAATGCAGACATGATAAAGGGGTGCTTAACCCTTTTAGGTGACCTGCCTTTTTAAGAAAATTGCAATTTTCATAAAAAAAGTATACATTTTAAAATAGTTTAGTCATTACTCATTTTGTAATTTATTTTATATTGATTTTCCCCTCTGAGATTCAAATGTTTGTAACCATTGCTGTCTTTTTTACAGGTCTCTCTTCTTTATCAAGTTATCATATTTGGGAACAAGTGTAACATGGTAGAAATGAAGATGTCTCTTGCGTGGGAGGCTGATGCTCCAAGGGAACCTTGGGCAGGATCCATGCTTTCTGTTAACACAGGCTTCATCTACCCTAAGTGCTCAGGCAGCGTTTGGAGAAGGAAGAAGGATGACTGGAAGGAAGAAAGTTACTTTTTTTTTTTTTTTTGCAGTTGTGGGGAAATTGCACTGATTCACGCATGTACTTTTCTCCAGTCTCCCCGGTCACGAACAGAGCGTAATTGCTGCACGTCTGGCCAGAACAAACACTTGAGCTGGAAATACCAAACTGTATATATGTTAAACACAGGCTAGTTTTACAGAATTTTCACCTCTACTTCTCAATACAAAACCTGTTTTTCACAACTAGCATTACCCCCACACGCAGAAATTTTTAAAGAAAAGATGACTAGGTCTATTCTAGAACCTTTTGTTATTCCTGGCAGTAGTACAATGAAATTGGGTCTAGTGGTATTTATTGTTGGGGTGGATGTAACTCCTATTGAATCTGAAAGCACAGCATCAAGTGAAAACTGCTGAACAAATGCTAAGCATAGAAACTCTTCTGTTTATGAACTTTTTGGTTTTCAATAGGCTGCCCTGAGTATGCTTTTTTGTTCTTAATTGAACACAACATGGTACAAAAAATTACTACCCCTGGCCGGGCGCAGTGGCTCACGCCTGTAATCCCAGCACTTTGGGAGACCGAGGCAGGCGGATTCCAAGGTCAGGACTTCGAGACCAGCCTGGCCAACATAGTGAAACCCCGTCTCTACTAAAAAATATAAAAATTAGCTGGGCATGGGGGTACATGCCTGTAGTCCCAGCTACTCAGGAGGCTGAGGCAGGAGAATCACTCGAACCCGGGAGGCGGAGGTTGCAGTGAGCCAATATCGTGCCACTGCACTCCAGCCTGGGTGACGGAGTGAGACTCTGTCTAAAAAAAAAAAAAAATTACCTGTGGGTGCTGGGCTGAGCCATGATTTTGTTCCTCATCTGGAGGGATTAAGGACTGCTTGGCTAAGCTCATCCCCAGTTATTGACTCAGTTGGACTTGTGGGGAAGGTGTGAAACCAAAATTTTTTATTTCTAACAAATTCCCAGGTGTTGCTGCTGCTGCTGCTGGTTGTGGACCTCACCTTGAGAACCACTGCGTAGCTCACAGCCGTCCTGGCCAGCTCTCAGGCTGAAAGTTTGAGAGAGATTTCTGTAGTCATTTTAGCTGTAATTCCCCCGAGGGTTACACTAGAGGGCAGTGTGATTACAGCTACTGCGATGGACAGCAGGTTGACTTCACACTGAATCCAGACCGAGGTTTTATATTTTGTTTCCAGATGTTTCATGTAGGCATTTGTAGGTAGAAAAGGTTCTGCTGCTAAAAAGAAGTTAAAAGTTTGCTCTCTCTCCTGTCTTTTTATTTTATTTACTTATTTTTTTGAGACGGAGTTTCGCTCTTTTTGCCCAGGCTGGAGCGTAATGGCACAATCTCGTCTCACTGCAACCTCTGCCTCCTGGGTTCAAGTGATTCTCTTGCCTCAGCCTACCAAGTAGCTGGGATTACAGGCATGCACCACCACTCCTGGTTAATTTCATATTTTTGGTAGAGATGGGGTTTCACCATGTTGGCCAGGCTGGTCTCGAACTCCTGACCTCAGGTGATCCGCCCGCCTCGGCCTCCCAAAATGCTGGGGTTACAGGCGTGAGCCACCACGCCCAGCCTTTTTATTTTAAACTCATATATATTTATTAGCTGGAGAGCTGAGGCTATTGAGGTGTACAATTTTATTTTCCATTATTCAGAGAATGTTAGAGATAAATTTGCTATTTGAGCTCACTTTTCTAAACGTGTTTTCAGTGACTCCTGTTTTGTTAGTAGTAGAAATAGGGTTTGAGACCAAATAAAGCTGGAAACACTGAGTTAAAGTTACACAGACTCCTTTATTAAAATATTCCTTAGAGCCTGTGTTTGTACATTGGAAACCACTGGGAGGAGGATGCGGAAGGCAGGACCGCTGTGGGAGTAATGCCTTCTGGGTATTTTGGACAGGAAACACCTGCCTGGTCCTGATTCTTCGTCTTTTCCATAAGGAATTAAAAACTGGAAGAGAAAAATGACTGCTATGTAGTGACAGGACCTGTCTCCGGACTGCAGTCCAGGGTACTTTCCGTAGGACCAAAATATTATTACCTGCAGTTCTATGTGCAATGACAATACCCGGGCCAGTCAAATGCACTCGGTCTTCGGGCCTCGGGTCTTCCTGTTCCACCTGTTAGGACGCTCTTGCTCCAGGCATCTGCAGCCTTGCCTCCTCACTGCGTGCAGAGTGCTTAAATAGCACCTTATTAAAGAGGACCTCCCAGACCACTCTCCAAAATGGGCCTCCTTGGGTCACTCTCTATTTTCGTACCTTGCTTTGTCACCACCTGTTATGTGCTTAATTATTTTTTTGTTTGCTTCTTCTCTCTAAAATAGAGCTAGAACCGAAGGGACTTTATCTATCTTAGTGTCTGCTATATCCCTAGTACTTTGTAGGTGCTCAGTGAACATATACTGGATGAATTAATATTTTCAAAGTATAGAACATAAGATTGGTTATTCTATCAGCCAGAGTTCTCCAGAGAAATGGAACCAACATATTGATATATAAGTATACATAACACATTATATATATATATAATGTTAAATATGTTAAAATGGTAAAAACTGGTATCTTTTATTAAATGGTTCTAACAGTACCCAGATAATGTGAACATTATATACATTTACAGAAAAATTTCCACTTGCACTTCTGGGTTTAAAAGTGCAATATCTGGCCAGGCGCGGTAGCTCACACCTGTAATCCTAGCAATTTGGGAGGTCGGGGCAGGCGGATCTTTTAAGCCCATGAGTTCAAGACCAGCTTGGGCAACACGGCAAGACCTCATCTCTACGAAAAAATACAAAAAGTAGCCGGGTGTTGTGGCGGGCGCCTGTGGTCCTAGCTACACGGCTAAGATTATACCTAGACCTACACTACACCTATGCTGAGGTGGGAGGATCACCTGAGCCTGGGAAGTTGAGGCTGCAGAGAGCCATGATTGTGCCATTGCACTCCAGCCTGGATGACAGAGTGACACCCTGTCTCAAAAAATAAGATAATAAAAGTGCAACATCTGACACTTTCTAGTAATTGTTTAAATATAATGATATTGTATACTCTGGTTTCTCTTCAAATTGTGTACATCTTTTGCCTTTTAAATGTAATGGTATTTTATTTTATTTTATTTTATTTTATTTTATTTTATTTTATTTTTTTGAGATGGAGTTTTGCTTTGTTGCCCAGGCTAGAGTGCAATGGCGCGATCTCGGCTTACTGAAACATCCGCCTCCCAGGTTCAAGTGATTCTCCTGTCTCAGCCTCCCGAGTAGCTGGGATTACAGGCATGCGCCACTACGCCCAGCTAATTTTGTATTTTTAGTAGAGATGGGGTTTCTCCATGTTGGTCAGGCTGGTCTCCAACTCCTAACCTCAGGTGATCTGCCCGCCTCTGCCTCCCAAAGTGCTGGGATTATAGGCGTGAGTCACCATGCCTGGCCAGTATTTTATTTTTATATACTCTGGTTATGTTAGAGAATATCCTTCTAGGCTTCAGGGCGTTTGAATTTAAATATTATTAAGGTAAGGGGTATTTATATTTATCCAAAGGCCTCTCTGAGAAGGAATTCTATACTGGGTTTGACTGTAATTAAGGTAGCTGCCTTGGAGAATACTGGTCATTTTAATTTTCCACTCTCCAAATTTCACAGAAGTGTTTCTCATTGTCAGACTGACCTACAGTCATACAGGGAAGGGAATCCAGGCAACATCATCCCAGGTTTCTTCCATAAAGGAAGGAGGAGACTCTAGAAGGTGGTGGTGGTGATGCCAACAGACATGAAGTACAGGATCTTTCAAATGAGATTTTGAAGTTCACACACCTTCCATAAGGCCTACCTTCCCCTCCTCCACTGAGCATCACGGGGTTGCATTGTCTGTCCCTGAGCCGCAAGGCCCCTCCTCTCCTGCTGACTGCGAGGCAGTGGGGGTGGGGAGTGGAGTGTGTGTGGTCTTAGATAGAAAAGAAAGCCTGAAAAGAAACGTAATGTGCTAAACAACTGATGTGTTAAACACCTGCCTTCTGATATTCTTAAATGGCAGTCCTGTCTCCAGTGAGAAATAAATGTCTCTTGATAAATGCATTTACACTTACTCTCTAGTCACGATCAGCCAGTCCTCTGGGTAATGTCACTTTGAAGGAAGGTTGGATGCTTATCAGGAGAGAGTGAGTGGCCTTGGGTGGAATCCAGCGCCCAGTGGGGGACAGCTTTAGTGGGATGACCTTCCAGATCACACCACACTGGCTGCCACCCGCTCTGCCCTGCACAAAGTGGACCCAGGTGAAATAGCCCTTCTTGGAGACCCATTAGATGAATTCTTGTCTTCCTTAAAGTAAAGTTATTACTGTTCCAATTTATATCAACCAAACTCTTGCTTACATGGAGTAGGTGGCAATGACAGTTAGAAACTGAATTATACCCATAAAGAGCAATGCTGATAAGGAGAAAAATCTGTCAGTGGTTGAATTGACACTGGCTGCTTCCCATCTAGTTTGACTTCACAGAAAGTGGGGAAATGCTCTTTTTTTGTGGGATACTTCTGAGGTTTCCTGGGTCTTTCCTGTGCAAATGAATGATGAAATAACTATCTGCGGAGTCACTTAGGAGCCTTACTGGGGTCAGCCATTTTCTGTGCTCCAGAAAGCCCACCCTCTTTTTTCTTCCATTATATTTCTATCTCGTCTGACCACGTGTTGTTGCACAACTCCAAGGGTGAACTTGGAACTGAGATTCCAGTCTTTTCTTCCTCATGCTCTCATGCTTTTCAGAGACCTGGAGATGCTGAAATTCCTCTGCCTTTTCTTGTCTCTTTGCCTGCTCTAGCACTTCTGTCCTCTGAATTTGGTGGGAGAAAGTCAGAAGAAATAAATCTCACAGAATAAACAGAATAACAGTCTCCTTAGAGAGAGGAGGTGATGAAGAGGAAAAAATACAGACATGGAGGTAGATGGTCTTAAAGGAGAAAGGAGATTGGAAGCCAGTCCCCACAACTAACAAGGAGAGTAATAATGCTGCCTTTTCAGGATTTTTTTTTGGGTTGGGGGGGGACAGGATCTTACTCTGTTGCACAGGCTGGAGTGCAGTGGTGCATTCACAGCTCGCAGCTCACTGCAGCCTTGACTTCCTCAAGCTCAAGCAATCTTCCCACCTCAGCTTCCCAAGTAGCTGGGACTACAGGCACACGCCACCATGCCTGGCTAATTTTTGTATTTTTTGTAGTAGAGACAGGGTTTCATTATGATTCCCAAGCTGGTGTCGAACTCCTGGGCTCAAGCAACCCACCTGCCTCAGCCTCCCAAAGTACTGGGATTGCAGGCATCAGCCACTGCACCCGGCCTCTTTTTCAGGTTCTTGAGCTCAAATGTCAGCATCATCACTTTCTAGCTATGATCTTGGGAACTTAGATGTGGTCACTGATATTGTCCTTGCTTCTCATTGCTGCCTCCAGACAATTATTCCCAACTCCTTGGGAGAAAATGAAAATGTCAATCTATTTGAAACTCAATCAGCTAGAGCACTGTCTCCTCGGCGCTGACATCTACTGACTTCCTGGTCCGTCTTCCTCAGTCATCAAACCCTTTGGCATCAATTCTCCATCCTAGGTCCTGCCATTATCTTGCAGCTTTTCAGTATCCACATGTGATACATCTTGTCTTTTTTGTTCCTCAATCCCCTCATTTCTAGACTCCTTTTCCACTCTACCTCAGCTCCCCATTCTTGTGGCCACATCCTGTCCTCCCTCCAATGTAAGGAACTGCGTCACCTGGCTCTGTCTACAGGGATCTCGCCTTCTTGCTTACTCGATCATCTACTTCCACGGGACCATTCTTCAGTGTTATCGGGACATCCTTGTTCTCCTCTCAACCTCCCTGCCTGTCCTTTCTTCACTTCCCTTATTTCCTCTACAGCAATCACACCAATGCCCAAAGCTCCATGGCCTCCCTGTGTTTCAGTCACATTTGTATGAAAAAAAAACAATCCCAGGAAAAATCTTTGATCTGCTTGCTAGAGAAAGTCACACAATACAGCAAAATAATTCCATCATAAGCTCACAATCACCAGCTTCAAGTGGGATTTAATCAGGCAGTCCTGTGAGGTTTCTCTAGTTGGCTAGTTATTATTATTATTTTGAGACGGAGTCACATTCTGTCACCCAGGCTGGAGTACAGTGGCGCAATCTTGGCTCACTGCAGCCTCCACCTCCTGGGTTCAAGTGATTCTCCTGCCTCAGCCTCCCAAGTAGCTGGGACTATGGGTGCGTGCCACCACACCCAGCTAATTTTTTGTATTTTTAGTAGAGACGAGGTTTCACTGTGTTAGCCAGGATGGTCTCTATCTCCTGACCTCGTGATCTACCCTCCTCGGCCTCCCAAAGTGCTGGGATTACAGGTGTGAGCCACTGTGCCCAGCTGGCTAGTTCTTACTCTCCATCTTGGCCATATTACACTGTGTCTGTATTTCTCAGTCCTCAAATTCCCCTACTCTGCCTTCATTCCCAGAGACTATAACCTACTTTATAGAGAAAAAGGAAGTCACCAGATGCCATCTCCCTCAAGCTCCCAGCAACATGCAAACTACTCTCCATCTGCCTCCGCTCACCATGTCACACTCTGTAACACGAGGCAGCCATTCCTTCTCACTAGGGCCAGTCCCTTCATCGGGACCTGGAATTCCTGCTCCTTCCCCCTCTGAGCACATTTGCACTACATTTTTTTTTGTTTAAAAAAATAAATATTTCACTTCTTTTACTTAAATTGCCTCTCCTTATTTAAAAATTTATTTGACATCTTCCATTTTAGAAAATCCTCTCTTGACCCGGCAACGCTCCTCAATGACAGTCTGACCTCTCTTCCTTCATCAAAGACAAACCTCCTGAGCAAGTTTTCTATGTTAACTGTCTCTACCTGCTCTCCTCCCTCTCATTTTAAATCTCACCTGCAGGTATCCTGTCTCCTAAATAGAAACATCTCTTGCTGAGATCAAAAATAACCTCCATGTTTGCACCTGCAGTGAAAACATTCCACAGCCTGTTACTTGATGTCTCATTTTCATTGGCCACTACTGATCACTTCTTCCCACTTCAAACATTCTCCTCCCTGGGCAGCCAAACCCTTTCTGTTTTCCTGCTTTTTCCTTCTGTCCTCTCCTTAGACCACTGTGCATGCTCATCCTTCTCTAAGTAATTGTATTTCTTCAAAAGTCTGTCCTTGAGCCAGGCTCACGTCTGTAATCTCAGCACTTTGGGAGGCCGAGGCCGGTGAATCACCTGAGATCAGGAGTTCGAGACCAGCCTGGCCAACATGGTGAAACCCCGTCTCTACTAAAAATACAAAAAAAAAAAAAAAAAAAAAAAAAAAAAAGAGCCGGGTGTGGTGGTACACACTTGTAATCCCAGCTACTTGGGAGGCTGAGGCAGGAGAATCACTTGAATCTGGGAGGCAGAGGTTGCAGTGAGCTGAAATCACACCATTGCATGCCAGCCTGGGCAATAGAGTGAGACTCCATCTCAAAACAAAAAACAAAAAACAAAAACAAAAACAAAAAAAAGAAACTTCACTCTTACATATCACCAAGAAAGATACCAGGATCTCTTTTTAACAGACAAGTGTTCCTATAGTCTCCTGCTGTAGAGTAATACTTTTTTCTTTTTGTTTAATACCTTGAGGGTACAGACAAAGTCTTGTCCATCTTCAGAAACTGATTAAAGATCTAGCACTTTTTCTTGAAATTTCCCTGTAATCTGAATCAAGGCTTATGCTTTAGGACCATAGTGGGAGAAACCAGGGAGACAGTATATTAGCTTGCACTGCTGTAACAAAATACAACAGATTGGGTGGCTTAAACACCAAAAGAAATAGATTTTCTTAAAGTTCTGGAAACTGGAAGTCTAAGATCAAGATACCATCAGGATTCGGTTCTGGTGAGACTTCTCTTCCAGTCTTGTAGACAGCTGCCTTCTTACTGTGTCTTCACCTGATCTTTTCTCTGTCAGATAGAAAGAGCTCTGGAATCCTTTCCTCTTTTTATAGGAACACCAGTCCTGTAGGACTAGGGCACCACCCTTATGACCTTACTTGACTTTAATTATGTCCTTAAGGGCCCTGTCTCCAAGTACAATCACGTTGGGAGTTGGGGCGTTCACATATGAGTTTTGGAAGGACACAATTCAGTCCATAACAGATGGTAACTCTAACAGAATTCAAAATTGAAAGGAAAATCTAGTCGGTACACCACGTAATGTATTTCAATTACACAAGTTATATCTGTAATTTCTAGAATTCTATTTTATCAGTCCATGGCACTATCTTTTTCTTTGCAAGTTAATACTTCAGGTATGGGTTATATAATATGTACTGAATGATGTTTCCATGTTACTCACTGTCAGAAGGATGTGTACTTTCAACTGTGTGTCCAAAGGTGGTGATAATTTGCTTTGAGTAATACACATTTCCCTATCCAGTCAATCTGCCAAACCATGGTACAGAAGACAACAGGGTACAATCTGTGGATATGATAATGGAATACAGCTAAGCGGCTCACAGAACAGTAGAATCTCTTCTCTGGCCCCAGTCAAGACCTTGTGGTCCTTCCTTGAGAACACAGTCTCCATCTGGTTCTCTCTGGTGCTGCCAATAGCCTGGAAGATGGGCTGCATTCTCCACTGATCATGGTCCTGCCTGGCTGCCCTGAGGCCCTTGGTTCCTTGATCATTTCACTCCTGCCATGGTGACACCTTGGCACCTCATCAGCCAGCTTCCTCGGCTGTCCTCTCTGTTCCATTGTGCAAGGAAATGTTCTGGGTCTCTTCCATTCCACATGGGATCAGGGGGAGCCTTGTGGGTCACTCTCTGAAGTTGAGCAGGCCATCCCAGGAAGAGGATAAGATACACATCCACATATTTCTTCTACCTCTATTTTTCTTTCTCTTCTTGTCCCCATATCCTACTGAGTCAGAAGGCATTCATATCCCCGTTTCTTGTATATCACACCTTCTGAGTTTTTTCTTTTTTAATCTTTGAAGCCTGGTTCTTCATATGTAAACAGGAGCTTTAAAATTTTAGAAAAATTTCTTCTAAACTGTAACTCTTTTTTAAAGCCAAATGTTTCCAGAGTGGATATAGATGAGAAAGAACTCTAGATTCCTTTACGCATACTGGAATAAATAGTAACAAAGAAGTAGCTATTTGTCATGTGCCCTGGGTCACTCCATCACCATCCTCAGGATGGTACATAAGGGCCTCCCCCAGCAGGAGAAGGCATCAGACCTCCACACCTGGGAAAAATGTTAAGATTCCAGAAGAGGAGAGAGTGGAAAGAGGAAAGAAAATGGGATAGGACATACTTCACGGGAAAAGGTTTAACTTATTTGTGCAAGCCATGAAATGACTGTGATATTGAGCAAACACCCTTCTACCCTTTGGGCCTCAGTATCCTGAGTCCTCCCTCCTCACTTCCCTCGAGTCCTCTCTACTGACACCATGGGTTGCTGTGGTTGTGGAGGTTGTGGTGGCTGCGGTGGCGGCTGTGGTGGTGGCTGTGGCAGCTGCACCACCTGCAGGTGCTACCGGGTGGGCTGCTGCTCCAGCTGCTGCCCCTGCTGCCGCGGCTGCTGTGGGGGCTGCTGCAGCACACCTGTGATCTGCTGCTGCCGCCGCACCTGCTGCTCATGTGGCTGCGGCTGTGGGAAGGGCTGTTGCCAGCAGAAAGGCTGCTGCCAGAAGCAATGCTGCTGCTAGGCGGCCGGCCTGGCTCTGCTTCTGGACTGAGGTGCGGGGTCCTGCTTTCTCCAGGTAATGAGACTTTCCCCCATGCCCCTGCCTGCTTCTCTCCCAGACCTCCCCATCTGGTATCACCTGGGTGTCCAGGGACTTGCTCCTTTGGACTCTATAACCCCCTCTTTGAACCTAGTGGTTTAAAATCTTTTTATTAAAAAAAAATCCAAATAGGAAATGGCCATTACCAAAATACAACCCCAGACTCATCCCTAAAGATCAGTCCGCCTTGCTGAGCCCAGCCAAGAGGGTCATGATCCCAAGCGTTCTGTTTCCTGGGTGTTCAGATGGCCTCCACCTTTGTGTTTCTACTTCTCTGCACCTGCATGGGCACCATTTCCCACCTTTTCTATGAGTTTTGTTTCCAGTCACCACATAGCTACTGCTTATTTCCCTAATAAAACAATGTCAACAACCCTGAGTGCTTCTGTATTTATTCTGCCACGTCAACAGAGGGAACGTAAGAGATTTCTTACGTTGGCTCACACCTGTAATCCCAGCACTTTGGGAGGCCGAGGCGGGTGGATCACTTGAGGTCAAGAGTTCAAGATCAGCCTGGCCAACATGGTGAAACCCCGTCTCTACTACAAATACAAAAATTAGCCAGATGTGGTAGTGCGCGCCTGTAGTTCCAGCTAATTGGGAGGCTGAGGCAGGAGAATTGATTGAACCCGGGAGGCAGAGGTTGCAGTGAGTCGAGATAGCACCACTGCACTCCAGCCTGAGCAAAAAGAGTGAGACTCCGTCTCAAAAGAAAAACGAAAAAAAGAGAGAGTGAGATTTCTATCTCCTTGAACAAGTTGAGCGACAGATGCACCATGACCGGACCGCAATGCCAGCACGGGGCTGCTGGGGAGGCCACTACCAGGCCTCTGGGGACCTGGCCTCCCTGCCACCTGCCCTTTCTCCATCTCTTGAGATCGGCACTTCCCTCAGGTATTTCCACACCTGCTGCCACGTACCCCTGTTCTTCTAAAGACCCCAAGACCCAGCTTACTTGTCAAAAAGGAACCATGCACCTCTCCAGATGCAACTTCCTCAAAACAAATCTAAATATTTCACATAAGTCCATGTCGAACTGTAAACAAAAGGCAGGTCTAAACAAGCTAGAAAAATGGCCTATCGTTTTTTTCTAAGGATGGTTATTCTCTTGCCTTTTCTATTCCCTTATTTCTGTTATTTGTCTGTGAACTCTTGTTTTTGTGGTTGTTGTCTCAGAGTTGTTCTGTGTACAAACTAAAGCCCTTAAAATGTTTCTCCATGGGGTATTCCTATGAGCCACAAAACTACTATCTCTTACAAAGCAAACCTACATTCTCATATTTTTTCTACCTTATTTTTTATTTCTAACTGTATTTTTCTTTTCTTTTATTTATTTATTTTTAAGACCGGGTCTCACTCTGTCACCCAGGCTGGAGTACAGTGTCATCATCGCGGCTCACTGAAGGCTTGAACTTGTGGGCTCAGGTGATCCTCCCTCCTCAGCCTCCCAAATAGCTGGGACTACAGGTGTACACCACCAGGCTCGGCTAATTTCTTCTGATTTTTTGTAGACTCAAGGCCTTACTATGTTGCCGAGGCTAGTCTTGTATTCCTGGGCTCAAGTGATCCTCCTGCCTTGGCCTCCCAAAATGCTGTGATTACAAGCTTGAGCCACAGTGCCCAGCATCTTCAAACTCTATTAAGAGTGAAAAAACTGCAAAGGACTAAAAACTTGTAGCCAATAGAACAAAGAATATTTTTGGTGCTTTTTCAAAGGCATGTTTCCCTCTACTGGTGTATTCCAAAGAGGAAAGGAACTACAATCAGTTTATTTAGTAAATTAAGCAAAGATGCGATATGAGGCACCTTTCACTGGGAGTGACTAAGGTTGAGTACTCAATCTTTTACTAACATTGACTTTGAATACCAAGTGAGTTGACCAAAGCATTTGTGCCTATTATTATACTAACCACAAAGTAACCTTTGTTATGTTGTATAGTTGGTTAACAAATATGAACACAGAAACCAAGAGCACTTACATGACCTCCAAGGGCAAGTAATTAATATGAATGACATGTTCAGTGTCACTGTTAAGAATTTTGAGCCCCATTAGCCAATTTTTGTAGGACCCTATGCTTTACTAGTATAAATATACATGGAAACTTTGGAATCAATACCTCTTTATTTAAACTAGTGGCTCTCGGCCGGGTGCAGTGGCTCATACCTGTAATCCCAGCACTTTGGGAGGCCAAGGCAGGAGGATCACCTGCAGTCAGGAGTTTGAGACCATCCTGGGCAACATGGTGAGACCCAATCTCTACTAAAATACAAATATTAGCCAGGTGTGGTGGTGTGCACCTGTAATCCCAGTTACTTGGGAGGCTGAGGCACAAGAAGCACTTGAACCCAGGAAGCTGAGGTTGCAGTGAGCCAAGATCGTGCCACTGCACTCCAGCCTGGGCAACAGAGTGAGACTCTGTCTCAAAAAATAAAATAAAATAAAATAAAATAAAATAAAATAAAATAAAATAAAATAAAATAAAATAAACTATTGGCTTTCCAGGAGGTGGTACTGCCCCCGTGGGGTGCTTGGGAATTTGTAGAAATAGTTTTTGGTTGTCACAATCAGAAGTACACTACTGGTGTCTAGTGGGCAGGTGCAGGGATAGTAGATCCTGCCGTAGACAGGATATCCCCACAACAAAGTCTTGTTTTGTGACACATATGATTTTCAAAAGTCTCTTTGGCATTCAAATAAATGAAGTCCCTGTGTATAATTATTGGAACCTATAAGTAACTCCACTCTACACATAAACAGAGTATTTTTCACATTAGCTTAATGTATAGTGAAGATTCTAGGAAAGCAATAGATAGTAAATTAAGAGAAGATTCCATTCTGGTGGTTGGAAGTTTTACCAAGCATGGTTCTTAATTTCAGCCAATCATGTCATTGATTGTCCCTCCACAAAACAGAATTCATTTGCATGTCCGCAGACAAGAATCAATTGCATTATTATCATTTCTTGGTATTCCCATTAGTTCTCTGCATTGTTTTCAGTTCTCTATTACAGAGTTATAAAATAGCTCAAAGGCAGTAGAAGGCTAACATCAGAAAACCCAGAAGGATGTACCATAAACAATGCGTGGTTCCCTGCTGGAGACACCCAGTAATATTTTTGCTTATTCCAAATTTCCTTAGGCATTTGAATTAGTTATAGTAGATTAGTTTCAGGTGTTCTATTAACAGTAATGTTATGTTGATCTTTCTATGTATTTTTTGTGCCGGAGCACACTGTCTTCATTATTTTAGCTCTGTAATAGGCTTTAATGTCTATTTGCAGAAAGTCCTTTCTCATTTCTTTTTTTTTTTTTTTCCAAATTATCCATCTATTTTTCCTCTGTGTCCACATAAGCTTTTTGTTTAGGTTTCTGTAGTGCAGTGGTTAGCCTGTTCACCTTACACATGCATATGCTCTAGGATCATTTCATTACAGGGAAACAGCATCTTTAGACTTCGAAATTATAGAAAAGCTCATAGATTGATGAGGAAGGAATCAACAGTTTTGCAATAATCCATGTTGTTATCCAAGGGATGTAGGTATATAATTATAGTTATTTTTAAAGCTTTCGGAATTTTCAAGCTTAAGCAAAAAGCTTTTGCTTCTTTAAAGGATTCAATTCTCAAATCAATCTAGTTCAGGGAAAATTATTATTGGTTTTCATTTTTATAGTTGAGGAAAGGAAGATCACAGAAGTTAAAGTGCTTGTTGAGATTCGCACAATTAGTATGTGGCAGGTGTAGGATTTGACCTCCCATACCAAGGTCTGTGTTCTGTGTCATTACATCTGGGAGAACCAAAACCTAGGGTGGCTGCAGGTTTATCTGATATTCATGTTTGCTACATTTTAGAAATTGGAGAAAGACTGATTTGAATCACAGTCATCATAAGAGCATCTTTCATTTGGTCTTGTGGTCCTCTAAGAAACTCTAGAGTTTTTAACATGAACAATACAGAGAGACACAAGACTTCCCTTGAGAGCATTCAAATGAAGACAAGAATCATGATTTTTAATATTTGTGAATATGACTTACTACAAAATGACAACACTTCAAAGTTTAACTTTCATCCCACAGTTTTCTTACCTAGACAGGCATCCAAAAATCTCACAAAAATACTTAATGAACATGAGTCAGTCCGTTTAAAAAAAAATACTTACCACATTTATACCATAGTCAGCAATCATAAGGCTGTAGTCATTTACATAATCACAAATGTCTCAATTCTTATGTTGTTTTTTCTATCTTTCACAATAGGAAAATTTACAAAAGAAGAGATCATTGTTCTCCCAAGGCCCTCAAGGGTGAAAGAGAATTTGATGCCTGAAGAATAGCAGTGTTTTTTTAAATTCTCTTTTTTAAATTTTTCATCTTCAAGTATCCCCAGTCTAACCAAAGGCACCAGATCATGACTATATGATTGGGTCCTGTAGTGTCAGACTGAGGATACTTTTCCAGATTTGTTGCTTTATTACTAGTCAGCTTGATCATTAATCTAAGAACACATGATCTAACAGAAAAGTGGCACTTCATTGCTTTAATGTGCTTTCCAAGTGGCCTAAGGGCCCCTTAATTCTTCAGCTCACTTACCTAACTCAGACTTGACTTTATCTTCTCTTTGTGGGTACAAGTGTTCTTTTAGACTTTGTAAACTTTCATGGAATTTAGCATTTCTTGTAATCTTTGCATTTAGTTTTTTTTTTTTTTGACGTCCCTGAGAACATGTTGCAATTTGTTTTTCAAAGAAATAGTTGCGCAGGAATTACTAAAGCAGACGAGAAAAACTGGGTGTGACAGTAAACAGGAAAGATATATCAAAACTGGAGACAGTATCACTGCTTACTGATCATAAGCATCAGTATAAGTTTCCTATTCTTATATTCAGACGGCATTATGTTATCTAGCATGTGGTATTTAATACAATACCATAAATATCTTATAAAATGCTGTTCTTGGAACTGAAATTACTAAGATAAAATAATACTGTATAATTAGGGGCTATAACTAAATGGACAATGATGCATATGTAACTGTAACCTGAATGAATATTAAATAACTAACGAAGCTTGGCCACTTCTGAGGGTAGCAGCTGGTAAGATTCCCAAAGCCCACTCCCCCAGAAGATCCCTGTGGACTTTCACATGGCCCACTGTGAAGATATAGCCGTGTCCCCTGAAAGGAAGGAATAACCATATCTATATCTTGGTAGCCAAAGTGTGAAATGGCTTTATCCATTGTTGTCAATACCCATACTACAACAAAATACAGATTTTTTTTGCTTGAATTTTGATTTGATGAAAAGCAACCTTGTGTCAGAGACAAGTCTGACAGAAAAAAAAAAAGAAAAAAAGAAAAGAAAAGAAAGAAAAGCAACTTGATTCAGCTCTACCAGATGTTAATAACCTTTTCCTTTACTTATTGTTTTCTTCTCCTTTTCCTTAATTCATTGGCGTGAGGCAGCAGCCAAGGCCTGCAATGGTTCTGTCTTCTCCTGGATCTTCCTTTGGCTTCTGTGACCTTTTGGTTAGCTACATACCTGGTTAGCTCCATAACAAAGGGTTCCTTTTCCTGCAGGACACCCATGCCACCAAGGTCAGGGGCAACAAGAACTGACAAGGGGGGCTGTCTGTCCTCCTGGGCCCCAGCTCATAACGGTGAGCCCCAGCTAGTTCTTCCTCTCCTCCCCTTATATCCATTTTTCTGCCCTCACTTCTTGATCTGCGCACTTCAAGCTCCAGCAGAAGGACACAGACTGGCAGAGAACACGTAGCCAGGTCCTCAATGGCCTAGGTTCCTGAGGAAGCCTGAGTCTATGATACAGCAGTCACACCTTACTTTGCTTATTGGTCCTCAGCCCAATTCCTTGTAGGTCTGTTTTAATTTACTGGAAGTGCTAGAACCACATATCTACATATCTATTCTCTAAATTGATTTAATAAAGACATTTTCTATAATTAGGGCTATTTTTTTAATGTGATGAGAATGTATTTGTGTTTAAAATAAAAACTGATTTTCTGGGCACTGTGGCTTACATCTATAATCCCAGTGCTTTGGGAGACAGAGGTGAGAGATGATGTGAGGCCAGGAGTTCAAGACCAACGTGGGCAATAACAAGACTCTGTTTCCAAAAATAAAAATAAGGCTGGGCGCGGTGGCTCATGTCTGTAATCCCAGCACTTTGGGAGGCTGAGGTGGACAGATCACTTGAGGTCAGGAGTTCAAGATCGACCTGGCCAACATGGTGAAATCCCGTCTCTACTAAAAATAGAAAAATTAGACCGCTATGGTGGCGTGTGCCTGTAATCCCAGCTACTTGGGAGGCTGAGGCACAAGAACCACTTGAACCTGAGAGGTGGAGGCTGCAGTGAGCCGAGACTGTGCCACTGCACTCCACCCTGGGTGACACAGTGAGACTCTGTCTCAATAAATAAATAAATAAATAAATAAATAAATAATAAAATAAAATGAAATAAACTACCTGAGTGATATGGTTTGGCTGTGTGTCCCCACCCAAATCTCATGTCGAATTGTAATCCCCAGTGTTGGAGAAGGGGCCGGGTGGGAGATGATTGAATCATGGGGGCAGACTTTTCTCATGGTAGTGAGTGAGTTCTCATGAGATCTGGTTGTTGAAAAGTGTGTAGCACTTCCCCCTTCGCTCTCTTCCTCCTTCTCCCACCATGTAAGTCGTGCCCCTTTTGACTTCTCCTTCCACCACTATTCTAAGTTTCCTGAGGCCTCCCCAGCCATGCTTCCTGTACAGGCTGCAGAATCGTGAGCCAGTTAAACCTCTTTTCTTTATAAATTGCCCAGTCTCAGGTATGTCTTTATAACAGTGTGAGAACAAACTAATACAATGGGTGTGGTGGCACACACTGTAGTTCCAGAGACTTGGGAAGCTGAGGCAGGAGGATCACTTGAGCCCAGATTAGAGCTGCAGTGAGTCGTGACCACACCACTGCACTCTAGCCTGGGCAACAGACTGAGACCTTGTCTCTAAAAACATAAATTAATAAAAATATAATAAAATAGTTAAAATCGTACATAAAAAAAAAGGCTGGGTGCAGTGGCTCATACCTGTAATCCCAGCACTTTGGAAGGCTGAGGTGGGAGGACTGTTTGCGGCCAGGAGTTCGAGACCAACCTGCGCAACACAGTGAGACCCTGTCTCAAAAAAGTTAAAAAATAAAATAAATTGAGAATGACATGAAATACACTTAAAGAATAAAAAATAATAAATTTAGAAAGGAATAAAAAATAAATATTTACCTCCTATTTCAAACTTGCATGTAGGAACAACAACAACAAAAAATCCCGGAGTAAAGCCAGATTCCAGAGCTAGACTGGAATTTCACAAGTTGGAGGCAATGAGAAAATAAGCCCAAGGTTTTCTTGCAAAATGTCAACAAACACGAGTGTAGAACATTCCAGTTTCTTAGAAAATGTCTTCAAAAACAGAACAATCAGAAAATAAATGCAGATAGTTGGATCAACCTCTGACTCCTATCATGTGCTTCCCTCTGGCCTCCGAAGGAAATGTGAGAAGGGTCACAAGCTGCCTCAGGAGGAAAAGGCAAGAGTGTGACCAAGGTCCTATCAACCTCATGCCTATTTTAACTCCTCAGATGAGAGGAAGGATACAACGGGCAGGAAGAAAGCTCCCCAATGAGGAAACTATGATGAAAATTGGAGACCCTCACATCCGTTCTTGTTTTTGTTTGTTTGTTTTGAGACTGAGTCTCGCTCTGTCGCCCAGGCTGGAGTGCAATGGTGGGATCTCGGGTCACTGCCACCTCCGCCTCCCGGGTTCAAGTGATTCTCCTGCCTCAGCCTCAGAAGCATCTGGTATTACAGGTGCCCACCACCATGCCCGGCTAATTTTTGCAGTTTTAGTGGAGACAGGATTTCGCCATGTTGGCCAGGCTTGTCTCAAACTCCTGACCTCAGGTGGTCCGCCCGCTTCGGCCTCCCAAAGTGCTGGGATTACAGGCATGAGCCACCGCACCTGGCCACCATTCTTTAGAACTTCCTTCTGCAGTTTCTCCAGGTCCCGATGCTGGCTAAGACCACATTGCCACTATCAATTCAACCTTTTCATTTTCTTTCTCTGTATTCTTCTTTTTCTCTGCTGTCATCTCCATAATCAAATGGTGTTTGTTAAAAAGTAATATGTTCTGAGGCCCGCCACAGTGGCTCATGCCTGTAAGCTCAGCACTATAGGAGGCTGAAGGCAGTTGGATTGCTTGAGCCCAGGAGTTTGAGACCAGCCTGGGCAACATGGAGAAACCTCGTCACTACAAAACAAAACAAAACAAAACACAAAAATTAGCCAGGCATGGTAGCGTATGCCCGTAGTCCCAGCCACCTGAGAGGCTGAGGTGGGAGAATTGCTTGAGCCCCAGAGGCAGAGGCTGCAGTGAGCAGAGAGTATGCCACTGTACTCCAGCCTGGGTGATGGGAGTGAGACCCTGTCTCAAACAAACAAACAAACATAAAACATAAGCAGGATATATAGAATCGGTGGTATCTCTTAATTTTACACTGATGAAATGCAGCCTCAAAGAGTATTATACAACTTACACACTTTGTAAGGAATAGAATATGATTGAGAATTAGTCTGTCCGATTAAGGTTTAATCACATGCTCCCTTGATAAAGGATATAACAAAAGTAGAATTGTTGGGTTCCCTGCTTTCTAATCATGCCTTTCTTAATAAGAAGTATTCTTGGCTGGGCATGGTGGCTCAAGCCTGTAATCCCAGCACTTTGGGAGGCCAAGGCAGATGGATCACCTGAGGTCAGGAGTTCAAGACCAGCTTGGCCAACGTGGTCAAACCCCATCTCTACTAAAAATCAAAAATTAGCTGGGCATGGTGGCACATGCTTGTAATTCCAGCTACTCAGGAGGCTGAGGCAGGAGAATCACTTGAACCCGGGAGGTGGAGGTTGCAGTGACCTGAGATCATGCCACTGCACTCCAGCCTGGGTGACAGAGCAAGACTCCATCTCAAAAAAAAAAAGTGTTCTTGACAGTGACCTCTGAATGCGCACAGATCCACAGCCATTTTGTGAAACTGACTTAAAGAATGTTTACTTTGACAAGGTAAAGTAAAAACACCTTACACTTCAATAGCTTCTCTTGCCTTGTTATATATGTGAGAATTATACAATGATGCCTTATGATTCCATAAAACTTGAATTATAATATGCTGGGTAGATACAAAGGGACCATAACCTCTTTTCCCCCACATAATACTGTTCTGGTTTCGGTCAATTCTGGTCACAATTTAACATGGATTGCCTAAGAAACTCAGAAGAGCTTTGGTTCTCGGAATCTCAATTTCTAGAAAACAGAAGGACAATTGGCAGAAGAAGGCATAGAGGAAGGTGCAGATGTCCACCCCAAATTGCTTCTCCTTTTCTTCTGTCTGAACTTGGGGGAATAGAAGCCACATGTAGAGCCACAGAGAAGGCAGAGCAGTGAAGGAGCTACTGGCAATAATCTACCAATGTCTTCCTTTAAGAGTGGGCGAATTGGCTGGGCACAGTGGCTCACGCCTGTAATCCCAGCACTTTGGAAGGCCTAGGTAGGAGGATCACTTGAGCCCAGGAGTTCAAGATCAGTCGGGGCAACACAGGGAGACCCCCATCTCTATTTATTAATATAAAATTTTAAAAAAGGGTAGTTGAATTGAGGCTGCAGAGGATCTCCTGGGCGGAATTTGGGCTGTGCTTCTTTTTCCCGTGTGTGTGTGTGTGTGTGTGTGTGTAAATTTATGGGGCACAATGTAATTTTGTTACATGAATATAAAGTCCAGTGGTGAAGTCAAGGCTTTTAGTGTATCCATCACAAGAATAATATACATTATACACCTTAAGTAATTTCTCATCATCCACCCCTCCCAGGACCCCCACCCTTCATGAAATGCAATTCAGGCATAAAAAAGAATAAAATCATGTCTTTTGCAACAACATGGATGGAACTGGAAGCCATTATCTTAAACGAAATACCTTAGATACAGAAAGACAAATAGTGCATGTTCTCACTTATAAGAAGCTAAATAATGTGCATACATGGACGTAGAGCTTCTCTTTTGTTTTGACTTGACCCTTCTCACCCTAGAGCTGTCTGAGATGTAACTGTATCTACATTTCTATTTCTGAGGCAAACTGCATTCCTCCCCCATTTTGCCTTTAGTCTAGCCACCAAGAGTAGTGGTATTTAGGCTTCCAATCAATGTCATTCTCCATGCACTGTCTTCTTGGCTTTACTTGGAGAATATAAAACTAGCCCAGTGGTTCAAGTCTTCATTTAGGACAGACAAATCAAGTAAACCAAGATGTTTTCTCATTTTGATTTTAACAAGGACAACTGGTGGATCATTTAAATGAGGGAAGGTGATCGTGGGGAAGAAAATGGATCTTGGGAAAAGAAAGGGTAAATTTCTGATTTAAGTGACATTTCTATCCCAAAGCAAGTGAACTGCTGCAGCCTCTTATCTTCTCCTACTTGTATTTCCATGACCTGCAGATATATTGGGACAAATCCTGGGAGCAGATGATGTACCTTCTAGTATTGCTTTAAAAAAAAATGGTGAGATGACCTCAAAGAAGAATAAATACTCCCTTTGGGAAATATTTGTTCAAGTATTCCTTTACTTTGTAAGTCTTTAATTTTAAGTCAAGGGCAATAGGATCATCTGGTCAGAATTTACAATTTGAGGTACTGTATATATAAGGCATTTGAACATTTTGAATCCCAATCATCCTCCACTAGTTTTGTGTGTGTGGAAAAGCAAACAGGTGAGACTAAGCTTCCTTGAAATGAATCCTGGTTAAGATGAATAAAATAATGTGAATCTTTGTTATTTATTATCCAAGAATCATAAATGTCTGTGAGTGTAAACTTAAGCATGTATTCTTCTTTGAGGTCACATAAAAATCTATATACACAGATGATTACTGTAGGAACAACCCCAGATAGGCTCAACAAATTTTGGCAGTGATCCATTTCTGAAACAAAGCCAAAAGCAGGTAAGCAGATTGGCCAATGGAATATCCTTGTTAAAAACTAGACTGAGTGTATTTTATAAAACTGGAATGACCACTGCAAACACTTTCCTAGTTTAGATCATGGTTTTAGGATTATTCTGCGTAGTACTAATCTGTTCGGCAAATCTTCGTGTATCTTTTCCTTCATGAAAAAAATTAAAATTGACAAATGGGATCTAATTAAACTAAAGAGCTTCTGCACAGCAAAAGAAACTACCATCAGAGTGAACAGGCAACCCACAAAATGGGAGAAAATTTTTGCAACCTACTCATCTGACAAAGGGCTAATATCCAGAATCTACAATGAACTCAAACAGATTTACAAGAAATAAACAAACAACCCCATCAAAAAGTGGGCAAAGGATATGAACAGACACTTCTCAAAAGAAGACATTTATGCAGCCAAAAGACACATGAAAAAATGCTCATCATCACTGGCCATCAGAGAAATGCAAATCAAAACCACAATGAGATACCATCTCTCACCAGTTAGAATGGCAATCATTAAAAAGTCAGGAAACAACAGGTGCTGGAGAGGATGTGGAGAAACAGGAACACTTTTACACTTTTTGTGGGACTGTAAACTAGTTCAACCATTGTGGAAGTCAGTGTGGTGATTCCTCAGGGATCTAGAACTAGAAATACCATTTGACCCAGCCATCCCATTACTGGGTATATACCCAAAGGACTATAAATCATGCTGCTATAAAGACACATGCACACATATGTTTATTGCGGCACTAGTCACAATAGCAAAGACTCGGAACCAACCCAAATGTCCAACAATGATAGACTGGATTAAGAAAATATGGCACATATACACCATGGAATACTATGCAGCCATAAAAAATGATGAGTTCACGTCCTTTGTAGGGACATGGGTGAAATTGGAAATCATCATTCTCAGTAAACTATCGCAAGGACAAAAAACCAAACACCGCATGTTCTCACTCATAGATGGGAATTGAACAATGAGAACACATGGACACAGGAAGGGGAACATCACACTCTGGGGACTGTTGTGGGGTGGGGGTAGGGGGGAGGGATAGCATTAGGAGATATACCTAATGCTAAATGATGAGTTAATGGGTGCAACACGCCAGCATGGCCCATGTATACATATGTAACTAACCTTCACATTGTGCACATGTACCCTAAAACTTAAAGTATAATAATAATAAAAAAGGAAAAAAAAATTAAAAAAATTAATGATTATTTTGAAACAGCTTATAGGTCAAGACTAAGTTTTGTTGACCCACAAGTGAAACAGAGGTATCACTAATAAATCATCACTCCAAGATAATGTTTTCCATAGTGCATCTGTGACAGTCTCCTAGGGTGGAATGAAAATGATAAACTAGAGTCCACAGAATTTTGCTAGGAAGGGAAAGAAGGTAGTAGGCATGAGGTATCTTAAGTGTTAAACCCTGAAGGAGACTTTCCATTCTTGCCAATAAAATGGACACATAGTGTGTAGCTGTTAATAAATTGAAAACAGGTAGTCAGATATACATGTTCTTTAAAATGTGTTTTAAGGCTGGTCAAACTACCAGTGGAGAATAAGATAATAGATACAGACATGGTAGGCTGGGCGCGGTGGCTGACGCCTATAATCCCAGCACTTTGGGAGGCCGAGGTGGGCAGATCACTTGAAGTCAGTAGTTTGAGACCAGTCTGGCCAACATGGTGAAAGCCCATCTCTATTAAAAATACAAAAAATTAGCAGGGTATGGTGGCACACATCTGAATTCCTGGCTAATCAAGAAGCTGAGGCAGGAGAATTGCATGAACCTGGGAGGAGTAGGTTGCAGTGAGCCGAGATCACACTACTGCACTCCAGCCTAGGCAACAAAGTGAGACTCAATTTAAAAAAAAAAAAAAAGATACAGACATGGTAAAAGTTTCTTCTAGAGCATTACAGTTAAAGTGAATATAGGTGGACCACAGGATTATGTCTCTTTTTTTTTTTTTTTTGAGATGTAGTCTCACTCTGTCACCCAGGCTGGAGTGTAATGGTATGGTCTCGGCTCACTGCAACCTCCTCCTCCCAGGTTCAAGCTATTCTCCTGCCTCAGCCTCCCAAGTAGCTGGGACTACAGGTGCGTGCCACCACACCTGGCTAATTTTTGTATTTTTAGTAGAGATGGGGTTTCACTACATTGGTCAGGCTGTTCTTGAACTCCTAACCTTGTGATTTGCCTGCCTCGGCCTCCCAAAGTGCTGGGATTATAGGCGTGAGCCACTGCGCCCAGCCATAGGATTATGTCTCTTTTATGTTTGTTTGTTTTCTTTTGCTTTTTGTTTTTGAGATGGAGTCTCACTCTGTTGCCCAGGCTGGAGTGCAATGGCATGGCTCACCACAAGTTCCAGCTCCCGGGATCAAGTGATTCTCCTGCCTCAGCCTCCCAAGTAGCTGGGATTATAGGCACACACCACCACGCCTGGCTAATTTTGTATTTTTAGTAGAGACGGGGTTTCTCCATGTTGGTCAGGCTGTTCTCAAACTCCTGACCTCAGGCGATCCTCACGCCTCGGCCTCCCAAAGTGTTGATGTTACAGGCGTGAGCCACCATGCCTGGCCACGTCTCTTAATTGGAATAGTTTCCTATTCAGATAATCATTGTTTTAATTTTAGAAAAGAAGCATAGCAACCAAAAAAGGCCATATCAAGAAGGAAATAATTGAAAATTAACTTTTTTCCTTAGGTTCAAAATATATCTCCATTTAAAAACCAACCTGTATTAGTCTGTTCTCACACTGCTATGAAGAAATACTTGAGAGTGGGTAATTTACCAAGGAAAGAGGTTTAATTGACTCACAGCTCAGCATGGCTGGGGTTGCCTCAGGAAACTTACAATCATGGTGGAAAGCAAAGGGGAAGCAAGGCATCTTCACAAGGCGGCAGGACAGAGTGAGTGCAAGCAGTGGAAATGCCAGATGCTTATAAAACCATCAGATCTCGTGAGAACTCAATCACTATCATGAGAACAGCATGGAGGAAACCACCCCCATGACTCAATAACCTCCACCTGGTCCTGCCCTTGACACATAAGGATTATGGGGATTACAATTCAAGGTGAGATTTGGGTGGACACAGAGTCAAATATCACATCCTTAAAAAAAATTAAAATAAAATAGAAGCCATCCCTATATATAATTTAAACACTAAAAGGGGAGGGCTGGTGTTCAGAGTTATGAATCACAATGATTTTATACATTATTCCATCAGATTTAGTCTACTGAATCTGAAAAAAACACAAGTACCCAGATAATCTTAAAGGTTCTAAAAGTTCTCAAAATCTCACACTCAGGACTCAGTTCAGTGATCAGTAGTTTCTTTTTGTCAGGAATTCCTTGCCCTGAGCAGGTATTGTTGATCGGCCCTCCTAGCATGCATCTGGGAATCTGCTCTTTTGGCCTCAACCTCTCTCTGGGACAGCATGCATTTGGCTACTGATCCTATTTATCTTACTGCTGGTCTCTAAGTGAGTCCCTTAAGAGCGGACCATGCCATCCTTTTTACTTTAACGTCACTGATGTTTTTTTTCTTTAGAATATGGGGTCTCTCTGTCAGACTCCTGGGCTCAAATGATCCTCCTGCCTCAGACTCCTGAGTAGCCAAGACTACAGACGCACACCACCACATCCAGCAAAGTTTTTAAAAAGTTTTTTGTAGAGACGTGGTCTCGCTATGTTGCCCAGGTTGGTCTTGACCTTCTGGCCTCAAGCAACCCTACTGCCTTCACCTCTCAAAGTGCTGGGATTGCAGGCATGAGCCACTACACCTGGCCAACCCTCACTGATTTTTATGGTACCCAGTAAAGGGCAGTTATGTAAGAAACTTTTTGAAATATAAAGATTCTTTAGATCAAAATGTTTTCTAGCTACTCCTGAGTTAATCTAAAATATACTTTAAAATTCACAACACTTAATTTCCTTGCAATCCTATGAGTTGGAATTTTGCTGGTTAGTGGGATCCTCTAGAGCAGTGGTCCCCAAACTTTTTGGCACCAGGGACTGGTTTTGTGGAGGACAATTTTTCCACGGACTGGGTGGGGGTGGGGGTGGTTTCAGGATGATTCAAGCACATTACATTTATTGTGCACTGTATTTATTTTTTCTTTTTCTTTTTTTTTTTAGACAGAGTCTTACTCTGTCACCCAGGCTGGAGTGCAGTGGCGTGATCTTGGCTCACTGCAACCTCTGCCTCCCAGGTTCAAGCAATTCTCCTGCCTCAGCCTCCTGAGTAGCTGGGATTACAGGTTCCCACCACCACACCAGGCTAATTTTTGTGTTTTTAGTAGACATGGTATTTCACCATGTTGGGCAGGCTGATCTCGATCCCCCGACCTCAAGTGATCTGCCTGCCTTGGCCTCCCAAAGTGCTGGGATTACAGGAGTGAGCGACTGCGCCTGGCCCTGTGCACTGTATTTCCATTACTATTTCATTTTAATATATAATGAAATAATTATACAACTCACCATAACGTAGAATTGGTGGGAGCCCTAAGCTTGTTTTCCTGCCACCATTTAGCCCCATCTGGGGGTGAAGGGGGACAGTGACAGATACCAGGCATTAGATTCTAATAAGGAGCATACAACCTTGATCTCTAGCATGCACTGCTCACAGTAGGGTTCCCACTCCTGTGAGAATCTAATGCCTCCACTGATCTGATAGGAGGCAGAGCTCAGGTGAGCAATGGGGAATAGCTGTAAATACAGATGAAGCTTTGCTCACTCACCTGCCGCTCACCTCCTGCTGTGAGGCCTAGTTCCTAACAGGCCACCGACCAGTACCAGTCCGTGGACCGGGGAAATAGGGACCCCGCTCTGAATTTTATTTTCATGAGTGGACACAATACTCTCCTGTGTTGAGTATAGAGCAGGGTGGTATTGTAGAAAGACCACAGTTTTTGTGGTCAGACATACTTGAATTCAAATTGCACCTTCACTATTTCCTGTGTGCTTGACTTTGAACCAGTTTCATATGCCTATGAGCCTCTTTCCTGATTGAGGAATCACAGTTGGGATTGATAATCAAATGACACCCCAAAGTGGCTGGTACTTATATGAGGGGTCATTATTTAAAAAATTTTTTTCATTACTGAGATACCAAATAAAAAATTTTAATTTAATTTTTCAATGTCAGGTCTACTTATTATTATTAATTTTTTTGAGATGGAGTCTCACTATGTTGCCCAGGGTGGTCTTAAACTCCTGGGCTCAAGCGATCCTCCCTCCTCAGCCTCCCAAAGTGGTGGGATTCCAGGAACAAGCCAAGGTGCCCAACCAGGCCCACTTATTTTTTTCTTCTGTTGTTTGTTCCTTTTAATTATAAATGCACATTTAGTAATCCATTCACATTGCCAAAAATATAAAACTATCATAATGGTTGCATGGCAAATCTCCAGCTCCTTATTCTTCAATGCGAATTTATTTCCCAAGAGGTTAAATGCTTTTTTGTAAAAGTCGTATTTTAATTTACTGGTGGGTTATTCATTTGGTGCAAGCATCAAACACCATGAGAATGTGATGTCTCCCTCCCATTTCCCATTACTCCACAGTAGGCAATCATTGGTATGAGTTTCAGTTGTTTATTTATTTGTTTGATTGTTGGTTTGTTTGTTCAAGACAGGGTCTCACTCTGTCATCAGGGCTGGAGTGCAGTGGCATGATCTCAGCTCACTGCAACCTCCACCTCCTGGGCTCAAGCGATCCTCCCTTCTCATCCCCTCAAGTAGCTGGGAGTCCAGGTGCAAGCCACCATGCCCAGCTAATTTTTGTATTTTTTGTAGAGACAGGGTTTTGCCATGTTGCCTAGGCTGGTTTTGAACTCCTGAACTCAAGCAATCCACCTACCTCAGCCTCCCAAAGTGCCAGGATTACAGGCATGAGCCACCGTGCCAGGCCTCATTTGTCTTTTTAGAAAAGTTATACGCATATATAAGCCAATACAGATATTTTTGTCCTTTTTATACAAATGCTGAGTTGCTGCGTTCATTATTATTTTGGTGCTTGACTTTTTTCCACTTGATAGTAGAGCTCTTAGAGTTCTGTGTCACTAAAGATCTTCCTCATTTTTTAGCAGTTAATTTTGTTATAGGTGAATATGTGAAGGAATCATAATGCATTTTTTAATCCACTTTGGGTCTCACTCTGTCGCTCAGGCTGGAGTGCAGTGGCACAATCTCAACTCACTGCAACCTCTGCCTCCTGGGTTTAAGTGACTCTTATGCTTCAGCCACCGAGTGGCTGGGATTACAGGCATGGACCACACCCGGCTAATTTTGTTGTTTTTAGTACATACAGGGTTTCATCATGTTGCCCAGGCTTGCCTCCAATTCCTGGCCTCATGTGATCTGACCGCCTCAGCCTCCCAAAGTGTTGGGATTACAGGCGTGAGCCACTGCACCTGGCCTCCTTTCCAATTTCTGACCTCTGATTTTTCTTGTTTGTCTAATTGTGATGCCTAATGCCTCCAGAATAATAAGTTAAAAAAGAAGGATAATAGACTGGGTGTGAGGTGGCTGAAGCCTGTAATCCCAACACTTTGGGAGACCGAGACGGGCGGATCACCTGAGACCAGGAGTTTGAAACCAGCCTGACCAACATGGTGAAACCCCGTCTCTACTAAATATACAAAAATCAGCCGGGCATGGTGGTGCACGCCTGTAATCCCAGCTACTCGGGAGGCTGAGGCAGGAGAATTGCTTGAACCCGGGAGGCGGAGGTTGCAGTGAGCTGACATTGCGTCATTGCACTCCAGCCTGGGTGACAGAGCAAGATTCTATCAAAAAAAAAAAAAAAAAAAAAAAAAGAAGAAGAAGAAAAAGAATAGCGGCCATTCCTTCCTTGCCTTTAATGTAAGTAGGAATGTTATTAGTTTTCTCCACTAAGTGAGTGCATTGATTCTTGGGCTGGATCTTAGTCCAGTGAAGAATTTCGGGATTTGGAGAGGAGTATACTTGAGAAACATATTAGTCCATTATCACATTGCTATAAAGAAACACCTGAGACTAGATAGTTTGTAAGAAAAGGGGTTTAATTAGCTCACAGGCTATATAGGAAGCGTGGCAACATCTGCTTCTAGGGAGTCCTCGGGGAATTTTTACTCATGGCAGAAGGCAAAGTGGGAGCAGGCATCTTCACGTGGCCAAAGCAGGAGAAAGAGAGAGTGGGGAGGTGCTACACACTTTTAAACTACCAGATCTCACGATAACTCACTGTCATGAGACCAGCACTGAGGGGACGGTGCCAAACCATTCATGAAGGCTTCACACCCATGATCCAGTCGCCTCCCAGCCGGCCCCACCTCTAACATTGGGGATTACACTTCAACGTGAGATTTGGTGGGGACACAGATCCAAACCATATCAAAATCCAATTAAAAATTTTTTTGTTTGTTTTAGACACAGGGTCTTGCTATATTGGCCAAGATGGTCTCATACCCCTACCCTCAAATTAACCTCTCACTTCAGCCTCCCAAAATGCTGGGATTACAGGTGTGAGCCACAGCTTCCAGCCTTAATATAAATCTTGACTCAGCATTCTTTATTCTCACTGTCAGACTGCTCAATGCATCCCTTATTGAAGTTTCTTGAAGTTTCGAAAAACAGGTATGTTCAGATAATTTTCAGCAGAATTCATCAAAAAATGTTAACAACTCTTTAAAATTTTTACACATTTTATTTAGCACAATTGCTACCATTTAAAAATCAGGTGTTTTGGCCAGGCATGGTGGCTCACGCCTGTAATCTCAGCTCTTTGGGAGGCCGAGGCAGACAGATCACCTGAAGTCAGGAGTTTGAGACCAGCCTGGCCAACATTGTGAAACCCCATCTCCACTAAAAATACAAAAATTAGCCAGGCGTGGTGGTGTGCACCCATAGTCCCAGCTACTTGGGAGGCTGAGGTAGGAGAATGGCTTGAACTCAGGAGGTGAAGTTTGCAGTGAGCCAAGATCACGCCATTGCATTCCAGCCTGGGTGAGAGAGCGAGACTGTCTCAAAAACCAAAACAAAACAAAATCAGGTGTTTTATTCCACTCCCCCCATCAGTGTTTTCTTATTTCTAATACTTCTAGAAACCTCCTTTAAGTTTTCCTATTTTAGACAGACACCACACAGGTGCTCTTTTTTGGGAGGAGGGGGATGAGAGTCTTACTCTGTTGCCCAGGCTGGAGTGCAATGGTGCAATCATAGCTCACTGTAGCCTCTGACTCCTGTGCTCAACCCATCCTCCCACCATGGCCTCCCAAGTAGCTGAGACTACAGGCACACACCACGCTGCCCAGCTAATTTTTTAATTTTTTAGTAGAGTCAGGTGTCACTGTGTTGCCCAGGCTGGTCTTGAACCTCTGGCCTCAAGCAAAACTCCCACCTTGGCCTCCCAAATTGCTCGGATTACAGGAGTGAGCCACTGCACCTGGCCCATAGATGCATTAACACCTGTCTATGGTGGTGGAGAGAAGGCTCACTGCCTCTCCCAGGCCACTGGGAAATGACCTTGTGTATTCTGCAAATACACAAGAGGATCTGAAGCTATTCTTGAGGGAGACTTTCAACAGCAAAACTCAGAGCACAAAATGGAAAATAATCATAAAAAAATTAAATAATAATACTATCAAATCATAACGTGAATAATGCTGTTATTAGAGTTGAAGAGAAGCCCTTAGAAATGGGACAAACATTGTAATTCTCTTAGAGAACTGTAACTTAAACAGAAATACACTTAATAGAAGAGGAAAGAAAATGGTTCATGTGACACAAAGGTCCCATGTGTTGACTTCTTTGGTAAGATCAAATAAGTATTTAAGCCTAGCAATAGGGTCAGTCCAGTTAGTATTTCTCCTCACAAATGGTGAATATCAACTCCAGGATGGCTGGAGTTTTCTCATGGTTTGGTTCCACGCCATCTGCATGTCTTTACAAGTGATAAAAACCAGAATTTTCCAGCTGCTACTAGTCACAGGGGGTCCCCAATATGGGTTGTTTAATTATGATGACGGGTCCTGTCAATTGCATCCAGTAAAATTGGTCACATAGAGAACTCATCTAAAACTGAGGTTTTGTTGTGGTTTTGAAAGGTCCATTGGAATCCAGATTTGCAAAGCATGTCAAGTTATGGCAAAACATATGCCACCCATCTCAAAATCTTTCCTTATTATTGCATAACTTTGAAAGCCACTGTTGCGTTTGTTGCGATGAGGTTAGAGTTTTGTTGACATGATGATATTACTCTCTTCCTCTGGGTGAGACACATCTGGATTCTCACTTGGAGCAGGGCTCTGTACATCCTTCTGGGATTTGGTTGAGTAGGTAATATACATGCTTCTCATTAGGAAAATTCCAGCAATTACTGCAAAATAGCTCCCATAAACTAAAAACTGGAGAAAAACAAATAATTAGCCACATATAAAATATGACCATCTATGTCAATGATAATACATCCTAATACTGTTGGTTTGCTTGGATTATGGGGTAACTGAGACCCAGGTTTTTAATATGGGTCATTTAGGTTGAACAATACTCTCCTATCAAGTAAGAAATCAAGATCAAGTAAGAAGGTGTAAGCAATACGGTGACTAAGAGTCTTGGCTTTAGAGCAGGTTGCTTGGGTTAAAATCATAGTTACTATCATCAATAGTAAAAAACAAAACAAAACAAACCCAAAAAAACACTAAAACTCATTGACCTGTCTCTATGTCTTTGTTTGGAGGCTGGTGCAATGCTACATTCAATGTCTCCAAGAATAAATTTAAGCATTGAGGTTACTTCTTACCTGCCTTATCCATGTAAATGTTGTCCTAGTTGCAATTATTGCTCAAAACCTACTTGGTGTGTTATAATATGATAATGAAGGAATTATGTATTTTTTAATTGCTTAACCAAGGAACTCAAGAAATTTAAATATTGCTTGTTGTAAGGTTGAGAAATTTTTGAGGTTACCTAGTTGAAAACAGAAGTATTGCAGCTTACCTGAATGCTGACTGGCAAGTTGAGCCCTCTCTGATCTACTACAATCACAGTCATGATGGTCTGAATCACCAAGGCAATAAAGGTGTTGATTCCAAATACCAAGGCATAGCGTTCCACATTCAGATTAACTGCAATCTGAAATCTATCATTAAACATAAATAAGCATTTTAACTATAATATACATGGATGGAAGTCTTAAAAAGATAGAACATATTGGCCACAGGGGTATTTGTGTCACCCACCTCCAGCTCCAGGTAGTCCAGCAAAGAGAGAGAGAGACTGTCTGGAAGAAAGTAAAGGAAAAGAACAAGTGTCTCTGTCTGGTAATCCAGAGAATTCTTCTGGATCTTATCCAAGACCACCAAAGCAGTAGCTCTAAGAGTCTGCTAGAACCACAGTGTTACTGGGCTTGGGGTGCTCCCTAATGTAGATACAGTTTAGATCACAACACCCAAATCCTTCTGAATACCTGGAAAGCCTTCCCACGGAGGACAGGTACAAAAAAGCCCAGACAGCAAAGACTACAATAAATACAACTCTTCAATACCCTGACACTGATGAACATCCATAAGCATCAAGATCATCCAGGAAAACGTTCTCACCAAACAAACTAAATAAGGCACCAGGGACCAATCCTGGAGAAACATATACGACCTTTTAGACACAGAATTCAAAATAGCTGTGTTAAGAAAACGCAAAGAAATTCAAGATAACACAAAGAAGGAATTCAGAATTCTGTCAGATAAATTTAATAAAGAGATTGAAATAATTAAAAAGAATCAAGCAGAAATGCTGTGGTTGAAAAATGCAATTGACATACTGAGAATGCATCAGAATCTCATACCAGCAGAACTGATCAAGCAGAAGAAATAATTAGCAAGCTTGAAGACAAGCTATTTAAAAATACAGTCAGGAGACAACAGAAAAAAGAAGAATGAGGCACACCTACAATACCTAGAAAACAGCCTCAAAAAGGAAAATCTAAGTTATTGGCCTTAAAGAGGAGGTAAAGAAATAGATAGAGGTAGAAAGTTTATTCAAAGGGATAATATCAGAGAGCTTCCCAAACCTAAAGAGATCAATATCCAAGGACAAGGTTACAGAACACCAAGCAGATTTAACCCAAAGAAGACTACTTAGAGGTATTTAATAATCAAACTCCCAAAGGTTAAGGATAAAGAAAGGATTCTAAAAGGAGCAAGAGAAAGGAAATAAATAACATACAAGAGAGCTCCAATGTCTGGCAGCAGTCTTTTCAGTAGAAATTTTAGAACCAGGGAGTGGCATGACATATTTAAAGTGCTGAAGGAGAAAAACTTTTACCCTAGAATAGTATATCCAGTGAAAATATCAAACCCGAAGGAGAAATAAAGACCATCCCAGACAAATAGAAGCTGAGGGATTTCATCAACACCAGACCTGTCCTACAAGAAATGCTGAAGGGAGTACTTCCATCTCTAAGAAAAGGACGTTCATGCGCAATAAGAAAACATGTAAAGGCACAAAACTCACTTGTAATAATAGGTACATAGAACAACACAGAATATTATCACACTGTAACTGGGGTATGTAAACTACTCTCATAAGTAGAAAGACTAAAAGATGAACCAATCAAAAATAGTAACTACAAATTTTCAAGACAAATAGTACAATAAGATATAAAGAGAAACAACAAAAAGTTAAAAAGCAGGAGGACAAAGCTACACTGTAGAGTTTTTATTAGTTTTCTTTTTGCTTGTTTGTTTATGCAAATAGTCTTAAGTTGTTATCAGCTTAAAATAATGGGTTATAAGATAGTATTGCAAGCCTCATGGTAATCTCAAATTGAAAAACATGCAATGGATACCCAAAAAGTAAAAAAGAAATTAAATTATATCACCAGAGAAAATCACCTTCACTAAAAGGAAGAAAGAAAAGGAAAAACACTGCAAAACCAGAAAAGAAATAACAAAATAACAGGAGTAAGTCCTTACTTATCAATCTAAACTCTTCAAAAGAGAGTGGTTGAATGGATTTTTAAAAAGACCCAATGACCTGTTGCCTACAAGAAAGACATTTTACCTATAGAGACATACATAGACTGAAAATGAAGGGATGGACAAAGATATGCCATGCCAATGGAAACAAACAAAAAAAGAGGACTTGTAGCTATACATATAGCAGAGAAAATACATTTCAAGACAGAAACTGTAAGAGACACAGGTCATTAAACAATGATAAAAGGGTCAATTCAGCAAGAGAATATAAAAATTGTAAATACGGCCAGGCGCGGTGGCTCATGCCTGTAATCCCAGCACTTTGGGAGGCCGAGGTGGGCAGATCATGAGGTCAGGAGATCAAGGCCATCCTGGCTAACACGATGAAACCCCGTCTCTACTAAAAATACAAAAAATTAGCTGGGCATGATGGCAGGCGCCTGTAGTCCCAGCTACTCGGGAGGCTGAGGCAGGAGAATGGTGTGAACCCGGGAGGTGGAGCTTGCAGTGAGCTGAGATCGTGCCACTGCACTCCAGCCTGGGTGACAGACCGAGACTCCATCTCAAAAAAAAAAAAAAAAAAAAAAAAAAATTGTAAATTTTTTTTAACGTATGGAGCACCCATATATAAAGCAAGTATTAGAGCTAGAAGGAGATAAGAGAATCCAATACAGTAATAGTTGGAGACTTTAAAACCCCACTTTCAGCACTGGACAGATCTTCCAGAGAGAAAATCAATAAAGAAACATCAGACTTAATCTGCACTATAGAAAAAATGGACCTAATAGATATTTACAGAACTTTTCATCCAATGGCCACAGAATACACATTGTTCTCAGCATATGGATCATTGTCAAGGATAAACCATGTTAGGTTACAAAACAACTCTTAAAACATATTCAAAAATTTGAAATAATTAATATCAAACATCGTCTCTGACCACAATAGAATAAAACTAGAAATCAACAACAAGAGGAATTTTGGAAACCATAGAAACACATGGAAATTAAACAATATGCCCCTGAATGACCAGTGGGTCAATGAAGAAATTGAGAGAAACTGAAAAATTTCTTGAAATAAATGATAATGGAAACACAACATGCCAAAACCTATAGGACACAGTGAAAGCAGTATTAAGAGGGAAGTTTATAGTTACAAGTGCCTACATAAAAAAAAGAAGAGAGGCCGGGTGTGGTGGCCCATGTGTATAATTCCAGCACTCTGCGAGGCTGAGGCAGATGAATCACTTGAGCTCCAGAGTTCTAGACCAGCCTGGGCAGTATGGTGAAACCCTGTCTCTACCAAAAATACACAAAAATTAGCCAGGTGTGGTGGTGCATGTTTGTGATCCCAGCTTCTCAGGAGTCTGAGGCAGGAGGATCACTTGAGCCCAGGAGGCAGAAGTTGCAGTGAGTAGAGATTATCACGCCAGTGCAGTTCAGCCTGGAGAACATAGTAAGACCCTGTCTCTTAAAGAAAAGAAGAAAAAAAAAGTCATCTGAAATAAATAACTTAATGATGCGTCATAAAGAACTAGAAAAGTAAGAGTAAACTTAACCCAAAATTAGTAGAAGAAAGGAAATAATAAATATCAGATCAGAAAGAAATGAAATTGAAATGAAGAAAACAATACAAAATGTCAATGAACAAAAAGTTGGGTTTTAGAAAAGATAAAACTGACAAACCTTTAGCCAGACTAAGAAAAAGAGAGAAGTCCCAAGTAAATAAAACTAGAGATGTAAAAGGAAACATTACAACCAATACTGCAGAAATTTAAAGGATCATCAGTGGCTACTATGAGCAAGTATATGCCAATAAATTGGAAAATCTAGAAGAAATGGATAAATTCCTATATACAAACAACCTATCCGATTGAACCATGAAGAAATCCAAAACCTGAGAAGACCAATAATAAGTAATAAGATTGAAGTCATAATAAAAAGCCTCCCACTAAAGAAAAGCCCAGGACCCAATGGCTTCACTGCTGAATTCTATCAAAGAACTAATTCCAATCCTAACCAAACTATTCTAAAAAACAGAGGAGGGAATACTTCCAAACTCATTCTACAAGGCCAGTGTTACCCTAACACCAAACCAGACACATTAAAAACAAAAAACAACTACAGGCCAATCTCTGATGAATATTGATGCAAAAATTCTCAACAAAATACTAGCAAACTGAATTCAATAATACATTAGAAAGATAATCTATCATGACTAAGTGGGATTTATCCCAGGGATGCAAGGATCATTTAACATATGTAAATCAATCAGTGTGATAAATCACATCGACAGAATGAAGGACAAAAACTATGATCATTCAATTGATGCTAAACAAAGTATGTGATACAATTCAACATTCCTTCTGGCTAAATACCCTCAAAAAACTGGGTATAGAAGGAACATAGTCAACATAATAAAAGCCATATATGACAGACCTACAGCTAGTACCAGATTGAATGGGAAAAAGCTGAAATGCTTTACTCTCTAAGATTTGGAACACGACAAGGATGCCTACTTTTACCACTGCTATTCAACATAGCACTGGAAGTCTTCTCTAGAGCAATCAGACAAGAGAAAGAAATAAAGGGCATCCACATTGGAAAGGATCAAGTCAAATTATCCTTGCTTGCAGACGATATGATCTTACATTTAGGAAAACTTAAAGACTCTTACCAATAAACTATTAGAACTGATAAATAAGTTCAGTATATTTGCAGGACATAAAATCAACATACAAAACTCCATAACATTTCTATATGCAAACAGAACAATCTGGAAAAGAAATCAAGAAAGTAATCCTATTTACAATAGCTACAGATAAAATACCTAAGAATTAACTAAAGAAGTGAAAGATCTTTGCAATGAAAACTATAAAACACTGATACAAGAAATTGAAGAGGACACACACACACAAAATGGAATGATATTCCATATTCATGGACTGGAGGAATCAATATTGTTAAAATGCCCATACTATCCAAAGCAATTTACAGATTCAATGCAATCCCTATTAAAATGCCAAGGATATTCTTCACAGAAATAGAAAAAGCAATTCTAAAATTTATATGAAACCACAGAAGACCCAGAATAGTCAAAGCTATCCTAAGCAAAACAAAACAAAATGAAACAACAACAACAACAACAACAAAAAACTGGAGGAATCACATTGCCTGACTTTGAATTACACTATAGAGCTATAGTAACCAAAACAGCATAGTTCTGGCATAAAAGCAGACATGTAGACCAATGGAACAGAAGAGTGAACCCAGAAACCCAATAGTGAACCCACACACCTACAGTAAACTCATTTTCACCAAAGATGCCAGGAACATACATTGGGGAAAAGACAGTCTCTTCAACAAATGGTGCTGGGAAAACTGAATATCCGTATGCAGAAGAATGAATGAAAGTAGACCCCTATCTCTCACTATATACAAAATCAAGTCAAAATGGATTAATGACTTAAATCTAAGACCTCAAATTATGAAACAACTACAAGAAAACATTGGGGAAACTCTCTGGGACGTTGGAGTGGGCAAAGATTTCTTGAGTACCCCACAAACACAGGCAACCAAAGCAAAAATGGACAAACGGGATCACATCAAGTTAAAAAGCTCCTGCACAGCCAAGGAAAGAGGCCACCCACAGAATGGAAAAACAAATTTGCAAACTACCCATGTGACAAGGGATTAAAAACCAGAATATATAAGGAGTTCAAACAACTCTACAGGGAAAAAAAGTCTAATAATCAGATTAAAAATGGGCAAAAATCTGAACAGATGTTTCTTTAAAGGCATGCGAATGGCAAACAGGTATATGAAAAGGTGCTCAACATCATTGATAAGAGAATTATAAATCAAAACTACAATGAGATATTATCTCACTTCAATTTGAATGGCTTTTATCCAAAAAACAAGCAATAAATGCTGATGAGAATGTGCAACCTCTGCCTCCCAGGTTCAAGGGATTCTCCTGCCTCAGCCTCCCCAGTAGCAGGGATTACAGGTTCTCACCACCATGCCCAGCTAATTTTTGTATTTTTAGTAGATACGGGGTTTAATCATATTGGCCAGGCTGGTCTCGAACTCCTGACCTCAGGTGATCCACCTGCTTTGGCCTCCCAAAGTGCTGGGATTACAGGCGGGAGCCACTGTGCCCAGCCGTGAATATTTTTTTTTAATGCAAAGAAATGATATAATCCTACTTTAACAAAATCTTCACATTTAAAAAAAAGCAACCTAAGATACATGATTCTGATTAAATTAAGACATTTCCATGAAGAAAATAAACATACCAACTAATTGTTTTTTCCTTTGATGATTTTTTCCCAGAGTGCTCATATTTCTGTGTTGTAAATTGTTTATAAAACATTCTTCACAAATTGAAAGCAAAACTTGATGAAGCTTTTGTCTCCACTTCTTTCATGCAATTTGAAATTCAAATGTTTCTCATTTTTTTTGGTTAATAGCAAAGCATATTTTCTGTAGTCAGCTTTAGCTGTACTTTTATATGAAACCGAATGGTTTTTTAATCATTTTCTTAAAGAGATCTCTGAGAAAAAAGTAGAAGCAAAAATGACGGGAAATTCTAAATCCCAGAAATTATTTTTAGAAAATGACTGAAAACTAGATCTGGCGTGGTGGCTCACACCTGTAATCCTACCACTTTGGGAAGCTGAGGCCAGAGGATTACTTGAGCCCAGGAGTTTGAGACCAGCCTGGGGAACACAGTGACACTCTGTCTCTACAAAAATGAAAATTAAAAATTTAGCCAGGCATGGTGGTGTGCACCAGTAGTTTCAGCTACTCAGGAGGCTGAGGTGGGAGGACTGCTTGAGCCCAGGAGATCAAGATTGTGGTGTGCTATGATTGCACCACTGCACTCCTGCCTGGGTGAGACCCTGTCTCAAAAAGAACAAAAGAAAAGAAAAACTGCTTGGTTCCATACACGACTGCAGCTAAAGGTTTCTTGTTATCTTTGCATCTACTTTTTTTAGTATCCAACTTTTTAATAACTTTCCTGAGAATCTTTTGTGTCATAAAAGTATGTGCTTAGAATTTCTCAAGCAAACAAATGAAAGTAGGAATGAAATCTAAACCTAACCATTTGAAAGCAGATCACATCACACTTTATGTAGAAAGTTGCTGGAAATAAACAAATCAAATCCTGACAATGATGCCAGATGTAGTGGCTCACACCTGTAATTCCAGCACTTTGGGAAGCCAGGGCAGGTGGATCGCTTGAGCCCAGGAGTTTGGGACCAGCCTGAGCAACATGGTGAAACCCCATCTCTACAAAATACGAAAAATTAGCTAGGCATGGTGGCACATGCTTGTCATCCCAGCTACTCAGGAGGTTGAGGTTGGGGACTCACCTGAGCCTGGGAAGTCAAGGCTGCATTGAGTCCTGATCGTGATCGCACCACTGCTCTCCAGCCTGGGCAAGAGAGCCAGGCCATCTCTCAAACAAAATAAAACAAAAAGAAAAACCTGACAATGTATCACTGCTTTTGGTCTATAAACCTACAGAGTTTTTTCCCTTGATGACTTAAGGTATATTGTAGCAATATTCAGAGAGCAAATAGTTAAATGAAAAGTTGGCTTAGTTGTGTCTAATTTAATATAAAGCAGTCAACATTTAATATTGCAATTGACTAAAATCCTTCTGAAGTTCTTAGAGAAAGTTTAGAAAGACAGAAGAGAGAGGAATACAGTTCAGTTTTAGGAGTGGTTGGTAAAACTTACACTGCTATGGTTATAAGAAGCATATAGCTGGACTTGAATATCAAATAGCCAGCATAGCACGCCCAGATATTGGCTGTGTAATGCATGAGAAATAAAGAACCGGCATTGACAACTGAGAAGACCACCAGAGCCAGCTCTCCCAGAAGGTCCCAGTTGACTTTCACATAACCCACTGCAAAGGCAGCCACAGCCCCTGAAAAAAAACATTGAAGGCAATCAAACATAATGACTTTGCATGCAGGAAAATATCAACACCCTCTCTTAAAAACCCAGGTCTCGGGTAATTCTGAAAGATAAATATATTGCTTTCACAAAATTGTGTGATCGACCTGAATGTGGATCTATCCTTTTCTCAAGCGTGTCTTCTTTTGGCTTTTCTTTTCACTTGCTATTCTTTCGGTCACTTAGTCACCATACTTTTAATTAGCATCAACTACACGCCAGACACTGTATTCTGCAGAGGGGCCAGAAAGGTTCCTAACCACAGCAGTGTAAGGAGAAATGATACATTAACCTAGTCACTCAGTACAACATGCAGGGATGGAAAAGGATGAAATAAATTCTCTGGGAATACACTGGCCTCTCTATTTGCCTTTCTTTTCTCAGTTTTTGCTGTAAGTCTTTTTCAGTGATGAGTATCAGATGTGTTACATTGAAAGTTTTAGTCTTTTTTCTTGCCCTACCCAGTTTTAGTCTTTATTATGAACCTTTAGTAATCTTAGTCTTATTTCCAATCTCCACTCTAAAGTCTTCAACATCTGACATAATTTACTTGAGAAGCTTTGGGTGAAAATATCTATATAGACTTACAGAGTTCAAGAAATTGAAATAATTGACAGTAATTAGGGTTAGCACTTTTGTGTGGTTCTCTTTAACAAAGGTAAAAGGTATTTAGGGCTGGGGACAGTGGCGCACTCCTGTAATCCCAGCACTTTGGGAGGCTGAAGGGGGTGGATCACTTGAGGTCAGGAGTTAGAGACCAGCCTGGCCAACATGGTGAAACTCCAGCTCTACTAAAAATACAAAAATTAGCCAGCATGGTGGCGGGCACCTGCAATCCCAGCTACTCAGGAGGCTGAGGCAGGAGAATCACTTGAACCCTGGAGGCAGAGTTTGCAATGAGCTGAAATCATGCCACTGCAATCCAGCCTGGGTGACAGAGTAAGACTCTGTCTAAAATAAATAAATAAACAAAAGGTATTTAGATTTCAAATTACTACATTGACATATGACTAACTTTCCCACATGTGATCATGACCACAGAGGAAAAAAAAAATAACTATTTTTCCCCCCATGGATTTGGAATGTAGGAGCAATAATTTCAGTGAAGCAATTCTGGCACAGTCCTGGTTTCCAGGAGTTAAACTGAAGCTTCCCAAAAGGGAGATAATAATAAAATAGAGGTCACACGGGTTTTCTAAAACTTTTTGTAAATGAGGGTGGGGCGAATTCTCACTTCCTAAAAAATATCTTCAAAGTCTCATTTGACATTTAAGCTTCCAGTTACTAGGAAATAAACATTTATTGTAGATTAAACTTCAAAGACAGATTTCCCTCTGATATTAAAATCCTGACTTTCACATCTCTTCCAGCCCTCATTTAAATACCATGAGAAAGCTGCTTTTGAAAGTTGTTGGTGTATAGCCTAGAATTGTTATAGGTGCATGCTAGCTAGTTCAAATCCTGTATTAACAAAACCCTCAGTGAGAATTTGGAATCCTTAATTTATTTTCTAAAATAATGAAAACATATACACATATATGTATATATTTTGATATTAAAAATAATCCTAAAAGAACAGGGCATGTTATTAACCTTTGTGCTAATGATGAATTGGAATCTTAGGGATTCAACTAGAATTTCATTGTTTGGTGCTAATCCCTGAGCTCCTAAGAGTTACTTCTTGTGGCTGGGCGTGGTGGCTCACGCCTGTAATCCCAGCACTTTTGGAGGCTGAGGCGGGTAGATCATGAGGTCAAGAGATTGAGACCATCCTGGGCAACATGGTGAAACCCCGTCTCTACTAAAAATACAAAAAAATTTAGCTGGGCATGGTGGCACGTGCCTGTAGTCCCAGCTACTCAGGAGGCTGAGGCAGGAGAATAGCTTGAACCTGGGAGGCAGAGGTTGCAGTGAGCTGAGATCGCACCACTGCATTCCAGCTTGGTGACAGAGTGAGGCTCTGTCTCAAAAAATAAAAAAGTTACTTGTAACTACAACACAATAGAAAGTCACAGTATTCTTATTTTTCCAGTGACTTTCATTCTTTTTATTTTTATTTTTATTTTTTTGAGAGGAGTCTCGCTCTGTCATCCAGGCTGGAGTGCAGTGGCACGATCTAGGCTCACTGCAAGCTCAGCCTCCCAGGTTCATGCCATTCTCCTGCCTCAGCCTCCCAAGTAGCTGGGACTACAGGCATCCGCCACCATGACCGGCTAATTTCTTTGTATTTTTAGTAGAGATGGGGTTTCACCGTGTTAGCCAGGATGGTCTCCATCTCCTGTCCTCGTGATTCGCCAGCCTCGGCCTCCCAAAGTGCTGGGACTACAGGTGCCCGCCACCACGCCTACCTATTTTATTTTTTGTATTTTTAGTAGAGACGGGGTTTCACTGCATTAGCCAGGATGGTCTCGACCTCCTGAAATCGTGATCCACGCGTCTCAGCTTCCCAAAGTGCTGGGATTACAGGCATAAGCCACCATGCCCGGCCGTGACTTTCATTCTTGACTGAAAAAAGTTATGCTTCCTTCTGAACAGAGCTAATTCGCTGCCATGAAGTTCGGTACCTGGAGGAATGGACTTAAGCGGGTAAAGCCAACAAAGGAAGATTAAGTGACATTTGCTTACCTCCAAAGGTTGCAATAGCTTCTACGGCCCCATTATAGATGGAAGAATCTTGGGATGGCGCCTTGTAATCCCACAGGATTTGAACATAGTTCAAAACCTGGTTAAAACCTGCTGTGGCGAAAGCCCACCATAGAGACCAGTAGAAAAGACGTTTTGAGGAGTAGCACTCCTTCAAATCTTGGAACCACTGCACAAAAACGTCCACAGTCACATTGCTTGGTTTCAGGCTGTTCAGCTGGCCCTTATTCAGCTTCCCTGAAGTGCTGAGTATTTCTGATGTGGGTTTCTGCTCTTCACAGCCTGGTGCTTCACCTTCGTGAGTTTCCTCTAATACTGGATTCACGCTTGATGACTTCTTTATTTCTCTGCTGGGTTTTGCATGAAAAAACATGCTTTTCTTGGGCATTGGTAGGAAAAGTGAGAAAAGGAAAGCCACGGAGACAGAGGCCAAGGATATGACGTTGAGGTAAAAGTACGACATGTTCGCCAGGGATACCAAGAGTTGAGCCAGCACCGACCCTGCTGTGTAGGCGGCCAGCGTGACGCTCCTGCAGTAGCCGCTCACTCTCTGGTAGTGCTCGGGGCTGACCACGCTGTATATGTAGGCGTAGTAGGCCACCTCGGCGGCGGTGACCATCCCATAGAAGAACTCTACAACCTGCATGGTCTTCACTCCTTGGCCAAACAACAGCAGCAGCCAGGTAATGATGAAACTGATACCTTGCAAGATGATGACTGGCTTGTAGCGGACATAATCGGTGAGGACAAACACAGGCAGCAGCAGCACCAGGTAGGAGTATGTCCAAACGGGGAAGATCTCATTTGTTATCTGCAAAGTTGGTAAATTGCATGACCACGAAGCACCGGTACTTTACTAAGGTACCTGTGGTTTGTATCTCAAATTCTGCCTCCAATTGGAAATTATTCGCATTACGGAGAAACATAATGAGAAAACTGATTTTCAAGGAAATCACAAGAAAAGATAGTCTCCTTTCCCATTGGTAAAAACCAATGTACACACTTAGATAAACCCCGGCAGAAAAATATATTGGCTTATTGTGCAATCTGAATTATGTATTAAGTTTAGATAGTATGTACAGTTGAGTAGATGAGTTAAAAAGTTTTTGGACACTTCTAAGATTTTCCGATTCTTTTTTTTTGAGGTGGAGTCTTGCTCAGCTGCCCAGGCTGGAGTGCAGTGGCCCGATCTTCGCTGACTGCAACCACCATCTCCCAGGTTCAAGCCATTCTCCCATCTCAGCCTCCTGAGTAGCTGGGATTACAGGCACCCGCCATCATGCCTGGCTAATTTTTGTATTTTAGAAGAGACGGGGTTTCACCATGTTGATCAGGTTGATCTTGAACTCCTGAACTTAGGTGATCCGCCCACCTCGGCCTCCCAAAGTGCTGGGATTATAGGCGTGAGCCACCGTGCCCGGCCCAAGATTCTTAAAAAATATAATTTCCTTCTTGTTTGAATATTAACATTAGACAAGTAGACCACAATGTTAAAAGAATCCAGGCCAGGCATGGTGGCTCACACCTGTAATCCCAGCACCTTGGGAGGCCGAGGCAGGCAGATCACGAGGTCAGGAGTTCGAGACCAGCCTGGCCAACATGATGAAACCCCGTCTACAACTAAAAACACAAAAATTAGCCATGAATGGTGGCAGACACCTGTAATCCCAGCTACTTGGGAGGCTGAGGCAGGAGAATCGCTTGAACCCAGGAGGCAGAGGTTGCAGAGAGCCGAGACTGTGCCACTGTACTCCAGCCTGGGCAACAGAGCAAGACTCCATCTGAACAACAACAACAAAAAGAATCCAACAGCCTTTATTTTCATGTGATCTATCACTACATCAAATATTTCAGCCCTTCCAACATCTGGAAAGATATGGGAAAATAGGGAAAGAGTAAATAACTTTGCCACATTATAGAGTGGAAGCAAATAATGTATCTCATTTTCCTTCATGGGCAAATTTGCTAGGTTCCCAACCTTCCCCCTGCTCCCCCTAACAATTCTGCTGATTTGTTTATGGCTCAATTTAATATGGATCATCTCACAGATTTAGTCAGAAATGCATGGGATCTCAATTTTCACAGTTGGAAGGACTGGAGTTGCTGATCTGTAGGGATGGGTGAGTGCCGCAGCCTCTCAAATCACTGAACGTACCCACCTTGACACCTGGATCACTGAGGTTGCTGGAGAAAGCAGGAGGCCACAGAGCAAAGACCACACAACTGAGCTGCTCCTTGGAGGGAAGGTCTGTTAACTGGTCCACAGTGGCTCGAGAAGCAGAACCCAGTGGATTCATTGAGTTGCTTCTGACCCTGCATCTGTCCTTTGTTGTCTTAATTGTGGCATGCTTCAACCTGAGCAACTCGGAAACAGGGTTGTCCCTAAGTGATCTGATGCTACAGAAGAAGCTTGCCTTTCTGTCTTTGCCACCTCACCACCCGAGGCACCCATCAGCCTTGCAGGCGAAGCCACACACTTTACACAGTGTTTTCAAGGCTAAGGCTGGAGATTGTAAAATCAGCCCAGGGTAATTTTGCAGTTAGGTCAGTGCATTTTCTTGTTGTACTTCTTATAAAGAAATGCGAGGCCGGTGGCGGTGGCTCACGCCTGTAATCCCAGCATTTTGGGAGGCCGAGGCGGGTGGATCTCTTGAGGCCAGAAGTTCGAGACCAGCCTGGCCAACATGGGGAAACCCTGTCTCTACTAAAAATACAAAAATTAGCCGAGCATGGTGGCTCATGCCCGTAGTCCCAGCTACTCGGGATGCTGAGGTAGGACAATTGTTTGAACCTGGGAGGCGGAGGTTGCAGTGAGCCAAAATCACCCCGTTGCACTCTAGCCTGCACAACAGAGTGAGACTCCATCTCAAACAAAAACAATTAAAAAAAAAAAAAAAGAAAGAAAGAAAGAAAAAGAAAGGCGTTGCTCTTTTAAGTAAGAGAAACTGGCATTCCAGAGAAGGAGGCAAGGGCTGGGAGATAAAGCTGTTAATGGCTCACCTGCTGGCAAACAGTGTCATAAAGAAATACCACAATTTTTTATGAGATCCTGCTTATCCCTCAGCAGCCTGAGAGTTTATTTAGATCTAGATCCTGTGCCTGCCAGTGATGCTATTTTAGGATTAGTATAATAGAATCAACGGAGACCTGAAAGTCTCCTATCATTAACACAAATGTTAGGACTCTATGCAAGTTAAAAATTTGTTAACACATGTAATATGTTTTGGCTGCAATTTTTTGCAAGTAAGAAGAGGAAATAGTTTGAAAAGTTCTATATGGGACACATATTATGAAAATCAGGCTCACTGAGTTTAATGTGTTCATCTTATATCAAGTTGAGGGAAGCCCTGTATCCTTGTTCAAGTCCCATAAAATTTAAAAAACCACATTAAGATATGTATGTATGTTAACTTACCTCTGCACTGGTCAGGTTTTTATCTGGTCCAGATAAATATGGGATAAGGAATGGTTCTGAGGGTCTCATCATGGAGAAAAAACCAAATAAGCAGAGGATCACAGTGGGGTAAATCCAGGAACTGCTTAGTGAAGTTCTGTAACAATCCATGGCTGATCAAATGGAAACAAAGAGAAAATTAAGTGATGCTTATTCTTTTTAGCATCCTTGATGCGATGAAAACCTGATTTTTTTTTTTTTTTTGAGATGGAGGGTCGCTCTGTTGTCCAGGCTGAAGTGCAGTGGCATGATCTCAGCCCATTGCAACCTGTGCCTCCCGGGCTCAAGCCATTCTCCTGCCTCAGCCTCCCAAGTAGCTGGGATTACAGGTGCCTGCCACCATGACTGGATAATTTTGTATTTTTAGTAGAGATGGGGTTTCACCATGTTGGCCAGGCTGGTCTTGAACTCCTGACCTCGAGTGAGGAAATTGCTTGAAATGCAAGCTTTAGACATAAAGCCCAATAGAGGATCTCATTTGTCACTGCACAGAAGAAACAAAAAACAAAAAACAATCATTGTATGGCAGCTATATTTGAAAACATCTTGCTATCTCATGTGAATTATCATGTGCACAGGAAAATTCACTAATTCCTCCACATTTTAGCTCAAGCTTTGCCTTATTGTAATGTTTATAGATTTTTGATGGTCCTGCATGTGGCTAAGTTCTCTGAGATACATTTATAGGAAGGAAACTAATTTGTTGTATGATGCTTTTCTGCATACTATCTCCTTAAATCTACATAATAACTGTAAGACAGATATCATTTCCCCACATTCCCAGAGGAGCATATGGAAGATCCAAGATGCCCAAACACTGGCTTCAAACCACATGATCAAGATCTGAATCCAGGTCTCCCTACTCCCATCAGGAATCTTTCACCCACTCCACTCTCCCTCATTCTGGAGGCCCCCTCAGCTACTGGTATTAACCTAATGACAACCACAGTGAGGGAAAAAACGTGTATTTATAAACACATTCACACTAAAGATTATGGTTACATATATAGAGCTTTTAGGGTCAATTGCAGTTTGAAAGCAGACGAGAGAGAAGGAAAAGCATTCTCATTCCGGAATAGCAAGTCTTACCTGGGTGGAATTCCAGGTATCCAGTGGGTGGGGAGCTTTACTAGGGGTTGGGGAGGTAGGAAGGACCTACTAGGTCACATCATTGCGGCTTGCCACTCACCCTACCCTTTCCCAAGGTGACCCCGACAGCTGCATAATTCCTCTCTTAAGTTCAATAGGGTAAACACTGTTTATGTCAACAAAGCCCTTGATTAAGCAGTGGAGAGACAAGAGCGATCAGATTTTGAAACTAGGATTACAGCATCAGTGAGCAATGCTGACAATGTGAAAATTTTGCCAAAGGCAAATTACAGTGACTGTTAACCTACTCCCTTAGTCCAGAAAACAGGGCTTTCTCTTCTTCCTGGAATGCTGCTGGGTTTGCTGGTGCTTTCTGTCTTCGTTGTTAATGATCTTATAGAAATGGCTGTCCTGGACAGGTGATCACTGAGGCTTGGTCATCTTCTGAAGAGTGGTCTTGCTGGGGTAGCATCTGCTGGCTCTATATCCAGAGCCTCCTCTCCACCTTTGCTGACCACGGATTTGTTCTCTAAATCCAGGTCATCATCTTCTCTGTGCATCTGAGACCTAGGACTATGCCACAGTGATCCACAGGCTGCTAAAAGCCTGCTGGATTATCTATCTTTTTATTTCTTTAGGTTTCTAATACAGCTGTCCAAATCGATTTAGTTGGGATGGTCAAGCAGAAAAAAACCTATAATAAGACATGCCCTACTAAAGTACAAGCCCAGGAGGGCAGGGCGTATTGCCTGGTCCACCACATTGTCTTAAGTGCCTAGCATAGCACCTAATACATAGCACTCAAGGAAGATGCTGAATGAATTGAATAAACAAACCACTACAGTCTACTTGAAGAAGGGTAAGGGTGAAAAGAGAGAAGTGTCAGGAACAGGCAAGAATCCAGGAGTTAGGGAAGACAATCTTATAGAAGGAAGGGCATGAGTCACGCCTCACCACTGAGAATAAATTCAAGTGCTGCCTGGTTTTCGTGAGTGCATCTCACTTCCTAGCTGCATGCCTTACAGGACAGAAAGGTCCTCAGATCTCCAAGTGTTTTACCATTTACGACTAGGACTATGATAATTGAATTACTTATGCAATCTTTTAAAATAATTTTTACATTTTGAAAATGATTTAATTTTTCTTGGAGCATTCTGTGAGGCACATGGAGGTGGTATGGTTGTCACTGGATAGATGGGGAAATGGAGGACTAAAGGTAGTAAGATTTGTGCTCATTTTCACCTTTAACAAACATCAGAGCCTGGACTTGGTCTCAGTTTCCTAATTCCAAGTTCAGCTATCTTTCCTCTTACCCTCTGTTTGAGACAGCCTGGCTATATCCTCAAAATTCCCATTCTAAACTGAGCATGGTGCCCAGCACTTTGGGAGGCTGAGGCAGGAGGGTCACTTGAGGCCAGGAGATCAAGGTGTCGGTGAGCTGTGATCACACCACTGCACTCCAGTCTGGGTGAGAGTGAGATCTTGTCTCAAAAATAAAAATAAAAATCCAATTTCAGTTTATTTTAAAACAGTGCTTTTCATATTGTGGTGTCAAGGAAATTTAGTATGGGGTTGCAAACAGCATTATTATTATTATTATTTGAGATGGAGTCTCACTGTTTTGCCCAGGCTGGAGTGCAGTGGCACGATTTCAGCTCACTGCAACCTCCGCTTCCTGGGTTCAAGTGATTCTCCTGCCTCAGCCTCCAGAGTAGCTGGGATTACAGGCACCCACCATGCCTGGCTAATTTTTGTGTTTTTAGTAGAGATGGGGTTTTGCCATGTTGGCCAGGCTGGTCTCAAACTCCTGACCTCAGGTGATCCGCCCGCCTCAGCCTCCCAAAGTGTTGGATTTTTTTAATGGTACAAAAAATGTTAACTATCAGAATGCATTGCAGAGAAAGGCTAAGCTTTTTTTCTGAAACTTCTGTTTGGGTCAGCAATATATAAATACAAATATATAATCATAATGTACACTATCTTACTATAGGACACGGTACTAAGTTAGAAGTTGTAGAGGAAGACTGGGCTCAGTGGATCATGCCTGTCATCTCAACACTTTGGGAGGCCAGGGCAGGATGACTGCTTGAGGTCAGGTGTTTGAGACCAGCCTGGACAACATAGCGAGGCCCTATCTCTTAAAAAAAAAAAAAAGGTATACATGTTCATGTATCTTTATAATACAATAATTTCTATTTCTTGGGGGTATATACCCAGTAACAGGAATGATGGGTCAAATGGTATTTCTGTTTCTAGATCTTTGAGGAATCGCCACACTGTCTTCCACAATGGTTGAAGTAATTTACGTTCCCACCAACAATGTAAAAGCATTTATTTTTCTCGGCAACCTGGCCAGTGGGAATGGAATGATGAGAACGCATGGACACATGGGGCGAACAACATGCCCTCGGGTCTGTCGGGGAAATGGGGAGGCGGGGGAGGAAGAATGGCTAATGGATGCTTGGCTTATACCAAGGTGATGAGTTGATCTGTGCAGCAAACCACCATGGCAAACGTTTACCTGTGTAACAAACCTGCACATCCTGCACATGTACCCCAGAACTTAAAATAAAAGTTGATGAAAAAACAAACAAACAAAGATTTAGCGTGGTGTGGTGAAGCATGCCTGTAATCCTAGCTACTTGGGAGGCTGAGGTGAGAGGATGACTTTAGCCCAGGAGTTCGAGGCTGCAGTGAGCTGTAATCATGCTGCTGCACTCCACTCTGGGCGACAGAGTGAGATCCTGTCTGAAAAAAAAAAATGCAGAAGAAAAAATGCACTAAATATGAACACATGTCCCTTATAAACATAGTAACCACCTGTGCTGTTTGGGAGGATCACTTCCTCCACAACAAAGTATTATTCTGGAATAGACTGTTCTTTTGTCTTTTTTCCATTTATCATTCCATTTTGATCCCGTCATATTATCCGCCTCTAAAAAAGTGCTCTAAACGTCCCTTTGCTTCCACTGCTTCTAAGGTGAGGACATGAATTGACTTGATTTTCTGAGTTCATACCTGTGAAAGCCAGATGTTTACCTTTCCCCTTCATTTTCTGTGTGTTCCAAATCACAAGATAGTCCTTTTAAAAGTTACTCCTGTAGCAGTCATCTTCACCCATTATTATAAGCTCTATCACTTTTTAAAAAGGTACAAGAACACTGTGTAAACGGTAGATTAAAAATTTTAAAAGGCTGGGTGTAGTGGCTCATGCTTGTAATCCCAGCGCTTTGGGAGGCTGAGGCAGGTGGATCACCTGAGGTCAGGAGTTCAAGACTAGCCTGGCCAACAGAGTGAAACCCCATCTCTACTAATAACGCAAAAATTAGTCGGTTGCGGTGGTGGGTGCCTGTAATCCCAGCTACTTGGGTGGCTGAGGCAGGAGAATCACTTGAACCCGGGAGATGGAGGTTGCAGTGAGTGGAGATCATGCCACTGCACCCCAACCTGGGCAACAGAGAACGACTGTGTTAATAACAACAACAAAAGGCACATTCCCTAAACAAAAGTCAGCCTATCAGGCTCTCACGATTTGAAACATGCAGTGAAGATGCTGAAAGTAGAAAGAAAGAGTCAATTCATCAGCTGCTCTTTTTAGCAGAGACTCAGAGCAGCTAAATCCACAACAGACCTTACCTTGGTGGACTTGGACGCACAGGAGAGAGTTTACAGTGGCACAGTGTTAGCTACAACAGCAGATTGAGGAGGTGAACCCTGAGCTTTGGCCTTTGCTCCACTCCAGAGCTACAGTGACCCTGGGCGGGTCTCCCTGCTGCACCTGCACGGCAGACCAGAGTGCACTTGTCCCCTGACCCTGTTGCAGCACACCACATGAGCCCTGAAGAAAATGGCCACAGACACTGTGGGGATACACAGAGGCGCTGATCCAGCCAACATCTTTGACTTTGAATGAGCCAACACCTTTGCATTGCAAGTGGTCACTTCAGTTGCCTTGGAACTGATGGGTTCCTTTCTTCTTTTGCTGGTAGAAAAATAATTATTTTTCAGCCAGGCGCGGTGGCTTATGCCTGTAATACTACCACTGTGGGAGGCCAAGTCAGGTGGATCGCTTGAGCTCAGGTGTTCGAGACTAGCCTGAGCGACACGGTGAAACCCTGTCTCTACAAAAATACAAAGTTAGCCAGGCATGGTGATGCGCACCTGTAATCCCAGCTACCTGGGAGGCTGAGGTGGGAGGATCACTGAAGACCTGAAGGCGGAGGTTGCAATGAGCTGAGATGGTGCCACTGCACTCCAGCCGGGCAACGGAGCAAGACCCTGTTCTCAAAAAATATACAATAAAATAAAATATAATAAAAAAAAACAAATTTAAAAAATAATGGAAATAATTATTTTTCATATTATGAAAAAAGCCACAGCTGTCCCACCAAGGGATGCTTCAGTTCTCTACTGTTTGGCCTCCAGCTTCTCTCAATCTCTATTTTTTTTGAGACAGAGTCTCACTCTATTGCCCAGGCTGGAGTCCAGTGGTGCAATTTCAGCTCACTACAACCTCTGCCTCCCAGGTTCAAGCAATTCTCCTGCTTCAGCCTCCCAAGTAGTTGAGATTACAGGTGCCTGCCACCATGCCTGGCTAGTTTTTTGTATTTTTAGTAGAGACGGGATTTCACCATGTTGGCCAGGCTGGTGTTGAACTCCTGACCTCAGGTGATCCACTTGCCTTGGCCTCCCAAAGTGCCAGGATTACACATGTGAGCCACCGCGCCCAGCCTGAATCTGTATTTGGAGCCCATTGCCATGTATTCCACATAAGGCCACATTGTTTACTGCTGGCTCCCCTTCTTTGGGGTACGTGGGGTGCCACAGCCTTTTGAAAAAAACTCTCTTGCTAGCATACCTAATCCTACTTCATTTTAAAATGCTCTTAGTTTTCTTTTTTTTAATCTCCCACAAAAGTTAACTTGTATTTTGACTATGAATGAATTTGGCAGGAGTGGCTTCTCATGATTTTTGTTTTTATCTGCCTTGCAACCTATTACATGTTTGCAAAATTTCTTTTTATGCAACCTATTACACAGTTGTAGTCTCTTTGTATCAGAGTTCAATTTTTTCTTTCTTCTTTTATTTCAATTATTACCATGTTATTGGCTTTTCCACTTTTAACCATCTCCTTAAATTGTTCTTTCCACCTGGCAGCCGGACACGGTGGCTCATGCCTGTAATCCCAGCATTTTGGGAGGCTGAGGCGGGAGGATTGCTTGAGCCCAGGAGAGCCTGGCAACATAGTGAGACCCTGTCTCTATCAAACAAACAAACAAACAAACAAACAAACAAACCAAAAAAACAACAAAAAAAACTTTCCAACTGGCTGCAGGCTAACCTTCTTTGATAGATAAATGCTTTCACAATAATTATAAGTGTTTAGTTGATTTTTAATACTATCTCTGAAACTGTCAGTGTTCTTATAGTGACTGCAAGATAAGTTCATTTGTCATCCTAATTCTGTAGCATAGAAAAACTAAGGTTTTTGTTTATTTGTTTTTAGTGGGAAACAAAAAAAAATTACTTCATTGCTAGGATCTCATTTGGAGTGAGTTACAAATGAAGATTGGAACTCACATCTCCTGGGTTTGCTGCTGTATTTCCTTCAGTGAGTCTTATCTCAGAGTCACTGTGCGGATTAAGACCTTTCCATAGTTGTGCACACAACAATGTTCACGTATTGTTCATATATGCATTGGGGAATCATATTGGATCTAAGCTAATTTGGACCTTATTTAAATTTCAGACATGGATAGTGTCCTATTTCCTAATCCATAGGTTGTCTGTATCTATCTCTAAGTGCATATACTTAAAAGCCCTATGTCCACAAATATTTCCAAGTATATTTTCCATTTTTGTAGGGTAAACAACTGTTAAAAAGCAAGAACTGCAGAAACTGAGGCCGGGCACTGTGCCTCATGCCTGTAATCCCAGCACTTTGGGAGGCTGAGGCGGGTGGATGACTTGAGGTCAGGAGTTCAAGATCAGCCTGGCCAACATTGGTGAAACCCCGTCTCAAACTAAAAAATGCAAAAATTAGCCAGGCATGGTGGCGGGCACCTGTAATTCCAGCTACTTGGCAGACTGAGGCACGAGAATCACTTGTACCTGGGAAGTGGAGGTTGCAAATGCCAAGATTGAGCAAATGCACTCCAGCCTGGGTGACAGAGCGAGACTCTGTCCCAAAAACAACAACAACAAAAGAACTGCAAAGCTGGCATGCACTGGTGGGTTTCCTGAAGCCAGGGTGATTTTCTAGCTAAGGTAAAGCCTTATTTGGTCAGATTCCTCCACCCATACACACCCACTTGCACACCCAGAGGATGGAATTCTCCCACAGCCAAAGCACTCAGAGCTGTGGGGCTCCCTGAGGTAGGGGACAAGGTGACCTGATGAAAGCAAGTAACTCCCTCAAACCTGATAAGTTTCCCACAACTGACTGCCTGGAGAAGAACAAGATATTGGGTGGGTGGAAAGAAATCACTTTATCAAGTCCTCGTCCATGTTGTACTGACAATACTGCCAGAATTAACCCAGATGCCAGTAATTTGGAAGGAAATTATCTACAATAGTGGTACCCAACCTTCCTGGCACCAGGAACCCGTTTCATGGAAGACAATTTTTCCATGAAAAAATGGGGGAGGAGTTAGGGGGAATGGTTTTGGGATGAAACTGTTCCATCTCAGATCATCAGGCATTAGATTCTCACAAGGAGCTCGTAACCTAGATCCCTTGCATGCACAGTTCACAGTAGGATTTGCACTTCCAGGAGAATCTAATGCCGCCACTGATCTGACGGGAGACGGAGCTCAGGTGGTAATGCTTGCTTGCCCGCCACTCACCTCCTGCTGTAATGGCCCGTTCTTAACAGGCCATAGGACCCCTGATCTAGAATCCCCACTCTCCACCTACTTCCTGCCCACTCCTTTCTACTAATCATTCCAGCCATCTCAGAGAGGGTGTCTAGCCAGGCAGCCATCTGAGAAATGGGCTAGCCTGATTTTCACAATAGGCTAGAACTTTACTGCAGTCAAAACACTTCTTTCAAACAGAAGAGCAATAAATTGGTAATTATATGTTTGCCAGACTCCATCTCTACAAAAATACAAAATAAGGCTGGGTGCGGTGGCTTACACCTGTAATCCCAGCACTTTGGGAGGCCGAGACGGGTGGATCACCTGAAGTTAGGAGTTCGAGACCAGCCTGGCCAACATGGCAAAACTCGGTCTGTACTAAAAATATAAAAATTAGCCAGTTCAAGACCCGCCTGGGCAACATAGAGACCCCATCTCTTTAAATATTAAAAAAAAGAAAAACGAATCTTACAGAGCATGATCTTCAGCTCCTTCCCCCCCAGTTTTTAGACTATCTATGGACCCCACTCCAAGCTATCTTATTAGCATAAACACGTTATCAAAGAGGGTCATTATGAATAAAAAGACACCTGTTACTCAGGAATTCCCAAAAGTTTTAGCTTAAAGACCAAATACATTTTATGTTATATCAGTTACAGTTTCCAAAAAGCCCACCTCCCAGGCTTTCAACACTGCTAGAGTCAAGCCCTTCCCTAGACAGAGCAAACTCAAAGTCTGATTACTAAAAACAAAAATATTTGCTTTTAGCTGACATATCAGAGCAGACAAACTAATTATGCCTTTTAATCTGCTTATTACTAAAATAGAAGAGAATATAACTTTCAGTAAAACATTCAAATAAAGCAAAGGGCTGCAGTCAGCTTAAGTCAGGGCAAGATGGTCCTGAAGGAAGGCAGGGGAAAGGATTCCAGGGTCTTGCTTAACCACCGTCGTTCTGCTGCAGTCAGAATTAGTGGGTGGTGGCCAGGCGCGGTGGCTCCCGCCTTTAATCCCAGCATTTTGGGAGGCTGAGACAGGCAGATCACCTCAGGTCAGGAGTTCGAGACCAGCCTGGCCAAAATGGTGAAACCCCGTCTCTAATACAAATACAAAAGAATTAGCTGGGCATGGTGGTGGGTTCCTATACTCCCAGCTACTTGGGAGGCTGAGGCACAAGAATCTCTTGAACCCAGGAGGTGGAGGCTGCAGTAAGCCAAGATAGTGCCACTGCATTGTGGCCTGGGTGACAGAGCGAGACTCTGTCTCAAAAAAATAAAATAAAATAAAATAAAATAAAATAATAAAATAAAATAAAAATTGGAAGGTGGTTCCACCAACTTCTAGGGAGTTATTGTATTCTGGCTGTAACTTCATCTTACTTGAAATGCATCTTACTGATCACTGCCTCACTCCATACACAAAAACTAATTTGACATAACAAATACTAACACCACAGCATGCCATCCAGAAGGAAACAGATCTTCGTTACCTAGGGACTGGCACATATTTGAAATAATAAAAAGAATCTTAAAAGAAAAAAAAGATAAATTGCATTTCATCAAAAAGCCACATCTGCTTATCAAGAGGTACTGTTAAGAAACTGAATGGAAAGGAGGCTGGGCACCGTGGCTCATGCCTATAGTCCCAGCATTTTGGGAGGCCGAGGTAGGTGGATTACTTGAGGTCAGGAGTTTGAGACCATCCTGGCCAACATGGCGAAACCCCGTCTCTACTAAAAATACAAAAATTACCCAGGCGTGGTGGCACAAGCCTGTAATCCCAGCTACTCGGGAGGCTGAGGTAGAAGAATCGCTTGAACCCAGGAGGTGGAGGTTGTAGTGAGCCGAGATCCCGCTATTGCACTCCAGCCTGGGCGACAGAATGAAACTCTGTCTCCAAAAAAAAAAAAAAAAAAAAAAAAAAAGCCACATCTGCTTCTCAAGAGGTACTGTTAAGAAACTGGCAAGGGACCAGGTGCAGTGGCTCACGACTGTAATCCCAGCACTTTGGGAAGCTGAAGCAGGAGGGTCACTTGAGCCTGGGAGTTCAAGACCAGCCTGGACAACACCTTTTTTTGTCTGTACAAAAAAATACCACACACAGACACACACACACAAAGGCAAAGAAATTAGAAAGGGAAGCCACAGACTGAAGAGAAAATAGTCTTAAAAGCAATATCTGATAAAAGAATTGTCTCCAAAATAAAGAACCCCTGTAACTCAATAAGAATAGATGAACAAAAGATTTAAATACTTTGCAAAAGATGTGGTTGGCCAAGAGCACATGCAAAGATACTCAACATAAGTAATCAGAAATCCTAAGTTAAGACTAGGAGAGAAAACTAGCACTAGAATGGCTACAGAGGCCAGCATACCAAATGTTGGCAAAGATTTACAGCAAGTGAATCCATATACATTGCTTGTTCGAATGTAAAATGGCACCAACCCTTTGGAAAATCATTTGGCAATCTATCCAAGAATGTTCATATATTTATATTTGTGAAAAAATGAGAAGCAACTAAATGTCCATTAAATGGGGAATGAATAAATAATGATAAATTTTGGCAACCAATACTAATTAGCAATAAAAAGGAGTGAACTACTGCAAATACGTGAATGAACATAAAAAGAAAAATTTGCTGTGCCAAGGAATCCAGACACAAAAAAATGTATGATTTCATTAACATATAAAGTCCTAAAACAAGCAAAACTTATCTGTAGTGATGGAAATCGGATTGGTGGTTGCCTGGGGTGGGAGGTAGGGAAGAGAGTGACTGCAATAGAGCGCAGGGGAACTTCCTGGGGTGACCAAAACACTCTACACCTTGATTGTGGTGATGATTACAAACATTTGTCCAAACTCATGCATTCATACTATACACTTATAATATACATTTTCTTATTTGTAAACCACACTGCTAGGGTTTGAATATCTGTCCTCTTCAAAACTCATGTTAAATCTTAATCCCAGGCTGGGTGCAGTGGCTCACACCTATAATCCCAGCACTTTGAGAGGCTGAGGCAGGATTGCTTGAGGCCGGGAGTTCAAGATCAGACTGGTCAAGATAGCAAGAACACGGTTCTACAAAAAAATTAAGTAAATGACTGGGCATGGTGGTATATGCCTGTAGTCCTAGCTACTGAGAAGCTGAGGCAGGAAAATCCCTTGAGCCCAGGATATCAAGGCTGCAGTGAGCCATGATTGCACCATTGCATTCCAGGTTGGGCTGGACAGTGAGACCCTGTTGTAAAAAAAAAAAAAAAAAAAAAAGAGGGGGTGGGGCTTTTCAAGAGTGATTAGATCATAAGGGCTCTGTGCTCATGAATGAATTAGCTCATTCATGAATTAATGGAGTCAAAGGTTAATGTATTAATGGGTCATCATGGGAGGGGAACTGGTGGTTTTCTAAGAGAAAGCCCTGAGCTTGCAGCCTTAGCCCTCTGACCATGTGATACCTGCGCCACCTTGGGATTCTTTAGAGTCCATATTAGAAAGAAGTGCCCCCTAAACCTTGGACTTCCCAGCCTCCATAACTGTAAGAAATAAAGCTCTTTTCTTTCTAAATTTCCCACGTTCAGGTATTGTTATAAGCAACAGAAAACAGATTAAGAAAAAAAAGATGTACTTCAACAAAGATGATTTGAAAAAAAAACAACAAAACAAATCACTGATACACGGAAGAAAATAAAGCAGTCTCAAACATTATCCTGTGTACAAGAATCCAGATACAAAAAGGACATAGCATGAAGATTTCATTTACGCCAGGTCCAAAACAACCGAAACTACTTCATGCTGATAGAAATCACAACTACGGTCATCTTGGAGGTGGGGGTGGGTAAGAATTGATGGTAAAAGGGCAGGAGGCAATTTTCTGGGTTGATGAAATATCCTATATCTTGATGGGATATAGTTATGTGGGTGTATACAATTATAAACACTTAAAATCTTTGTTTGTATGTAGATTATACCTCAACTTAAAGAAATGCATCCTATTCTCCCTCCTCCAAAGCATTTTACTGTGTACAACTCTCTGTAGCTCTGGACTTTTCTAGGGGTGCAATGACTATTTTAAATTTAAAGTCCACATCAGGGCAAGGCCTCCGTATAATAGGAAAACTGAACAGGATCTTTGAAACTGAGTCTGTCCCAGAACATTTCTGATGAAAACAGTGCCCGTAACGCAAAGCTAGGACAGGGCAATAAACCTTGTAAGTCTGGCCACATATAACATTTTTCAGTTAATACAGATAGAATCTGAATCTCAGAAGCTGAGGCAGGAGGATCCCTTGAGTTACCTGTTTTTTTCTGTGCCCCCAGTTTCTTTCTTTCTAGAACCAAGCTGGCTTCCTGCCTTCAGGTCCAACTTCTGCTCCTTCCTGCTGCCCGCCACTATGAAAATCCCTTTCCATACCCTGGAGTCTCTTGTCCTCCTCCTTCAGACAGAGCTGCCAAGAGCAATAGCTTTATACGCAGAAGCCCATCCACTTCTGGTGGCTTTATGTACTGGGGCCCACCCTCTTCTGCAGCCGATGACATTTGAAATCCCATCCAAAAAAAAAAAAAAAAAAAAGCAGACACCCAGATCCAGATCTTTCTGAAATACAAGTGATTAGAGAGATAAATACATGAATAACACCTTTCCCTGACTATTCTTTTTTTTTTTTTTTTTTTTTTTGAGACAGAGTCTCCCTCTGTCACCCAGGCTGGAGTCTGGAGTGTAGTGGCACAATCTCCCCACTCACCGCAACCACTGCCTCCTGGGTTCAAGCGATTCTCCCACCTCAGTCTCCTGAGTAGCTGAGACCACAGGCACCCGCCACCAGGCCTGGCTAATTTTTGTATTTTTAGTAGAGACAGGGTTTTGCCTTGTTGGTCAGGCTGGTTTTGAACTCCTGACCTCAAGTGCTCCACCCGCCTCAGCCACTCAAAGTGCTGGGATTACAGGTGTGAGCCGCCGTGCCTGGCCTTGCCCTGACTATTCTTACTAAAGTCACCTAATTTAGCTTCTATAGAATTTTGTGCTAAGTGACCTAGACTCTCAAAAAACTACAAAGTAGCCTTATCACCCATCTATAATCCTTTATGTCAAACCCCACACCCCCCCCAAAAAAAAATCTTTGCTGAAATAAAGCATGCCACACAACTTCCAAAGACGTAAACTAGACCCAGATATTCAGTATGTGGGCCAGAATAGTTCTGTTGTTTGTTTTTGTAAGAGCAGAAACAAGTGATATTTTTAAAATTTTATTTTTAGTAAAGATGGGGCTTTGCCATGTTGGCCAGGCTACTCTTGAACTCCTGGCCTCAAGAAATCCGCCTGCCTTGGCCTCCCAAAGTGCTGGGATTACAGGTGTGAGCCACCGCACCCAGCCCAAGTGATCTTTAAGATGCTTCAGATTTTATTTTATCATATATGGTACCATTCCTTTTAATTTGCATGAGGTGTTTGCTGGTAAATTAATCATTTCCTTCCAAATTCTGTTTATTCTGTTATGTCTATGTTCAGATCAATCTAGTCTTAGGGAGAGCAGGAGGAATATGCCTAAGAAAACCATAAAACTAAGAAAAACATAAAACGGCTTAGAAAGTCAACTGAGCCCAGCCTGGGCAAAATAGCGAGACCTCACCTCTATAAAAAATACAAAAATTAGCTAGGCATGGTGGTGTGTGCCTATAGTGCCAGGTAGTTGGGAGACTGAAGTGGGAAGATTGCTTGAACAGGGAAAGTCAAGGCTGCGGTGAGCCGAGATCCCAGCCACTGCACTCCAGCCTGGGCAACAAGAGCGAGACTCCGTCTCAAAAAAAAAAAAAAAAAAAAAAAATTTCAAAAACCCCAAACAAAACAAAACAAAAAAGGAAAGTCAGCTGACATCTAATCCTTGAGATGCAGTGAAAGTTTCTGATTAAATGCACTGAGAGAAGGTGGTGTTGTAGGGAAAAAACTGGATTAAAGAAAAATTAGAGGTCATTTGAGCTATTTTACAACTCTGTAAATTTTAACAACTGATGGCAATGTTAAGTAATTATTGTCTATAGACATGCAAATAAGGTTTATCCCATGAAGGACAACAGTCTTCCTTTCCCCCATGGAAAACCAGTTTCAATATTCCTGATCTATATTTCATTATTCAATATTCCTGATCTACGAATGTACCCATTCTTTGGGTTCTTCTTTGATCTGGCTACTACAGACTCATCAGTTTCGTCACTAATAAGTGCCGGGACTCAGAAGCCGATACCCCAAAATATGGGGCTTTGACATGCTGGAGACCTCAAGGTCTCTCTGACCTTCCCGGCTCCCAGCTCAAAAAAACCTTTGTCTGCCTAAGATCCAGACCCACCAAAAGGAACAACTGTTTCTTTTCCCTTCCCTGTAAGACCAAGAATATACCCCACACCTGAACAGACCCATTCACAAGATAATGTAGCTTATTCTCTCCCCTGACCCATTCATGCTCCCTAGCAGAAGCCCATCCACTTCTGCTGGATGCTCTTCGGCTCCCTCCCGTAACCTCATTTGCCAGGGTAGTCTATAAGCTTCTGAGACATGTTGCAGGGTGGGTAATCAATCACTCTGATTCTCCCTGTGTGCATGTTAAATAAATGTGTATGCATTTACCATTACACAACCTTAAAAGAGTGTTGTTGGTCTATTAGCAATAATGACTGAAGGAAATTGGTATTTTTGTCCATTTCAGCTACTACTAGGATAATCTTATAAGATATTTGGGAAGTTATGTTTTGGTCTATTTAATATATGTGCCTCGATGAAAAAAACACCTTTTGCCACAGGAGACACCAATGTTTCAATATTGATAGGAGCAAAACACATGAGAGTGCTTTTTTTTTTTTTTTTTTTTTTTTTTTGAGGCAGAATCTTGCTGGGTCGCCCAGGCTGGAGTGCAGTGGTGCAATCTTGGCTCACTGCAACCTTCGCCTCCCAAGTTCAAGCCATTCTTCAGCCTCAGCCTCCAGTGTAGCTGGGATTACAGGCACCCGCCACCATGCCCGGCTAATTTTTGCCTTTTTAGTAGAGACGGGGTTTCATCCCAGGGCCAAGCTGGTCTCGAATTCCTGACCTCAAGCAATCCGCCCCGCTCAGCCTCCCAAAGTGCTGGGATTACAGGCGTGAGCCACTGCGCCTGGCCTGAGAGTACTTTTAGAAAACATTATTCCTTTACCTTTTTCAAACTTGAAGCACTCCGAAAGTCCCAACCTTTTGCACATTTGCGGCAGCGACATTGATTTGGTAAACAGCTGTCACACTATTTATTATTTGATGACTTAGGTATCCTTTCCAGCAGTGTTTTTGTAAGGTGTAGTTGCGTTTTCTTTTAGTTTCAATTAACTAAATTTCAAGTGGTTCCCAAAAAAGCCCCTGCTCTCTTAAATTCAAACTCACCTTCCTTTTTCCCACTAGGAAGGACCTTTTCTCCATCCTTGGATTGGAATTTGGAATTCTATGCTAAAATGCCTTTTCAGTTAAAATCTGTGAACGTGGGATGTAACCATAGGAGGTGCTGGCACTTTACGGGAATCATGATTTTATTTAATCTGCGCTTCCAGAAGGCTGCAAATGGGAATTCCAGACAAACCCACTTGGGTGAATCCCAGCACGCGGGCTGCGGCGTAGGGGGAGAGCTCCTCACGCGGCTCAGAGTGTAGCCCAGGCCCGCAGAGCCAGGAACCCGCCCCCAGCTCTCCAAACCCGGGAAGAGAGAGGCGACACTGCTAAGACCGAGGGATGACGGTGCTTCTTCAATTAATTCGCCCCCCGAGATATTCTTACCTACAGAAGGGAGTGTCTGTTCACCAAATCGCTCACTTGCCGCACGACCACGCACCCGCGGCTGTCGGATGGATCCAGGCGCTCTTGGTGGGAAGGGGGCGGAGCCTGCCTGGCCCGGAGCCCGGGGCCACGCCCCCACGCTTTGCATATGCGAATCCGGGCGTCCAGACCTTTCATCCCAGTGTGGAAGCCCAGATTTTCCTGGCCCAGGGCCGGTTTTCTGGGCAGAAACAGTCAACTCTGCTGAAAGGAACAACTTAAGTAATACACTGACATTCAGCATAATGAAGCAAGAGGGCCTGAATCCAACAGCGATCGTTTGCTTTATTTACAAATATGTCCTTTCTTATGAATCCATTTATTTCTCTCCAAAAGCTTAGGAGAGAGGGCTGGCTGGCTGTCACCCCCACTCTACACATGAAGAAAGTGAGGCGGAAGGAAGTAGGCCTAGTAAATAGAGAAGCCTGGGTTTTAGTTGGGGCTCCTGGCTCCAGAGCCAGTGGTTATAATCACTCTGCACTTTTTTTTTTTAAAGGAGGTAGAGTGGGATGGTTTCCTGGCACTTTGAAAATCTGATACAAACAATTTTTTCTTTTCTTCTTCTTTTTCTTTTCTTTTCTCTTTTCTTTCTTTCTTTTTTTTTTTTTTGAGACAGAGTCTCCCTCTGTCGCCCAGGATGGAGTGCAGTGGCGCGATCTCGGCTCACTACAACCCTCCGCCTCCCGGGTTCAAGCGATTCTCCTGCCTCAGCCTCCAAAAATTAACGCCCAGTTAATTTTTGTGTTTTTAGTAGAGACGGGGTTTGGTTTCACCATATTGGCCAGGCTCATCTCGAACTCCTGGCCTCGTGATCCGCCTGCCTCGGCCTCTCAAAGTGCTGAGATTACAGGCGTGAGCCACCGCGCCTGGTCTTTTTTCTTTCTTTCTTTCTTTCTTTTTTTTTTTGAGATGGAGCCTCGCTGTTGTTGGCCCCGGGCTGGAGTGCAATGGCACGATCTTGGCTCACTGCAACCTCCACCTCCCGGGTTCCAGCAATTCTTCTGCCTCAGCCTCCCTAGTAGCTGGGATTACAGGCGCCCGTCACCACACCCAGCTAATTTTTGTATTTTTAGTAGAGATGGGGTTTCACCATGTTGTCCAGGCTGGTCTCAAACTCCTGACCTCAGGTGATCCACCCGCCTCGGCCTCCCAAAGTGCTAGGATTACAGGTGTGAGCCACAGCACCCGGCCACCTGGCCTCTTTTCTTTTCTTTTCTCTTTCTTTCTTTCTTTTTTTTTTTTTTTTGACAAAGTCTCACTTTATCTCCCAGGCTGGAGTGCAGTGGTGCAACCCCAGCTCACTGCAACCTCAATCTCCCAGGCACACTGATCCTCCTGCCTCAGCCTCCCAAGTAGCTGGGCTTGCAGGTGGGTGCCACCACGTCACATTAATTTTTTTGTTTTTTTTTTTTGGTAGAGACAGAGTCTCACTATCTTGCCCAGGCTGGTCTTGAACTCCTGGGCTCAAAGGATCCTCCTGCCTTGCCCGCCCAAAGTGTTGGGATTACAGGCATGAGCCACTACGCTTAGCCTGCAAAGAGTTTATATATTAAAGTGAAACTTCTTATTAAACAGAGAATTTTTTTAAAGCATTACAAGGTTCTTATTGGTTAAAATGGAAAAAATATTTTTATTTCTGTTCATCTCTTGGTGGACTTGAAAAACCCTCCCTAAAGATAAACACTGCGTGGCTTCTAAGGGCTACCAGTGGAAGTGAAATGGATTAAAACACCCCGAGGTGTCTTGGTTCTCTGTCCTACGACTCTGCGTTTTCTATTTTCATCTTCCTATGATTTGTGAAAAGTCCTGAGCTGAACCTTAGGTGTAGGAGTGCCCTGCTCATTGTGCAACCTTGCAAATTGCTGGGTCCTCCCAAAGAATATTGTGAAATTTTCTTAAAGGCTGAAGGTGTCATGATTTCCTTCACACCTCTTGAAGAAAATGAGTTCAAATTGGACCTTGAGAAGTTTACTCTGATTCTCTAATATCTCATAGCCACAGTCTAAATCAGAGAGAGATATTGAGGAATTCATTCATTCATGCATAGAAACATAAATGACACATTTGCAGATTACATGACATGACATTTGAGTTTGATCCCATACGACTGTGTGGGGAGAAGGCTGTGGATGGGGTCATAGATGACAAAAGATTGGCTGTGTGTTGATTATTGTTGACTTGGGCAGTAGTTCTTAGAAACTGATTGCACTATTTTCCATTTTTGTATATGTTTATTTTCCATAATACAAAATTGTTTTAAAATCATTTATTCTGACTGGGCACAGTGGCTAATGCCTGTAATATAGCACTTTGGGGAGCCGAGGTGGGTGCATCGCTTGAGCCCAGGAGTTCAAGACCAGCCTGGGCAACACAGTGAGACCCTGTCTCTACAAAAATACAAAAATTACCCAGACGTGGTAGCATGCGTCTGTAGTCCCAGCTACTTGGGAGGCTGAAGTGGGAGATTGGCTTGAGCCTAAAGAGGTGGAGGTTGCAATGAGCTGAGATCACACCATTGCACTCCAGCCTGAGTGACAGAGCCAGACCCTGTCTCAAATAAACCCATACACAAAAAAGAAAAAAAAATCATTTGTTCATTAAGAAGTTATTTATTGAGTAACTATGTGCCAGACACTGTCCTAGGTGCTTGGGATACATTCGTGAACAAAGCTAAAAATCTCTGCCTTGTAATTTACATTCTAGCTTGGGATGGGGTATATAGAGGGAACATAAATAGTAAACATGATGAGTTAGTGAATTTTATAGTGTGTTAGAAAGTGGTAAGTGCCGTGGATCCCACTGAGAAGAGGATGGAGAAGATGACTAAGCCTGAGGCTTGGAGCTCCAACTTGGGAAAGAACCTACAGGGAGGCTGAATGAGAACAGTAGGAGAGGGAGCCATAGTGTATTAGGGAGTTGCTCAACACTGTGTACCTCCCTATTATACTTCCTCTTGCACTGTTACTAAAAAATGTGGCTGCAATTATGTCCATGAAAACCTATACAAGGCCAGGCATGGTAGCTCACGCCTGTAATCCCAGGTGAGTAGATCACCTGAGGTCAGGAGTTCGAGACTAGCCTGGCCAACATGGCGAAACCCCATCTCTACGAAAAATGCAAAAATTAGCCAGGCGTGGCGGCACACCCCTGTAATCCCAGCTACTTGGGAGGCTGAGGCAGAAGAATCGCTTGAACCCAGGAGGTGGAGGTTGCAGTGAGCCGAGATCACGCCACTGCACTCCAGCCTGGGTGACAGAGTGAGACTCTGTCTCAAAAAAAAAAAAAAAAAAAAAAAAAAGTCTATTTGAATAGTTGATATAGGAGTGGAGAAAAGGTGGCCAGGCAAAGAAAATCTCACATTAGGATTACTGCAAGTAGGCTAATTTATCTGTTTCACTCTTAAATGTTAACTCTTTGAAGGCAAATATTTGTTTAGTTTTTTTTTTTTTTTTTTTTTGAGATGGAGTCTCACTGTGTTGCCCAGGCTGTAGTGTAATGGGTCGATCTTGGCTCACTGCAACCTCTGCCTCCTGGGTTCAGGGGATTCTCCTGCCTCAGCCTCCCGAGTAGCTGGGATTACACGCACCTGCCACTACGGCCAGCTAATTTTTGTATTTTTAGTAGAGACAGGGTTTCACCATGTTAGTCAGGCTAGTCTCAAACTCCTGACCTCAGGTGATCTGCCCGCCTCGATCTCCCAAAGTGCTGGGATTATAGGTGTGAGCCACCGCACCTGGCCTTATCTTTAGATTTCTATCTTGGCTGGATAACTGGCCTAATAGAGCAGCCACATATTTGCTGAGTGAATGAGTAAAAAACACATAGAGAGTTGGAGAGAAGCTGTGACCTGCCGTACTGGGACCATCCAACACTCCCAATCATAAATCAGTTGCAGATGTTGGAGCTCATAAACCGATAACACAAAATACAGTGCCTTGAGATACCGAACTGCAGAAGCCTAAGGGTCTGTCTGATCTCCCCGACAAGGTCTCTTCTGAAGAAGCTGAAGTCTTCTGTCTGCCTAAGATCTAGACCCACCAAGGGGAACTATGGTTTTTCCTTCCCCTCCTTGTAAGAGTAAGAATGTAACCACACTTGAATAGACCCTCTCACAGTCAAAGAGAACTACTTACAAATTAATCTCAGTACCTGATCCTTTATTGTCCTTCAGCAGAATTCCTCTTCTTCCTCCTCCCATAATGTGTTTAGCCAGGCTGGTAGATTGAAGGGGGCCAGCCTCTCCACACCTGTGGGTATTTCTCGTTCATCTCTTGGTGGGACGAGAGACTGAGAAAAGAAATACGACACAGAGACAAAGTATAGAGAAAGAACACTGGGCCCAGGGGACCGGCGCTCAGCATACGGAGGACCCGCGCCGGCTCTGGTCTCTGAGTTCCCTCAGCATTTATTGATCACTCTCTCTACCTTCTCGGCGAGGGGGATGTGGCAGGACTATGGGGTAATGGTGGGGAGAGGGTCAGCAGGAAAATATGAGCCAAGGACTCTGTGTCATAAATAAGTTTAAGGAAAAGTGCTGTGCCTCGATGTGCACGTAGGCCAGAATTATGTTTGACTTTACACAAACATCTCAGTGCAGTAAAGAGCAGTATTGCCAACAGCATGTCTCATCTCCAGCCATAAGGTGTTTTCTCTTATGTCAGTAAATAGAATGTACAATCGGGTTTTACACCGAGACATTCCATTCCCAGGGATGAGCAGGAGACAGATGCCTTCCTCATATCTCAACTGCACAGAGGCCTTCCTCTTTCACTAATTCTCCTTAGCACAGACCCTTTATGGATGTCGGGCTGGGGGATGGTCAGGTCTTTCCCTTCCCACGAGGCCATATCTCAGGCTGTCTCAGTGGGGAAAACCTTGGACCATACCCAGGCTTTCTTGGGCAGAGGTCCCTGCGGCCTTCCGCAGTGCATGGTGTCCCTGGGTACTCGAGACTGGAGAATGGCGATGACTTTTACCAAGCATACTGCCTGCAAACACATTTTTACCAAAGCACGTCCTGCACAGCCCTAAATCCATTAAACCTTGAGTCAATACAGCACATGTTTCTGCGAGCACAGAGTTGGGGTTAGGGTTACAGATTAACAGCACTCAAGGCAGAATAATTTTTCTTAGTACAGAACAAAATGCAGTTTCTTATGTCTTCCTTTTTCTATATAGGCACGGTAACAATCTGATCTATCTTTCTTTCCCCCACAGTGTATAAGCTTCTGAACCCTGTTGGGAGGTGGGTACACTCAGTGATTCTCCCTGTGCAAACATTAATATATTTCTATGACTTTACCTTTTTTTTCTTTTTTAATCTTCCAGGGTGGATTGCAGTGATGCCATCTCAGCTCACTGCAACCTCCGTCTCCCAGTTCAAGCAATTCTTGTGTGCCTCAGTCTCCCGAGTAGCTGGGATTACAGACATGTGCCACCACACCCAGCTAATTTTTGTATTTTTAGTAGAGATGGGGTTTCACAGTGTTGGCCAGGATGGTTTCAAACTCCTGGCCTCAAGTCATCCACCAGCCTCAGCCGCCTCCTAAAATTCTGGGTGTATGCCTTTTCTGTAATGAATGTACCTTTTTTGTGAGTTGATTTTCAGTGAACCTTTGGAGGCTGAAGGGGAAACTGCATTGACCCCAACACGGACCCACATCCTGGGAAGATGTGTAGACGAGCACAGGAATTTCTGTCAGTGACACTGATGACCAAAGGTTGGAATTTACTCCTAATTTTTTATCTTTATTGTAAAATCTGCTACAGCATAGTATGGGACCTGGCATCCACTAACTGAAACCCATCCCAAATCTTTACATATCACCCGTTGTCTTTTGCTTTGTTGGCCTCACCAATGCAAGGTGTACATCTTACAGAACACAGAGATGCCTGAGAATATGGAGAGATTATTATTTTTATTAAGGAAGAGTAGCCTTTTTTTTTTTAACAGGGACACAGAAACAGGAAAGAAGTTAGTGAATGTGCAATATGAAACAACAATAAATCCATCATAAGAATTTTTTTCAAAAAAATGAAATATTAGTTCTCACGATTTTATTTTGTTAAGCTCAGAATACAAATATATTTTTGACATGGGTGGCTGTGCTTCCACCCCTTATGTTGATAACATATGCTAATCTTTTATCTTTTTTTCCAAAAGAAAACAAGATTACGAAAATGATGGAGAATAATAGCATAATAGCACAATAGCATAATAGCATAATGTTAAGTCTTGGAAGATACAGGGAGAAGGAATTGAAGTAGACATACCACCACAAAGGAGGAAAAACAATCCTGACACTTCAGACTACAAGGGACAGCATGAGCAGTTCCAACGCATCCAGGCAGATGAGGCAGGACAGAAGCAGAAAGGAAGGGTGAAGGAAAGTTTCACCAAATTCTGTGAGCAAAGCCTCAGCGTTTCTTAGGCTAGAGGCAGAGCCAGGCTGGCCCGCCTAGCAGCAGCATTGCTTCTTGCAGCAGCCCTTCTGCTGACAGCAGCCCTTCTGCTGGCAACAGCCCTTCCCACAGCCACAGCCGCAGCCACATGAGTGGCAGGTGCGGCGGCAGCAACAGATCACGGGCGTGCTGCAGCAGCCTCCACAGCAGCCGCGGCAGCAGGGGCAGCAGCTGGAGCAGCAGCCCACCCGGTAGCACCTGCAGGTGGTGCAGCTGCCACAGCCACCACCGCAGCCACCACCACAGCCACCACTGCAGCCACCACCGCAGCCACCGCAGCCACCACCGCAGCCACCACACCCACAGCAACCCATGGTGTCAGTAGAGAGGACTCAGGTGAAGTGACGAGGAAGGACTCAGCAGAGGTGAGGAGGTCTGATGTTCTTTGCTTCAGGGGCTCTTAAATACCCCTTCCAGGCCTAACATGTGGCAGGTGGCCACTTCCTTGTTTCCTCCAGCTTCCCTGGAGGAATTTCACAAGACCCTGAGTGTATTTCCTCATTGAACACCTCTGACTTCATAAAATTGCTTATTTTCACATTTACTTCTTCCTCAGGTTATGCTTCTAATTGTTTCTTAAATATTTAGTCTTGTTTTAACCTAGCAGTTTTCAAGTGTGATCTATGAGTCTCATTTGATGAAAGCCCATCTCCTATCTTCCATTAATCAGGATCCCTTGGCGCCGAGAGGATCTTTCCCTTGGTTTCCCCCTCCTCTAAAGGAAGGCTTTTCTGTTTTCAGGTGGTGTCTGCAGAATGCAAGAGAAGGTGAGATCCCTCATGAAGGAAACACTCAAAGCTTCACATGTCATAAGGTCCCTTGGCTAACATCTCAGAAGGCTTTCTCACCTGTTTTCAGACTTACTTTTGCTGTTAATTCACAAGTCAAAATATGGGAAAGATACCCATCTTGGGTTGATGGTCACGGTGTATTTCAAAGTGAGCTTCCCACACTGGCTCATGTTCCCCTCTTGTCCTATACTCATGGATTAGTGGATGAGGTAGCTAAGAGCCTCTGCCACCAGCTGGTTTCATGTCCCTAAAAAAGCCATGATCCCTATGTGACCCAGTTTCCTTAGCTTAGGGTAAATAATGCATAAACTTTTAAAAGACCTTATTTTTTAGAGCAATTTTTGGTTCACATCTAAATTGAGCTGAGGGCCGGGTGCAGTGGCTCACACCTGTAATCCCAGCACTTTGGGAGGCTGAGGTGGGTGGATCACTTGAGGTCTGGAGTTCCAGGCCAGCCTGGTCAACATGGTGAAACCCCGTCTCTACTAAAAAATACAAAAATTAGCTGGGCGTGGTAGTGGGCACCTGTAGTCCCAGCTACTTGGGAGGCTGAGGCAAGAGAATTGCTTGAACTCGACAGACAGAGGCTGCAGTGAGCCGAGATCGAGCCACTGCACTCCAGCCTGGGTGACAGAGTGAGACTCTGTCTCAAAAAATAATAGCAATATAATAATAATAATAATTGAGCTGAAAGTACAGAGTTCCCATATATTCCCTGTCCTCCCCAACACAACCTCCTTCACTACTGACATCCCATGCCAGGGTGGTACATTTGTTACAACTGGTGAACCTACAGTGAGACATCATAATCACCCAAAGTCCATAGTTTTCATCAAGGCTCACTCTTGTCTTCTTTCACCACCCTGGGTACTTAGCCCCTTCAGAATCATACGTCCTGCCGGGCGTGGTAGCTCATGCCTGTAATCCCGGCACTTTGGGAAGCTGAGACAGGCAGATCACCTGAGGTCAGGAGTTTGAGACCAGCCTGACTAACATGGTGAAACCCTGTCTCTACAAAAAATACAAAAATTAACCAGGTGGTGGCTCATGTCTGCCGTCCCAGCTATGCGGAAGGCTGAGGCACGAGAATGGCTTGAATCCGGGAGGCAGAGGTTCGACAGCCTGGGCAACAGAATGAGACTTGGTCTCAAAGAAGAAAAAAAGAATCATATGTCCTAGGAATTGTCTCCAAAAAATTAAAAGAAAAGAAGAACTTCATGTAAAGTCCTTTTGCAGCCTTCAAAGGCTATTCCTAAACTGGCATCCTTTTCCACAGTGCTATGATGTGGGGATTTCTACAGAAATCCCTTAGATTTCTGTAGAGCAGTGGATCTCAATGAGGGGCAATTTTGCCCCCAGGAGACACTTAGCAACATCCGAAGACATTTTTGCTTGTTTTTTTGTTTTGTTTTGTTTTGTTTTTGAGACAGAGTCTCACTCTGTCACCCAGGCTGGAGTGCAGTGGCACTATCTTGGCTCACTGCAAGCTCTGTCTCCCGGGGTCACGCCATTCTCCTGCCTCAGCCTCCCGAGTAGCTGGGACTACAGGCGCCCGCCACCATGCCTGGCTAATTTTTTGTATTTTCAGTAGAGACGGGGTTTCACCGTGTTAGCCAGGATAGTCTCGATCCCCTGACCTCGTGATCCGCCCACCTCGGCCTCCCAAAGTGCTGGGATTACAGGCGTGAGCCACCCTGCCCAGCTAATTCCCTTATTTCTTAATTGCCAATGTTAGTTTCTGTTAAGATGGATGGGGATTTAACTCTCTTGTGTCACTCCTAATATATTTGTATTACTAGTTTTTGTAATATCTATAACCAATGGTAACTTGATTATTATAATATAAATATTGCTCGCTCAACTCAAATAGTCTATATAATTACATTTCCTGAAGCAGTCTTTTATTTTTCTAAAGTATTGGATTTAATTCTCTCTCTCTCTTTTATTTTTTTAACTTTTTGCTTTTATTTCTCTTGATCTATTTGCCGTTGTCAGCCACATAATGTTTCATGTAGATTTTCCTCTTGGACAGTAATTGATAAAACTTTTCAAGCCCCCAAACTTATACTTTATTCTAATTACAAAATGCTTTCTTATTTTAAATGCCATGTGAATTGTATCAAAAAAGATGTATCATTGCGAAGGTTTACTTGTGCTTTATAAGCAATCACACAATGTTATTTTATTTATTTGTTTATTTCTTGAGCCAGAGTCTCACTCCGTCACCCAGGCTGGAGTATAGTGATGCAATCTTGGCTCGCTGCAACCTCTGCCTCCCAGGTTCAAGTGATTCTCCTGCCTCAGCCTCCAAAGTAGCTGGGACTACAGGTATGCACCACCATGCCCAGCTAACTTTCTGTATTTTTTTTAGTAGAGATGGGGGTTCACCATGTTGGCCAGGCTGGTCTCGAACTCCTGACCTCAGGTGATCCACCCGCCTTGGTCTCCCAAAATGCTGCGATTACAGGCATGAGCCACCACACCTGGCCAACACAACGTTAAATATACTGAATAATGAAACATAGAGCCAGGCTTTATAACTGTGTGGTGGGGAGCAAAATCTTCCATTCTCAGGGGGACAATCTCCAGTGAGAGTATCCGGCTGCTTCTGCAGTTGGCAATGACATATGTGCCTGAGACACCTGCCATTTCTCCAGTCTTTGGTAAGAGAATTTCTGGGCACTATACAGGAATAGCCTCCTGATAATGTTTATTCATTGTTCGAACGTTGGACCATCCATTCAAGCATTGCTGTTGTACTATATGGGCTTTCTGAGTGTGTCCAAAACTGTTGATAATACCCCCTTTCCCATGGCTCTCAGGAGGTCTTACTGGAATTTTTAGGACATTCGACTCAGAAAATAAACAAAACAAGTAATCTCATAAACCTAGCTCCCATTCCAAAGGGCAGTAAATAATATATTATGAGATCCTCCCATGACAGTTGACCCAAACAATAACTAGGAAGTGGTCATGTGTCTTCCCTCTCCTCTTCCCAGAGTTGGTACATAAGGGCCTCCCCCAGCAGAAGGAGGCATCAGACCTCCTCACCTCTCAAGTCCTCCTTCCTCACTTCACCTGAGTCCTCTTTACTGACACCATGGGTTGCTGTGGTTGTGGAAGTTGTGGTGGCTGCGGTGGTGGCTGTGGTGGCTGCGGTGGTGGCTGCGGTGGTGGCTGCGGTGGTGGCTGTGGCAGCTGCACCACCTGCAGGTGCTACCGGGTGGGCTGCTGCTCCAGCTGCTGCCCCTGCTGCCGCGGCTGCTGTGGGGGCTGCTGCAGCACACCTGTGATCTGCTGCTGCCGCCGCACCTGCGGCTCATGTGGCTGCGGCTGTGGGAAGGGCTGTTGCCAGCAGAAAGGCTGCTGCCAGAAGCAATGCTGCTGCTAGGCGGGCCCCCGGCCTCTGGGAAGATGCTGCAGGTAACGAACTGTCCTGTTGGTAAATTTTCTCTCCCTCCTGCCAGGCTTCTCTGATTTGAAAGTCACAAGAAGTTTTATCCACATTCCCTGGTCTCTGAGATCCTGCCTGCACGTGAAAACCACCAACACAAACCTTCTCTATCAATCACCAATCAAAGTATGAGTCCAAAAAAAAACAGAGGGATATTTTTAATGCTATGTTTTCTTGAAATTTTACTGTTGAAATGTTTGTTTCCATTCCTTTTCCCTCCTTTCTGTAGTTTCTGTATCCTGCATGTCTGCTCCTGCTTTCTGTTTCTGTAAACCTGAGACAATATTTTCCCAATTAACCACATAAAATTGGCATTAAAGATTCATGGACATCTCCTTCTTTCTTTCATTCTTCTAATGTGTCTAAAGGAAAGATGCGATGAAATCTAGAAAACTAACACTCCGTATGTTTGTTTGTGATGGCTTTAGAATAATAACTAACAGACTGGGTGCGGTGGCTCACGCCTGTAATTAAAGCACTTTGGGAGGCCGAGGCGGGCGGAGTTCAGGAGTTCGAGACCAGCCTGACCAATATGGTGAAACCCTGTCTTTACTAAAAATACAAAAATTAGCCAGGTATGGTGATGGGTGCCTGTAGTCCCAGCTACTTGCGAGGCTGAGGCAGGAGAATCACTTGAACCCGGGAGGTGGAGGTTGCAGTGAGCTGAGATGGCACCACTGCACTCCAGCCTGTGTGACAAAGCGAGACTCCATCTCAAAAAAAAAAAAAAAAGAAAGAAAGAAAAGAATAATCACTAATAAACTGGGTGCAGTGGCTCACACCTGTAATTCCAGCACTTTGGGAGGCTGAGGTGGGTGACTTTTAAGGCCAGGACTTCGAGACCAGCCTGGTCAACATGGTGAAACCCATCTCTACTAAAAATACAAAAAATTAGCTGGGTGTGGTGGTGTGTGCCTGTGGTCCCAGCTGCTTGGGAGATTGAGGCAGGAGAATCACTTTGAACCTGGGAGGTGAGGGTTGCAGTGAGCTGAGATCATACCGCTGAACTCCAGCCTGGGCAACAGAGTGAGACTCTGTCAAAAAAAAAAAAAAAGAAAAGAAAAGAGAAGAAATCATGAATAATCTGTTCCTAACAGGTTTTCACACAGTGGTAAAAGTTTGTTGGCTTCTATCTGAATTAGAAAAAAGATTCAGAAAACTATCAATGAGATCTTATTTCATCACTTTCTCTCTACCCTTAGATTCAAATTTTCTAACAGAGTTTAACCTCAGCATCTATAGCCAGATGAAATTCAATACCTAAAGCTATTTAGGTCTTGGTTATTTTGGTTTTGGTTCTATTAACAGACTAAAATTTAATTACAGTTCAATGAAATTAAAAAAAATTCATCATCAGTACTAGTTAATTGTCTTTCTGGTAGATTATGGTCACAAAATACTAATGTGGCCATACTGGAATAAATCTATTAGTAAAAGTTGTGACCTGCTAAGGCACTATATCCACTTTAATTTTGTATATATATATTTTTTTCCTTTTTTTTTTTGAGATGGAGTCTCACTCTGTTGCCCAGGCTGGAGTGCAGTGGCGTGATCTCGGCTGACTGCCACCTCCGCCTCCTGGGTTCAAGCGATTCTCCCGCCTCTGCCTCCTGAGTAGCTGGGATTACCAGTGCCCACTACCACACCTGGCTAATTTTTGTATGTTTAGCAGAGATGGGGTTTCACTTTGTTGGCCAGGCTGGTCTCGAACTCCCAACCTCAGGTGAGTTGGCCTTGGCCTCCCAAAGTTTTGGGATTACAGGCGTGAGCCACTGCGCTTAGCCCTACTTTAATTATATTCTATCACAAGTAAGTAAGAATATTATAAGAACAAAAAAATACAGAGTTCACAAGGGGTGGCTTTCATACCACATCTGTAAGTCCCCTGAAAGTGAAGCCACATATGGTGTATGTTGAAAAACCCATCTTCTGAATGTAGTGTCCTTTATTAAATGAGATATCCATTAGAATTTTGAGCTCAACTCTCTTCCCTGTTGAAAGCAAGGGATGGAGAAAGGGACAGAAGACTTCTCCGTGGTGTTGGCAGCCACCCTGGGCCTGAGAAAGGTAATTTACTGATTCTTGCTCCTGGACCACAGAGGTCTCTTCTCTTTCTCTTCCATTCTTGGAAGCACTCACAGAAAGTAGATACCTCAGAAATGCTACAGTGAAAAGAACCGTAGAAGATGCTAGTCCAGGGGCAAGTTCAAAGTCTGCATTAAATAGTAACACCACGGATGCTTCCAAAGAGAGGCTGTTATGAGAGTTTCATAAGAGTCAAGGAAAAATGGGCACTTCTTGCCTGACTCAAGTGTGTTTCTGTAGGGACCTAAAAGATGAGGGGCTACAGTGCTGACTTGGTGGTTATTTCTTGTTATTGCCTGTCAGTTTCAGCATCAATATGTGGATCAAAAGAACCAGGTAATAATATAAAGTAGATGAATTTGTTTCAGCATATATCTGGCAATCACAAACTTTGCATCAGACACTGCGGTGGGCACAGTAGGACACGTGAAAACAAGCCCCAGATGGCCAGGATTTGAGTAATAACTGGCAGTTTCCCTAATTCTTATTCCCTTTTTCCAATATAAGACCAATTAGAGAGAGTCGAATATGCACTCCTAATGAATCACATAAGATGCCCTGCTTCTAGTTAGTCTGTCTGCAATGTCCCATACCAAAAGCCTCTCATCTGGGCATACCTGAAACCTTCCCTTCTTCTGGTATAAAGCTTTCCCACTCCTCCGCCTGCCTTTGAGTGTCCACGAAAACAGAGGGGATGCTGTGGCAAACCATCACTTTGCTATGGCAAGCATAATTAAATAGCCTTTACCTGGACTAATTTGGTGGGTTGTCATTTATTTCCACAAGACTCAGGAATTTCATTCCTAAGTGTGTGTAAATTCTATAGATACATACAAGAATGCTCACAGTAGCACTGTCAAAAATAGCAAAAACCTGGAAACAACGGGACTTCCTATCATCTGGAGAGTAAATAAACAGAAATGGAATGTAAGTGGATGTAGTAAAACCATGTCCAAAGAAATGCAAAGGAATAACAAACACAAGCTTTTTCTGTTTTTGTTTTTGAGACAGGGTCTTATTCTGTTGCCCAGGCTGTAGTGTGGTGTCACGATTATGGCTCACTGTAGCCTTGATCTCCTAGGTTCAAGTGATCCTCCTGCCTCAGCCTCCTGAGTAGCTGAGACTACAAGTATGCTCCGCCACGCCTGGCTAACTTTTAAGTTTAATAGCAATTAGTTCTTGCTATGTTGCCCAATCTCAAATTCCTGAGCTCAAGCAATCCTCCTGCCTCTGCCTCCCAAAATGTTGGGATTACAGGTGTGAGCCACCACTCCTGGCTGAACACAAGCTTTAGGGCAAGGACTACCTTGGGTGTAGGAGGGCAGGAGGACAGGTTGGGCAGGAGGAGCCTTATGTTAGATCATACTGTCAAAGTCCTGAACAGTTACATCATTAAAATAATTAACAAATTAAATAAAGAAGGCTATGTTTAAAGTGTTCTATGAACCAAAAGGGCACACAAACCATTGTTTCCTCTGCCCCTTAAAAAATGGTATATGTTCTGGCAAACTGAATGCAGCAGTACATCAAAAATTTTATCCACCATGATCAAGTGGGCTTCATCCCTGGGATGCAAGGCTGGTTCAACATATGCAAATCAATACACGTAATCCATCATATAAACAGAACCAAAGACAAAAACCACATGATTATCTCAATAGATGCAGAAAAGGCTTTCGACAAAATTCAAGAGCCTTTCATGCTAAAAACTCTCAATAAATTAGGTATTGATGGGACATATCTCAAAATAATAAGAGCCATTTATGACAAACCCACAGTCAATATCATACTGAATGGGCAAAAACTGGAAGCATTCTCTTTGAAAACTGGCACAAGACAGGGATGCCATCTCTCACCACTCCTATTCAACATAGTGTTGGAAGTTCTGGCCAGGGCAATCAGGCAGGAGAAAGAAATAAAGGGTATTCAATTAGGAAAAAAGGAAGTCAAATTGTCCCTGTTTGCAGATGACATGATTATATAGTTAGAAAACCCCATCATCTCAGCCCAAAATCTCCTTAAGCTGATAGGCAACTTCAGCAAAGTCTCAGGATACAAAATCAATGTACAAAAATCACAAGCATTCTTATACACCAATAACAGACAGAGAGCCAAATCATGAGTGAACTCCCATTCACAATTGCTGCAAAGAGAATAAAATACCTAGGAATCCAACTTACAAGGGATGTGAAGGACCTCTTCAAGGAGAATTACAAACCACTGCTCAACAAAATAAAAGAGGACACAAACAAATAGAAGAACATTCCATGCTCATGGGTAGGAAGAATCAATATTGTGAAATGGCCATACTGCCCAAGGTAATTTATAGATTCAATGCCATCCCCATCAAGCTACCAATGAGTTTCTTCACAGAACTGGAAAAAACTACTTTAAAGTTCATATGGAACCAAAAAAGAGCCCGCATTGCCAAGACAATCCTAAGTCAAAAGAACAAAGCTGGAAGCATCACGCTACCTGACTTCAAACTACACTACAAGGCTACAGTAACCAAAACAGCATGGTACTGGTACCAAAACAGAGATATAGACCAATGGAACAGAACAGAGCCCTCAGAAATAATACCACACATCTACAACCATCTGATCTTTGACAAACCTGATGAAAACAAGAAATGGGGAAAGGATTCCCTATTTAATAAATGGTGCTTGGAAAACTGGCTGGCCATATATAGAAAGCTGAAACTGGATCCCTTCCTTACACCTTCTACAAAAATTAATTCAAGATGGATTAAAGACTTAAATGTCAGACCTAAAACCATAAAAACCCTAGAAGAAAACCTAAGCATTACCATTCAGGACATAGGCATAGGCAAGGACTTCATGTCTAAAGCATCAAAAGCAATGGCAACAAAAGCCAAAATTGAGAAATGGGATCTAATTAAACTAAAGAGCTTCTGCACAGCAAAAGAAACTACCATCAGAGTGAACAGGCAGCCTACAGAATGGGAGAAAATGTTTGCAATCTACCCATCTGACAAAAGGCTAATACCCAGAATCTACAAAGAACTCAAACAAATTTACAAGAAAAAATCAAACAAACCCATCAAAAAGTGGGGAAAGGATATGAACAGACACTTCTCAAAAGACAACATTTATGCAGCCAACAGACACATGAAAAAAAGCTCATCATCACTGGCCATCAGAGAAATGCAAATCAAAACCACAATGAGATATCTCACACCAGTTAGAATGGCAATCATTAAAAAGTCAGGATAACATCAGGTGCTGAAGAGGATGTGGAGAAATAAGAACGCTTTTACACTGTTGGTGGGAGTGTAAACTAGTTCAACCATTGTGGAAGACAGTGTGGCGATTCCTCAAGGATCTAGAACTAGAAATACCATTTGACCCAGCCATCCCATTACTGGGTATATACCCAAAGGATTATAATTCATGCTGCTATAAAGACACATACACACGTATGTTTATTGCGGCACTATTCACAATAGCAAAGACTTGGAACCAACCCAAATGTCCAACAATGATAGACTGGATTAAGAAAATGTGGCACATATACACCATGGAATACTATGCAGCCATAAAAAAGGATGAGTTAATGTCCCTTGTAGGGACATGGATGAAGCTGGAAACCATCATTCTGAGCAAACTTTTGCAAGGACAGAAAACCAAACACCGCATGTTCTCACTCATAGGTGGAAATTGAACAATGAGAAAACTTGGATACAGGATGGGGAACATCACACAATGGGGCCTGTTGTGGGGTGGGGGGCTGGGGGAGGGATAGCGTTAGGAGATATACCTAATGTAAATGACGAGTTAATGGATGCAGCACACCAACATGGCAGATGTATACATATGTAACAAACCTACACTTTGTGTACGTGTACCCTAGAACTTAAAGTATAATAATAATAAATTAAAAAAAGAAAAAGAAAAAAATGGCATATGTTAAAATGTGGTAACCATTATAAAAAAAAATAGAGCACAGTATGAGAGATTGGGATTGAAGGAATGGTGGATGGGATTTCAATTTCCAATTGGGTGGTCCAAATAGGACTCAGGTAGAACCTGACATTCCATCAAAGACTAGAAAGTGATGAAGAAGTGAACTATCCAGTTCTCTGGGGCAAGAACACTCCAGAAAGTGGGAAGGGAACAGTGAAAAGGCAGTTCAACCAGCACCCACTTAATGGGAGTGTCAGGAGTACCGAGTTCAGTGAAGTAATGGAGAGGGTGTTGTTGGCATTTCTCGGGGACAATTTTAGGTCACTGTAAACCAGCTTTGACTGTGAGAAAAGCAGGGAAGCTGGGAAGGGATCCTCTGCCTTCCTTTATAAAAGGATTACTCCAAACAGTGCCTTGAGAATTGACCACAGGAGGGTCCAAGGTAGGACCTGGGCCATCTTGAGGAAGCTCTTGCTGGGTAGGGGTGAGGCAGCCTGAACCTGTGGGGTAGGGGCGTAGGTCAAGAGAGGATTCAGCTCTGGTAATGTCAAGTGGATTTGCTGATACATCCAGTGTAGGGTGTGAGAGGAAAATAGGAGTCAAGGTGGCACCAACGTATTTTTGGCCTGTGCAGCCAAAAGGATGGAGTTGCTGTTTATTGAGATTAACTAGAAAAGGTGTTGGCCAGGCATGGTGGGTGCGCGCTTGTGGTGCCATCTACTCAGGAGGCTAAGGTGGGAGGATTGCTTGAGCCTGGGAGGTCAAGGCTGCAATGACTTATGAGCGCGTCACTGAACTCCAGCCTGGGAGACAGAGCAAGACCTGTCTCAACCCCTGCCTCATCCCCCAAAATAAAGGGCATATCTGCAAGAAAATCATGTGCTTTTTTGGGGTGTGAGTAGGGATTGCTGGTGGGAATTTCAAGTGTTCAGTTTCTAACATGTAAATTTTCAGTTGTTAACTGTCTTCCCTTCTATAATTGTGTCCCCTGTAAAACTTTGGTGAGAGCAGGAGAGGTTTTATATAAAAGTTGAAAGCAGCATTCTTCTCATTCTTCTCAGATGTGGAGACATCCATTACCTTCAAGGTGCAGTTCCTTTGGTTTGGGTCCACAAGCAGATAAGTATTTGCCCCTTGCTTATGCAGAGGCAGACACCGTTTCCATTCGGTCATGCCAATTTGGAATATATTTCTGTCGTGTTGATATGGAGCCGTTAGGATAGATGTGTTTTTTTCTCTGCTTAGACTCAGGTGGCTCCCTGCCTGGAGGGTGGGGAGTGTGTGTGCTTTTATTTAAGCCGATGCTCACAACTGGTCTGGAGTACTGACTTCAGGTCTCTACAAAAGATGCCACAGTTTGATTTTAACCTCCTGCTGAATGAGGGACTGAAATCACAAATAGGACAGAGTTTGACACATTTCAACAAAGAAGTAATATTCATATCCCACACGTGCAATGCTTGAAATGAAATACTCCAAGTATCAGGAGGTAATAATGTTGGTTTATTGAGTCCTGAGTAATTGTCCAGCTGTGAACTTGGGCAGGGGACAAGCCCACTCTGGTGTGGGTAGGAGAGGGGTGGGAGACCCTGAAGGGAGCAGATGTTTTAGCTGTCCATCACCTGGAGCTGAGGCAGATCTGGGAACTGAAAAGGGGGTGAAGCCCTCCCAAAGGTTGGGGCATCCTCCTCCTTTCATTGCAGTTGAACTGTGGTTCCTGACCAGACTCCAAGGGGAGCAAAGATGCTTGAGGGCATTCCTTGGGAGGAGGGAGCTGGCTGGTGCTGCCCAATGCAGGCAGCATGGGATAGAGGTTAAGTACTTGTAAGAGGCACCCAGAGGTTGTATTTGACCATGACTTTAAACTACTCTGGGTTGTCTTTGAACCTTTACTAGAGACTTGCCAATAATTATGATCTGGGTTCTGAAAGGTTGTAGGGAACTAAAGGAAGACCCTGTTCCACTCTTGGGATAGAGAACAGAGAAGGGGAGCTTAGTTGGAATGGGGTGAAAGCAGTGGATGCTAGGAGAGTTGGGTCAGCCCAGCAGACCTGGGACCCCTGAGAGCTGATGACAGGAAGACAGCAGGCTCCCTGATGAAGAGGCCAGAAGCAGAGCAATGCTGCGTGTGATGTGGTGCGGTAGCGGGTAGTCTCTGCCTGCCTAGATGTGTGACCTGGCACCCCAGGAAACTCTCAGAGAAAGATGAGCTCAGAGAGTACATAGTGCAGAGGTCACTACCAGAGGGATAAAATTCCAGCAAAAAAGATGCAGGTGAATCCAGCCATCATTATTGAAGGAATTTTTTTTTTTCTTTGAGACAGACTCTTGCTGTGTCACCCAGGCAGGAGTGCAGTGGCTTGCTCACGGCTCACTACAGCCTCAACCTCCTGGGCTCAGGTGATCCTTTCACTTCAGCCTCTCGAGTAGCTGAGACCACAGGTGCATGCCACCACACCTAGCTAATTTTTTGTAGAGATGGGGTCTCACTGTATTGCCCAGGGATATTGGGAAAATTCAATGGAAATGCAACTCTACTCTATTTTTTTAAATTAATCAATTGATTTATTTTTTGAGACAGAGTCTCACTCTGTCACCCAGGCCGGAGTACAGTGGCACAATATCGACTCACTGCAGCCTCCACCTCCTAGGTTCAAGTGATTCTCCTGCCTCAGCTTCCCGAATGGCTGGGATTACAGGTGTATGCCACCATGCCCAGCTAATTTTTAGTATTTTTAGTAGAGATGGGGTTTCATCATGTTGGCTAGGCTGGTCTTGAACTCCTGACCTGAAGTGATCTGCCCGTCTTGGGCTCCCAAAGTGTTGGGATTACAGGCGTGAGCCACCGTGCCCGGCCTGAATGACTCTCTTAATCTGTAGTTCCCCCTCCATCTCCCTCTCTTTCTCTCTCCTTGAATTGTGTTTCTCCTGTGAGTTTTCCATGGTCAAATTTTGAATTTTGATAATTGCATCCCCATGTAATTAGATCTAGAGGCTTATTAAGATTCAGTTTCTATTTTTGGACAAGAATGCTTCATGTGTGGTGTTGGGTTCCTCCACCAGGAAGCATATAATTCTAATTGTCTCTCTTTGAATGATAGTGGCACCTGCTGTTAGTCACTGCCTACATCCATTAATTCATTTGGGTTGCAAAATGGTGATTGATATTCTACTTTTTCCTCATCTATTTGTTGGAATACCTTTATAGAAAGAAATGTGGGCTGGGTGGGGTGGCTCACACCTATAATCCCAGCACCTTGGGAGGCCAAGGTAGGAGGATCACTTGAGGCCAGGACTTTGAGATCAGCATGAGCAACATAGTGAGACACTGTCTCTAATACTAAAAAAAAAAAAAAAAAAAAAAGAAAACAAAGAAAAGAAAAGAAATGTCCCCTCCTCAACTCTTTGCTTACTCTGAGGTACAGTTCATTTAGGAAAAGAAGAATAAATGCCTAATTCTCCTCCTACCATTAAAAATATCTATTTCAAAATAATGTGTTAATTTCTTAGCATCTTCCAAAGATGACCAATGAGGATTTCTTAAAAATTTGCTATTATTATGAACTCATAGATTTAAAAAAAATTTATGTGTTTTAGCTCACTGTAGCCATTTTTCTTTTTGATGCTTAAATTGTTGTCTTGATATGAACCCATTACCCTTTGGTAGCTTCCTTGTTTTCTGGTGTGACAAGATATTCCAGGCTTATCCCGTACATTTTATGCCCCAAATCTGGAATCATTTTATTTATTTATTTTTTATTTTGAGACAGAGTCTTGCTCTCACCCAAACTGGAGTATAGAGGCAGAATCCTGGCTCACTGCAACCTCTGCCTCCTGGATTCAAGCAATTCTCATGCCTCAGCCTCTTAAGTAGCTGGGACTTCAGGCACATGCTACCACATCTGGTTGATTTTCTATATTTTTAGTTAGAGATGGGGTTTTGCTGTGTTGCTCAGGCTGGCCTCAAACTCCTGATCTCAAGTGATCCACCCGCCTTGGCCTCCCAAAGTGTTGGGATTACAGGCGTGAGCCACCATGCCTGGCTTGGAATCATTCATTTTTCTTTTCTTTTCTTTCTTTCTTTTTTTTTTCGAGATTTCGAGATGAAGTCTCACTCTGTCACCTAGGCTGCAGTGCAGTGGCGTGATCTTGGCTCACTGCGACCTCTGCCCTCCGGGTTCAAGCGATTATCCTGCCTCAGCCTCCCAAGTAGCTGGGACTACAAGTGCCCACCACCACACCTGGCTAACTTCTGTATTTTTAGTAGAGTGGTGTTTCACCAGGTTGATCAGGCTAGTCTTGAACTCCTGACCTCAAGTGATCTGCCCGCCTAGGCCTCCCAAAATGCTGGTATTATAGACATGAGCCACCGTGCCCAGCCTGGAATCATTCATTTTTCAAGGAGCTCTTATTTGTATTTCTTTTTAAAATGCCTGATTCTTCCTTTACATATTTCCCTATGTGAATTTATAAAAGTTCCTTACATATAAAGATATTAATCTTTTGTCCTATATGCATATATATTTTCCCCAGTTTCAGAAATTTTGAAGCTTTGTTTTTGTCAGAAATTTAAACATTTTATAAGTCACATCTCTCAATTTTTTTCCATATTGTTGGGAAAAAGCTGAGTGTTGGGGAAAAAACTGAGGCAGGGCTTGCATGTCTGAAATAATGTCCTCTGGAATGTGTCTAGACTTGCTGGCTCCTTGCTTCTAGCCCTCCTAGGCTCCCAGATCAATCGTATTCGCATTATCTCAAGTAGCAGAACATGGTCCATATAAACACTAAACTATCACAGCTGTGGATCATGTGTCTGCCCTTTTGACCCCCACATTCTCACTGCCGGTTTCTTTGTTGGATTACCAATAAATAGCGTGGGCTCCTAGAGCTCGGGGCCTTCGCCGCCTCCATAATCGCGATGGCACCCTGGTCCCACTTTACTTCTCAAACTGTCTTTTTCTCAATCCTTTGACTCCGCCAGACTTTGTTGCCCGCGCGACCTGGTGTTGGGTCTGATCACCCCAATGCGTATGATTTTTGGTATTGGTGCCATATTAAGCAAGGTATTCCACAGCCCAGGAATATAATACTATTCTCCCATATTTTTTATACTACCTCTATTGCCTTACTTTTTTATATTTCAATACTTAATCCGGAATTTATGGAGATTTGGCATGATGCAAGGGTTTTATGGCATGATGCAAGGGTTTTACTTAAAAAATCATTTTATGTCATACTCTAGTTGTGTAAGATGTTATCCTTGACGGAAGCTGGACTAAGAGTACGTGGGCCCTCTCTATGCTATTTTTGCAACCAAAAGTCTATTATAATTTCAAAATAAGTAAAAAAACAAAAAACCAAAAACACTGAGTAGAGTGGCTCCCAACTGTAATGTCAGCACTTTGGGAGGCTGAGGCATGAGGATCGCTTGAGGCCAAGAGTTCAAGACCAGCCTGGGCAACACAGTGAGACCCTGTCTCTACAAAAAAATAAAAATAAAAATTAGCTGAGTGTGGTGATTCATGCCTGATATCCTACCTACTTGGGAGGATTAGGCAGGAGGACTGTTTGAACCCAGGAGTTCGAGGGTGCAGCGAGCTATGATGGTGCCACTGTCACTCTAGCCTGGGTGACAGATTGACACCCTGTCTCAAAAAAAAAAAAGAAGGAAAAAACCCATTTTTGTCATTTTGTTATTGTTGTGGTGGTGGTGGTTGGTATCCAGGTTTATTCTTCCAGATGGTTAGCTAAATGTTTAATTGCTTAGGGAGCTTAGTGGTGAATATGAGGTAATTTACAGAAGTTACATACATAATTGGCGTTTATGTGGTCATTAAGAAACAGTTTCTGAAAAGCAAATATTTAATAATGAGGGTAATTGTATATGATTAAATGTTAAGTTAAAAACCGGGATACAAAATTATATATTCACAATATTTTTAATTTTGCCATATAAATTCAAGGAAATAGCCGGGCATGATGGCTCACATCTGTAATCCCAGTACTTTGAGAGGCCAAGGTGGGCAGATCACCTGAGGTCAGGAATTCAAGATCAGCCTGGCCAAAATGGTGAAACCCTCTCTCTACTAAAAATACAAAAATTTAGCCAGGCATCGTGGCACGTGCCTGTAATCCCAGCTACACGGGAGGCTGAGCCCAGATGGCGCTATTGCACTCTAGCTTGGGCGACAGAGCAAGACTCCATTTCAAAAAAAAAAAAAAAAAAAAAAATCAAGGTAATAGTCTATGTTAATTAAAAGAAAAAAGAACCCAGGTGCTGTGGCTCATGCCTGTATAACCAGCACTCTGGGAGGCCGAGGTGGTCAGACCACCTGAGGTCGGGAGTTTGAGACCAGCCCAGCCAATATGGTGAAACCCCATCTCTACTAAAAATATAAAAATTAGCTGGGCGTGGTGGCACATGCCTGTAATCCCAGCTACTCGGGAGACTGAGGCAGGAGAATCACTTGAACCTGGGAGGTGGAGGTCGCAGTGAGCTGAGATGGCGCCATTGCAGTGAGCTGAGATGGCGCCATTGCACTCCAGCCTGAGTGACAAGAGCAAAACTCCATCTCAAAGAAAAAACAAATAATTAAAAAAAAAAAGAAAAGAAAACAGTAGATTAGCAATGGCAAAATCTGGTGGACATCATGTTAATTGGGTGATAAAATTTAATATCACTAGAAATGGGATCAATTAACATCACACACTTGTTGATGTGATGCACTGAGGAAAACACATCAACTGTGTAATATTTCTGCAAAAACGTTTAACCAGAACCTGACCACGAGGAAACAATAAGCCAAATCTCTGTTGAGGGTTATTTTGCAAAACAACTCTCCAGGACAAAAATAAAATGCTGGAAAACCGTTCTAGATTAAAGTTCAATAAAAATACATCTTTGATTGGATCTGACATGAAAAATTATTAAAAATGCAATTCCAAATTATAGGACATTCTTGGGATAATTAGGGAAATTTAAGATTGGTTAAACATTACATAAAAACGTGTCACTTTTAAATCTCTCAAGTGTGATAATAGTATTGTAGTTCTATAGGAGAATCTCCCTTTTGGGAGACACTTACTAAAATTTGTAGTATTCCTCTTCAACTTACTTTCATTCAAATGGGAGAGAGAAGGCTGGGTGCAGTGGCCCACTTCTGTAATCTCAATGCTTTGGAAGGCTGAAGTGGATGGATGGTTTGAGGCCAGGAGTTCAAGACCAGTATGGGCAACATAGCCAGACCCCATCTCTACAAAAATGTAATATAAAATAAAATAAAATAAAATGAAAGAGAGAGAACTAAAATGAAATGTATGGCAAAATGTTAACTACTGGTTAACTTAAGTAAATGGTATACAGGATTTTACTATAATATTCTTGCAAATTTTCTGTGGGTTTAAGATTCTACAAAATACAAATATTGGAAAAAAACAAAACATAGAAAAATGATGGAGCAATGTGAAGTGGCTTATGCCTGTAATCTCAGCATTTCGGGAGGCCAAGACAGGAGGACTGCTTGAGCCCAGGAGCTGAAGACCAGCCTGGACAACATAGCAAGACCCCATCTCCATTTTTAAAAGGCATAGGAAAATGATGGAAGAAAATACGACAAAATGGTAAAAGTGGTTATTACAGGCACTATTAATTTTCTCCTTTACGTTTTTCTGTATTTTAAAATTGTTTATAATGAACTTATATTTATTATTCTAAATTCAGAAAAAAAAATTTAGAGGAGAGAAAAACCACTCAATTTTCCCCATTTTTCTTTTTCAATGTTCTATGCCAATTTCCATAACCTGACATGACAACAGGTGGACTCAGGAAAGAGGTAGAGGCAGCTGCTGATGTCTAGGTGTGGCACCTTCTGAAGTGTTTGGGAAAGTGCTGTTACTATCCATAGCGTGCATTTTGGAACAACCCTCAACTCTGTTGTGAACGTGTTTTGAGGCAGGTGTCCCATCTAGGTTGTGTTTCCCTGGGAATCTAAGCAATGGTTGTAGATGTGGTCTAATTCCCTGAGCAAAGATGTTCTGGGCATGAGCTATAAGAATTCTGAAGACATGCTGGGTGATGTGGCTCACACCTGTAATCCCAGCACTTTAGGAGGATGAGGCGGGTGGATTACCTGAAGTCAGGAGTTCAAGACCAGCCTGGCCTACGTAGTGAAACCGTGTCTCTACTTAAAAAAACACAAAAATTAACCAGGTGTGGTATTGCGTGCCTGTGGTCCCAGCTACTCAGGAGATTGAGGCAAGAGAATCACTTGAATCTGGGAGGTGGAGGTTACGGTGAGCTGAAATCGCGCCACTACACTCCAGCCTGGGCAACAGAGTGAGACTCCGTCTCAAATAATGATAATAATAATAATAATAAATGCTGAACACTTGCAGAGAATAAGATTAGGGTGAATTACTTACTGAAACCTATGGCCTGAGCAAACTTGAGCCCAAGAATCCCCTGATACTTCCCCCAAATAACTTCACTCTCAGCCTACAGGAACCCTGAGACATTGAAGATTTTGGCCAATTGAAAAATCAGACATCTGCATTCCACAGAGAGGGGAGGGCAGCCATTGTCATGCTGTCACTGCTGCTGTTTTTGCCTGACATCTCCCAGCCCAGCCCCAAAGCTATTGTGTATGTGTTGGAAGACACATGGGTCCAGGAAAGTAGAAGAATTAGGAGCGCTGCTCTCCCTGGTTAGGGGTTACTGAGGTCATTAATACTTCTTAGCTGTGATGTCAAAAGCACACCACAGGCCGGGAGTGGTGGATCATGCCTACACTCCCAACATTTTGGAAGGCTGAGGTGGGTGGATCACCTGATGTCGGGAATTCGAGACCAGCCTGGCCAACATGGTGAAACCCTGTCTCTGCTAAAAATACAAAAATTAGCCAGGTGTGGTGGTGCACGTCTGTAATCCCAGCTACTTGGGAGGCTGAGGCATGAGAATTGCTTGAACCTAGGAGGCAGAGGTTGTAGTGAGTGAAGATTGTGCCACTGCACTTCACCCTGGGCGACTGAGTGAAACTCCATCTAAAAAGAAAAGGGAGAAGAGCACAAAAACAAGGTCCCCAGACAGAGTCCAGAGTCAGCCGTCTGTAGCTGAACCTGGTGGCATGGGTCTATAGTCCCAGCTACTGGGAGGCTGAAGATGGAGAAGCACTTGAACCCAAGGAGCCTGAGGCTGCAGTGAGCTATGATTGCACCATTGCACTCTAGTCTGTGTGACTGAGCAGGACCCTGTCTCAAAAAATCAAGGAACAAAATGAAACAAAAAGGACAGCCATCTCATACAGCAGGGCAGGCAGGTCTGGAAGTAGCAGGAACCAACTGAGGGAGTCTGGCCCTTATGTCTCTACTGTGGGCATCATAGACATTATACGAGTGTCTCATGTAGGGCACTGGGCAGACAAAACAGAGAGCAGGAGGACTCCTCATAGCCCCACACCTGTGAGAGGTAGATCAAGGGAGGGTGTCTTAAGCCTTTCTTCTGCTTTCAAAAAGTCAGCTTATGAAAGAGGTGCCAGTTGTAAAACCACGGACACCGACATCCTGGGGGACATGCAGCCCCCTGCAGAGCCTGGTGGTTGTTGATCAGAACCTGCAGCGTAAGTTCCAAGAGGGACTGCGGGGTCTCCACCGCATGGGCCTCTTCTGTGCGTTGTCTGGAGAATAGAGATTAGCCGGGCAGGCCTTTAACTCTGGAGATAGTCAGGCAAGAACCTTACCCTACTGACTTACTCACACCCACGGGCTACCTGGGGCAGGAAATGGAGGCCTGACAGGTAGAGTCAGTTGGACCGAATGGGATCATTCCAAATAAACATTCCATTAGTGCGTGGGCAGGCCTAAGCCTGGAGCCTCCCCATGGGTCTTAAACGTGAGAGAGGCACGAGAGAAGGCCAGCCACCAAATGTAAACTTTGTTGCTTTTGTTTTCCCAATTATTTAACAGATAAACAACAAACAGAAACCTCACCCTTGGGAGATGACTTAGGAGTAGGCCCTAAATAATTGCGTTTTTAGCATTTCACATAGCACAATATTTTTTTTGGAATTTTTTATGATCAAGCAATTCTTCTGGTGAATGAAAAATCCCAAGGAGCTAGAAAAGAGAATATTTGTGTTTTAAGGTGAGATATAAGGTGCAAGGTAATACATTCAGAAATGCCTACTCTGTTTCTTTCTTTTTTTTAGATGGAATTTCACTCTGTCACCCAGGCTGGAGTGCAATGGCACAATCTTGGCTCACTGCAACCTCTGCCTCCCAGGTTCAAGTGATTCTCCTGCCTCAGCCTCCTGAGTAGCTGGTCTAATTTTTTTTTTTTGAAACAGAGTCTCCCTCTGTCTCCCAGGCTGGAGTGCAATGGCATGATCTCAGCTCACCGTGACCTCCACCTCCTGGGTTCAAGTGATTCTCCTGCCTCAGCCTCCCAAGTAGCTAGGATTACAGGCATGTGCCACCATACCTGGCTAATTTCGTATTTTTGGTAGAGATGGGGTTTCTCCATGTTGGTCAGGCTGGTCTTGAACTCCCGACCTCAGGTGATCCACCCGCCTCGGCATCCCAAAGTGCTGGGATTGCAGGCGTGAGCCACCGTGCCCAGCCAAGAAGGTTTTTTTTTAATATCATAAGACTGTGTGATGAATTCCAACAGAGAGAAAAACAATGTTTTGTCCAACCTGTGACAACTGAGAAGTATCAACAGAGACACAAGACTTTTTACCTGGCTCTGGATTCAGACTCTCATGATTATAAAGAAATGAAGATTATTCTTAAATGTTCTAGGCATTTATTTAATTCAAAAGATACCTATTGAATACTTACAATGTGTCGGGCACTATTTTAAGCCCTAACACACATTTAAGTTCTTGCAAACACAAACATCTTAGAGGTGTGTTCTCATCCAAACAGAGGTTTAAGAGATGAGCAAAAGTTAAATTTAGCAATATTAGCTTGTTAAGATGTTCACAAGGTAGGGCGTAAGACAACTCATGAGATCTTTTATGAGATCTCATAAACAACAACAAGAAATAGGATAAACAACAACAAGAAATGGGCCACATATTGGGCTTGGCTTGCTGGAGTTGCTATATAAGGGCTTCCCCGGACAGAAGGCGGCATCAGACCTCTTCATCTCTCCTGAGCCCTCTATCCTCGCTTCTCCTCAGTCCTCTCTACTGACACCATGGGTTGCTGTGGGTGTGGTGGCTGCGGTGGTGGCTGTGGTGGCTGCAGTGGTGGCTGTGGTGGTGGCTGCGGTGGTGGCTGCGGCGGTGGTGGCTGCGGTGGTGGCTGTGGCAGCTGCACCACCTGCAGGTGCTACCGGGTGGGCTGCTGCTCCAGCTGCTGCCCCTGCTGCCGTGGCTGCTGTGGAGGCTGCTGCAGCACTCCCGTGATCTGCTGCTGCCGCCGCACCTGCAGCTCGTGTGGCTGTGGCTATGGGAAGGGCTGTTGCCAGCAGAAGGGATGCTGTCAGCAGAAGTGCTGCTGCCAGAAGCAATGCTGCTGCTAGGTGGGAACCCAGCCTCTGGGCAGGGGCTGTAGCCACTCATGCTGTTGGTAAGACTGCGGGTCTGCAGGTGCCGCAGGGAGGCAGCTTGCTCCCCTTGCTGTGGCTTTCCTCCATCCCATCCCGTGTGCTCCCTGCTGTCTCCCTGTCACCCAGACTTCATGGCACTTTTCTGCTTGGTTCTCATCTCTGTAGTTTAAGTAATTCTTCCTATTATTAAGGTAGTCACATGGGCAACTGGTACAATGTCATTCAAGCACAAAGATGCAGGACATTTTGAGTTTTGAGCTCAGCAAAGCAGGATCATGATTTTGACCATGCTTTCTTCTTTGAACTCTTTTCTCTCTAGGCATTAGGTCTTCTTGTGTGTTCCACATATGCTCTGTCTTTTCTGGGCCATAGAGTCTTTTCTAGGTGTTCTCCTAAAATTTTCTTTTTTTGTTTTACTAATTCATGGTCTTCATTTTAGTGCTATAATTTTGATTATATCACCAAAAAATCTTTTTTCCCTTTGGTAGTAACCCATCTATATTTTTTTACTTAAAAAAATTGATACATAATAGATGTAGATATTTGGGGGGGATACATGTGATATTTTAATAAATTTACATAATGTGTAATAATCAAATCAGGGTAATTGGGATATTAATCACCTTAAATCTTTTTCTTTTATGCTGGGAACATTCAAATTATTCTCTATTAACTGTTTTGAAATGGGTAATAGTTTATTGTTTACTATAGTCACTCTACTGATTTATTGAGCACTAGGTATTGTTCTTTTAACTGTATTTTTGTACTCATTAATCAACCATTCTTCATGAAAAATTTCATAATAAAATGCAAAAGTGAACTCTGAACAGTTTCCCTTAGTTTTATTCTTATAGATATTTTTCATTAAACTACCATTAATCATGATTTTATGTGGGTTGGAGGCCATTAAGGATACACATATAATTATGCCCTTGTGTGGTTTACTTCCATTTATACACAAATAACCACAAACATGAGGTAGAAGAATAACAAACGTGTTAAAAGTTCTATGTTGATGTGTATGTCATGGGCAGGAACAACTCCACATTGCTGGATGGGGAATGGGTGTAATTCAAAGGAACTCGGATCACTTCAAGAAGGAAGGGACATTTGGGAGTGTGTTTTGAAGAATTAGTAAGGTTTTGACAGGTGGAGGTGGTTGGGGCAGATGTTTCGAGAAGGGCAAAAATGTGAGAATGGAAAAGTTCAAGACATACATGGGACAAATCATGAATTTGACCTACAGTAGGCTAATATAAATAGTTACAAGTCAACAATGACAGGAAGGCTGTCCTACAATTTGGAAGGCTGAGGGGTTAAGAATAACAGCACGGACAACAGCAACAGTAACTGGCATTTGCATTGCCCTTAAAAACCAGGTATTCTGGCCAGGCGTGGTGGCTCATGCCTGCAATCTCAGCACTTTGGTTTTTGTTTTGTTTTGTTTTTTAGACAGAGTCTCAATGTCTCACCCAGGCTGGAGTGCAGTGGCATGATCTTGGCTCACTGCAACCTCTGCCTCCTGGGTTCAAGTGATACTCATGCCTCAGCCTCCCGAGTAGCTGGGATCACAGGCTTGCGCCACCACGCCTGACTAATTTTTGTATTTTTAGTAAAGACGGGGTTTCGCTGTGTTGGCCAGAGTGGTCTCGAACTCTTGGCCCTCAGTGATCCACCCGCCTCAGTCTCCCAAAGTGCTGGGAGGATCACTTGAGCCCAGGAGTTCAAGACCAGTCTGGGCAACATAGTGAGACCTAGTGTCTACAAAAAAATACACAAATTAACTGGGCGTGATGGTGTGCAGCTGTAGTCCCAGCTACTTGAAAGGCTGAGGTGAGAGGATCACTTGAGCCTGGGAGGTTGAGGCTGCAGTAGCCATAATAGTGCCACTGTACTGCAGCGTGGGTGACAGAGTGAAAAGGGGACAGGCATTCTTCTAAGCACATACATGTGTCATGTTGCAGAGAGGGAAATGGCACAGAGAAGTTATTAACTTGTTCAAAGCACATAACTGCCGCAGGGGGCGCTGCACACACAGCAATGCTATGGGCCAGGGAAGGCTTTTGAGAGGGGACACTTACCTGGACAGCAATGTGCAGAATTAATCGGTTCACTGGGAGAACGGAGCAGTGTCAGAAATCCTGGGCAAAGCAACGAGGGCCCAAGACAACAGCAGAGTGGGAATGGCAAGAGTATTTGTGGGGAGTTAAGGCATAATACAAACCAAACAAATGAGGGGAATGTCTGAGATGACAAAACAGGCAAGATGACAATGGTGATTTAACAATGCACTGGGACTTCTATTCTTCTTTTCTTAGAGATTTGGGAAATTGTACAAGGTAGTCCAGTTTATTCTTTATTTTTATTTTATTTTATCTTGTTTTTTTCAAACAAGGTCTTGCAATGTTGCCCAGGCTGGAGTGCAGTGGCACCATCATTACTGACTAAAGTCTCAACCTCCTGGGCTCAAGCGATCCTCCCACCTTGGCCTCCTGAGTAGCTGAGATCACAGGTGCATGCTACCACACTTTTTACATTTTGTGATAGAATCGAGGTCTTGCTGTGTTGCCCGGGATGGTCTCAAACAGTTGGGCTCAAGTGATCCTCCTAACATGCTTGGATTACAGGTGTGTGCCGCTGTGCCTGGCCCCATTTTAAAATTCTTATCAAATATGATCAACTAGGTCAGAAACTGGCCATTTCCTTTAAAGTTGTTTGTTTCACTCTGTAAGATGTAGCAGGAAAGGGAGTTGATAATCTAAAAATGCTTTCTAATAAATGTGCATGATAACTCCCTTATATATCACTGATCCTGATCTTGGTGTATTTACTCTATTGCAGATGAAATGTGAAATGGTTATTTTGAGAAAAGGCAGATCTGCTTGACTGGCTACATTGGGCTGACCCGAAAAGATCTAGGCTTGAAAAAAAAATTGCCTTCTTTTTTTTTTTTTTTTAGGTGGAGTCTTGTGCTGTCACCCAGGCTGGAGTGCAATGGCGCAATCTCTGCTCACTGCAACGTCTGTCTCCTGAGCCCAAGCAGTTCTGCTGTCTCAGCCTCCTGAGTAGCTGGGATTACAGGCATGCGCCACCATGCCTGGTTAATTCGTATATTTTTAGTAGAGCTGGAAGTTTCACCATGTTGGCCAGGCTGGTCTCGAACTCCTGTCCTCAAATGATCTGCCTGCCTCAGCCTCCCAAAGTGCTGGGATTACAGGCGTGAGCCACTGTGCCTGGCCTGCTTTTTTATTTTATTTATTTATTTATTTTTAATTATTTTTTTCAGACGAAGTCTTCCTCTGTTGCTCAGGCTGGAATGCAGTGGTGGGATCTCAGCTCACTGCAACCTCCGCCTCCCAGGTTTAAGCGATTCTCTCACCTCAGCCTCCCAAGTAGCTGAGACTAGTCATGTGCTACCACACCTGGCTAATTTTTGTATTTTTAGTAGAGATGAGGTTTCACCATATTGGCCAGGCTGGTCTCGAGCTCCTGACCTCAAGTGATCCACCCATCTAGGCCTCCCAAAGTGCTGGGATTACAGGCATGAGCCATCACACCCAGCCAAAAATTGCTTTTTTAGTCTACTTAAATGAATCCTTCCTTCCTTCCTTCCTTCCTTTCCTTCCCTCCCCCCTCCCTCCCTCCTTCCTTCCTTTCTTCCTTGCTTTTCTCTTTTTCTTTCCTTCCTTCTTTCCTTTCAAGACAGGGTCTCACTGTCACCCAGGCTGGAGTGCAGCCTTGACCTCCTGGGCTCAAGCAATCCTCCTGCTTTAGCCTCCCAAGCAGGTGGAACTACAGGCATGCACCACCATGCCCGCCTAATGTAAATTTTTTTTTGTCGAGAAAGGGTCCTGCTCTGTTGTCCAGGCTGGACTCAACATCGTGGCCTCAGATAATTTTCCTACCTTATCCTCCCAAAGTGCTGTAACTACAGGTGTGAGCCACCTCCTACTTATTGAATGTTGATTTTTTGCATTCATTTTAAGAACGTTTGGATGAAGATTGTAGACTAACAACACACATTATAGGGATCACAGGGCTCGGCACATGTATAGTTTGCCACTAAATATTGTTAGAATGAGCAAATGTTATATATATTATATATACTATATCTACATATAGGTCAGGCTTGGTGGCTCATGCTTGTAATCCCAGCACTTCGGGAGGCTGAGGCAGGAGGATTACTTGAGGGCAGGAGTTTGAGACCAGCCTGGCCAACATGGTGAAACCCCATCTCTACTAAAAATACAAAAAGTAGCTCAGCATGGTGGTACGTGCCTGTTATCTCAGCTACTCGGGAGGCTAAGGCAGGAGAATCGCTTGAACACCTGGAGGCAGAGGTTGCAGTGAGCCAAGATTATGCCACTGCACTCCAGCCTGGGCGACAGAGAAAGACTCTATCTCAATAAAATAAAATAAAATAAAATAAAATAAAATAAAACCATATATATTATATATAATATAGGTTATATATATGTTTGTATATGTTACTTGTATTCATTATCGTATACTTACGTTATACATGAAATTCATATATATAGGTTATACATATGTTACTTATATATAACAGATACATATACCTCAGATTATATATGTTACAATACAATTTTTACATATCCATATGTTATATGTATATACATATGTATGTATGTATAACACATACACAGTCTAAACTTTGTGACTTAACACATGATTTTGTAAAATCTAGTAGTTTTTGGAGCATATGTTCTCAAATACATTGTTTCCGTTGTTAAGGCTTGCCTCTGCCTCACTGTGTCTGTTCCTTCCCGATCTTTGGGTCAACTGTGATTACAGGGACTTCACCCTTGTGTTTACTGTATGCTCCTTGGCTTCTACCAGAGGTTCTCACAGGTCAGAGTATTACCATTAGAAAGTCCTTTAGGCACTTCAATCCAGACAAAGCAAAGGCATCAAGATCTTCTGTATGTACTTATATGAAGAATATCCAGTGGCTCACACCTGTAGTCCCAGCACTTTGGGAGGCCTAGGTGGGCGGATCACTTGAGGTCAGGAGTTTGAGACCAACTTGACCAACATGGTGAAGCCCTGTCTCTACTAAAATTACAAAAATAACTGGGTGTGGTGGTGGACACCTGTAATCCCAGCTACTCGGGAGACTGAGGCAAGAGAATTGCCTGAACCCAGGAGGCGGAGGTTGCAGTGAGCTGAGCCAAGGTCATGCCACTGCCCTGCAGCCTGGGCAATAGAGAATGACTGTCTCAAATATTTTAAAAAAAGTCCTCGTGTGTGTTTGTGCTGGCTGGCTAGTGAGCTATTTGTGAAAAGGGTAAGTGTATGGTGTAAGAAGGTGGACATGGACAAATAATGGTTGTTTTTGTCACCGCTAGAGGGTCATGACTGAAAATTGTCCAGGTTCTTGTCATTTTGAACAAAGAACTGGACAAATTGCCCAGCAAAGCAAAAAAAAGAATGAAGCAACAAAAGAATGAAAGCAGGGATTTACTGAAAATGAAAAGTACACTCCACAGTGTGGGTTCTAGCCAAGCAGTGGGTCAAGGGCCCAGATACAGAATCTTCTTGCGTTCAAATACCGCCTAGAAATTTCCCATTGGCCACTTCATACTCACCTCATGTAAATGAAGTGGTAGCCAACAATCAGTCTGATTGGTTGTGGACAGCAGCCGAACAGAGGCTGAAGTGAAGTTACATAGGTCACACTTCTGTGCAAATGTCTGATAGGTTGCTTTTTTGGCAGCAATTGGTTGGCTAGGGTGAAGTTACAAAGTTATAATTCTATGCAAATGAAGTATACATAGAAGAACAAGTGGGTGGAGGAGGCAGAGAGGTGGCAGAGAGGTTGCTGTGAGCTGAGATCACACCACTGCACTCCAGCCTGGGCGACAGAGTGAAACTCCATCTCAAAAATAAAAAACCAAACCCCCAAAAAGCAAAGGTGAATTACTCAGAAATACAGTATAACATAGTAAACAATTTCTTAACTAACTTTTTGTAAGCACATTATCTACCAACAATAGCATATTGTATTTGTCTGCTAGGGCTGCTATAACAAAACACACAGGCTGGGGAGGCTTAAACAATAGAAATTTATTTTCTCACAGTCTGGAGGCTGGAAGTATAAGATCAAGATGCCAGTGAAACCGCCTTTGCAAAGTTACAATTGAGTAAATTATGGCAGTGAAAGCCGACTCCATCTTGCTTCTAACCTTCAAGCTGTCCTTGTTCATTCCTGGGCATAGGCCGAACTAACTTTAGGAAGGAATTCCGTTCATGGTTTGACTCTGAAATAAAATTGATAATAGCCCTTTCCCTAAAAGACCCCCTTCTTGCCTGGGGACTAGTCTGCCTTTGCAAGACTAACAAATTAGCTACAAGATTAGAAATTACAGATAGGGGTCACGCAGCCTCTGGCTCCAAGAGTCCAAACCTCCCCAAATTGTTCTTGGGGATAATATCACTATTTTAAAACCTAAGATCAGTGCTTGTGATATTTTGCAGACCCTGCACTATATGGATTAGCTGATACCATCCAGACTGGTAACCTAGCTCAACCAGTTCTGCCTTCCCACCCAGCAACAGAGAACATCAAGAAAAAGTCACTTCGGGCTGGGCGTGGTGGCTCACTCCTGTAATCCCAGCACTTTGGGAGGCCGAGGTGGGCGGATCACTTGAGGTCAGGAGTTTGAGACCAACCTGACCAACGTGGCAAAACCCTGTCTCTAATAAAACTACAATATTAGCTGGGTGTGGTGTTGCGAGCTTGTAATCCCAGCTACTTGGGAGGTTGAGACAGGAGAATCGCTTGAACCTGGGAGACGGAGGTTGCAGTGAGCCGAGATCGCACCATTGCACTCCAGCCTGGACAACAAGAGGGAAACTCCATCTCAAACAAACAAACAAACAAACACACAGGAAAAACTCACTTCGACCCCCTATGATTCCATCTCCAACCTGACCAATCAGAACTCCCCACTTCCCAAACCCCTACCCGCCAAATTATCTTTAAAAACTCTGATCCCTGAATGCTTGAATGCTCTGGGAGACTGATTTGGGTAGTAATAAAACTCCGGTCTCCCGCACAGCCAGCTCTGCATAAATTACTTTCTCCATTGCAATTTCCCTGTCTTGATAAATTGGCTCTGTCTAGGCAGCTGGCAAGGTAAACCCATTGGGTGGTTATACAGCAGGGTTGGTTTTTTCTGAGTCTTCTCTTCTTGGCTTGCAGATGACCCTCCTGCCATGTCCTCATACAGCGTTTTCTCTGTGTCCACTCATCTCTGGTGCCTCTTTCTTTCTTTTTCTTTCTTTCTTTTCTTTCTTTCTTTCTTTCCTTCCTTCCTTCTTTCTTTCTTTCCTTCTTTCTCTCTCTCTCCTTCCTTCCTTCCTTTCTTTCTTTCTTCCTTTCTTTCTTTCTCTCTTTCTTTTTCTTTCTTTCTTTCTTTTCTTTCTTTCTTCTTTTCTTTCTTTTTTGAGACAGAGTCTTGCCCTGTCACCCAGGATGGAGTGCAATGGCATGATCTCAGCTCAATGCAACCTCCGCCTCCCAGGTTCAAACGATTCTTCTGCCTCAGCCTCCTGAGTAGCTGGGATTACAGGTGCCCGCCACCACACCCAGCTAATTTTTGTATTTTTAGTAAAGACAGGGTTTCACCATGTTGGCCAGGCTGGTCTCGAACTCCTGACCTCCTGATCTGCCCACCTCGGTCTCCCAAAGTGCTGGGATTACAGGCGTGAGCCACTGCTTCCGGCCTGCCTTTTTCTTCTCATGGGAACACTGGCCATACTGAATTAGGGTCCCACCTTAAGGGCCTCATTGAATTTAATTACATCCTAAGAGGCCCCATCTCCAAATATAGTCACATTAGGGGTTAGAGCTTCAACATATGAATTTTGGTGGGAGGCAGGGTTCACACTTCAGTCCATAACACATCTCATTATTGTAAATCCACAAAGGTGGAGTACTTTGAACAAAACACATAGAATTAGGGGAGCCCCAGACGAATTAATCTCTAAGAATAAAAGTAGGAAGAGTTGGCATATTATATATACATCCCATATCTACTCCTACATGGGGACAATACCTGTGAGCAAGAATATTTGTTGTATTGTTTGTAGAAGAAAAATGTTTGAAACAACGTAATGACCCAACAAAGGAAGACTTAGTTAAGTTTGGCACACGTGTGAAAAGAAATAAATTATAGTAACAAATGAGAAGGAGGCAGCTGCCTATGTATTATTTTTAGGTCATATTGATGAGGAAATCAAGGTAAGAAGTAGAATGGTATACTCAGCTGTCACAGGGGTCTGTATGTGCATAGAATATCTTTTTCTTTTCTTTTCTTTCTTTCTTTCTTTCTTTTTTTTTTTTTTTGAGACGGAGTTTTGCTCTTGTTGCCCAGGCTGGAGTGCAATGGCATGATCTTGGCTCACTGTAACCTCTGCCTCCTGGGTTCAAGCGATTCTCCCGTCTCAGCCTCCTGAGTAGCTGGGATTACAGGTGCCCGCCACTACGCCCGGCCAATTTTTGGTATTTTTAGTAGAGACGGGGTTTCATCATGTTGGCCAGGCTGGTCTTGAACTCCTGATCTCAGGGGATTCTCCTGCCTCGGCCTCCCAAAGTGCTGGGATTCCAGGTGTGAGCCACCGCACCCAGCCAGAATATCTTTAAAAAGATACTCAAGGCAGGGCGCGCAGTGGCTCACACCTGTAATTCCAGGACTTTGGGATGCTGGGGCTGGAAGATTGCTCGAGGCCAGGATTTTGAGACCAACCTGGGCAGCATAGTAAGATCCCATCTCTATTCAATTAAAAAAAAAGATACTCAAGACAATGGTAAGGGAGGGGAATTGGTGGCTGAAGGATGGGGTGAGGGGTGGAGGAAAGTTTACTTTTCACTCTTTGACCTTTTTGTACATTTAAAATTTTGTACTATTTCTTTTTTTCCAGGGAAAAAGTCATAATGACATTGGTTCATGCAGAAATAACCCAACCCAAGAAACTGCTTGGAAACGTATGATTAAGGAGTTTCAGGAACCCCGCCCCCACCCCTCCCCCACTCAAATCTGAATCAGTTGTGACTATCACCTTAGGGAGGAATGACTGCGATTAATTTAAACTAAAGAATTTAAAATTAGTGTTGATTTTGAAGAACTGATTAAAATGATCTGTTGTTACCTAAGACAAACTTTTTTTTTTTTTGAGACAGAGTTTCACTCTTATTGCCTAGGCTGGAGTGCAATGGCACGATCTCGGCTCACTGCAACCTCTGCCTCCCAGGTTCAAGCAATTCTCCTGCTTCCACTTCCCAAGTAGCTGGGATTATAGGCATGTGCCACCATGCCAGGTTAATTTTGTATTTTTAGTAGAGATGGGGTTTCACCATGTTGGTCAAGCTGGTCTAGAACTCCTGATCTCAAGTGATCCACCCGCCTTGGCCTCCCAAAGTACTGGGATTACAGGCGTGAGCCACTGCACCAGGCCCAAACTTTTTTTAATGACACAGGTAATATATGGATACAAGCATGGCAAATTCAAAAAATAAAAAAGTATATGGAATGTAAAGCAAGATGTGTCTTCATCTCACCACTAATCTCATTTCTGCTCCTATAGTCACAGTCATGACAGGATGGGGCTGGCCACCAGCAAGACTAAGTGATTAGAGAGTGGGCACTTTCAGCTCTGCCCTCTGACCTCCAGGGAGTGGACCAGGGCTGGAGATGGAGCTCTATCCACCTTTTGAACAAAAAGATTCTGAGAGCTTCTGGGTTGGTGAATGCTCCAACTACCCAGGGACAAAAACTCCTGCACATATAGATACTTGCACGTTTAGAAACATAACTTAGCGGGCTTTTTTTTTTTTCAATATAGCAGCGGAATCAAGATGTAGTTATTTTTCAGAAAGTTGATTATTTTTCAATTAGCATTTTGCTTTAGAGCTCTTTCCAGGCCAGTTTGTGTAGATCTACCTTACGCTTTGTTCATTTTTTGAGAGTCTTGCTCTGTTGCCCAGGCTGGAGTGCAGTGGCACAATCTCAGCTCACTGCAACCTCTGCCTCCCAGGTGATTCTCATGCCTCAGCCTCCCAAGTAGCTGGTATTACAGGCGCCTGCCACCACACCCAGCTAATTTTTCTCTTTTTAGTAGAGACAGGGTTTCATCATGTTGTCCAGACTGGTCTCTGACTTCTGACCTCAAGTGATCCTCCTGCCTCCGCCACCACACCCAGCTAATTTCTCTATTTTTAGTAGAGAGAGGGTTTCATCATGTTGTCCAGACTGGTCTCCAACTTCTGACCTCAAGTGATCCTCCTGCCTCGGCCTCTCAAAGTATTGGGATTACAGGCGTGAGCCATTGTGCCCAGCCAGCTCTCTCTTTTTATGTCAGGGTTTCTCAGTCTTGGCTCTACTGACTTTGTGGGCTGGATAATTCTTTGTTGTAGGAGACTGTCTTGTGTTTTGTAGTGTTAACTAAAAGGTATCTGATACGGACCTCAATCAGTTTAGAAGTTTATTTTGCCAAGATTAAGGACATGCCCGGAAGAAAAAAACATGGAATCACAGAAGCAGCCTGTGGCTTGTGCCTTTCTCCAACGATACATTTGAGAGCTCCAATATTTAAAGGGGAAAAGTGAGCTGGAGGGGAAATAGGGAGGGTACGGTAATCCACATGTTGCAAGAGAAAAGGAGTAGGTAAGGAAATAGTCAATTACGCATTCGTCTTGTCCTCAGTAAATCAGCACTTTACATAAGATACGGTGGCTGGGCGTGGTGGCTCACACCTGTAATCCCAGCATTTTGGGAGGCTGAGGAGGGCAGATCACGTGAGGTTAGGAGTTCAAGACCAGCCGGGCCAACATGGTGAAACCTTGTCTCTACTAAAAATACAAAAATTAGCCAGGCATGGTTGTGCATGCCTGTAATCCCAGCTACCCAGGAGGCTGAGGCAGGAGAATCACTGGAACCTGGGAGGTGGAGGTTGCAGCAAGCTGCACCACTACACTGCAGCCTGGGCGACAGAGCAAGACTCTGTCTCAAAAAAAAAAAAGTTCCCACCATCTAATCACTTAGTCTTGCTGGTGGCCAGCCCCATCCTGAGGCCATCTAGGGGTTCTTCCCTAAGTAACCTTATTAGCATAAACGCAGGTAGGATTGAAAGGGGCCTCTTACAAATAACAAAAGACACTTTTTTCTTTGAGATTCGCCTGCCTTGGCCTCCCAAAGTGCTGGGATTACAAGCGTGAGCCATCTCGCCCAGGCACAAAAGACGCTTCTGTCACTCAGCAAATTTTAAAGGTCTTATGAGTTCTGTGCCAGAAACAAGGGACAAACCCCAACCATGCGTTTTATGACACTGCCTTCTATAAGAAGCAGAGAGGTGCTTTAGTAGAGACAGGGTAGCAAATGGCAAGAGATGAGGTCTGAGAGCTAAGAGGACCAGGTCAAGAAGGAATGAAGTTAAAGAATTTCTGCTTTAGATTCCTGAATATTTCTCTATGGTAGATGCTAAAAATGGATGTCTCAGGTTGAAATTTAAATTCTGATAGGCTCACCTAAGTTGCTACAATTTGAACTCGTGCTAATGGCATCTGAATTGCCCATTTCTCACTCTTGTTAACACTGGGTATTTCTCTTGCCAATCTGGAAGGAGCATGAGGCACTTCCTTGAGTGTCAGGGATCCCAGGCTCATTTCCTCATGTAAATTCCTCATCACTGCTCCTTTTTCTGGCAATTGCTTGTTCATATGTATTAAGCAGAGATAACGAACCTCTGTGTTACTTTGCTCATCTGTAAAATGGGGACAGTAATATCTTCCAACAACGTTGTTCTGGAGAGAAAATTGTGTATGTCCCTTGCAGAGAGCTTTGAGAGGTGCCTGGCCCAGGCCCAGGGGACGTACTCTGTGCATGGGGTGCTAGTACTGTTGAACACTCCTGTGATTACCATGTGCTGATTTTTTATTTATTTATTTATTTTTAGACAGAGTCTTGCTTTGTCGCCCAGGCTGGAGTGCAGTGGCGCGATCTTGGCTCACTGCAAGCTCCACCTCCCAGGTTCACGCCATTCTCCTGCCTCAGCCTCCCGAGTAGATGGGACTACAGGCGCCCGCCACCTCGCCCGGCTAATTTTTTGTATTTTTATTAGAGACAGGGTTTCTCCTGACCTCGTGATCCGCCTGCCTCGGCCCCCCAAAGTGCTGGGATTACAGGCGTGAGCCACCGCGCCATGCCTACTATGTGCTAATTAATGGGAGGGATGGCCTTCCTGGCATTGGCCGAGAGCAGAGTTTTGAGGGGTGACAAGTGGCAGGATCCCATCACATCCACAGGTGGCCTCGACTCTGGTCTTTTTGCCAGGTTCGTCTCTGCAATAAATCTGAACCCATCTGGCTCAATCCCCGTAGACGTTAAGGTTGTTCAAATTCTATTTCTTCTAATCCAGTGCTGACCAAGGAACACTTTCTTTTTTTTTTTTTTTGAGATGAAATCTCACTCTTGTCCCCCAGGCTGGCGTGCAATGGTGTGATCTTGGCTCACTGCAACCTCTGCCTCCTGGGTTCAAGTGATTCTCTTTCCTTAGCCTCCCGAGTAGCTGGGATTACAGGTGCCTGCCACCACGTCTGGCTAATTTCTGTATTTTTAGTAGAAACGGGGTTTTACCATGTTGGCCAGGCTGGTCTTGAACTCCTAAACTCAGGTGATCTGCCTGCCTCGGCCTCCCAAAGTGCTGGGTTTACAGGTGTGAGCCACTGCACCCAGCCAGGGAAAGCTTTCATAATTGTTAGATCTTTCAGTAAGTAGAGTTTATTTTAATTAACTAAATAATTAAGTAATTGCTTTTAAGAGGATACCCTTGTCAGAGGATTTAAGAGTTGGCTTGCTTTGGGAGTTAGTTTAAAGAAAAAAAAAAATGGGCGGGTGTGGTGGCTCACGCCTATAATCCCAGCAATTTGGGAGGTCGAGGCGGGTGGATCACCTGAGGTCAGGAGTTCGAGACCATCCTGGCCAACATGGTGAAACCCCATCTCTACTAAAAATACAAAAATTAGCCAGTCGTGGTGCCGGGCACCTGTAATCCCAGCTACTTGGGAGGCTGAGGCATGAGAATTGCTTGAATCCAGGAGGCGGAGGTTGCAGTGAGCTGAGACTGCGCCATTGCACTCCAGCCTGGGCAACAAGAGCAAAAACTCTGTCTCAAAAAAAAAAAAAAAAAAAGATCCCTTCTGTAAGGTCCTCTGAACAGGCTTCACCACAGTAGAGCCATTGTGACCCCTGTGACCCACACGTACAGGCTTCCTGGAGTCACAAAGCCTGGATCAATAGCAGAACCACTAAAGAAGGAGAAACAGCTACTTCCTGCCTTAACTGATAACCAACCTTGCAAAATTCCACCATTGTGTTATGTTCCCGCCCTACCCTAACTAATCAATCAACCTTGTGATATTGTGCCTTGTGACGTCCCCCCACCTCATGACTATGCACCTTGTGACATTCTTCCCCTTCCCGAAAAAACTCCTAACTGTAACTTTCCACTACTTAACCCTTACCTGTAAAACTAACTCCAATCCCACCACCCCTCCGCTGCTTCTCTTTCTGGACTCAGCCTGCTCGCACCCGAGTGAATAGACAGCCTTGTTGCTCACACTTAGCCTGTTCAGGGTGTCTCTTCAATTAGACGCACGCATAACAACTTCTGGCCTAACTGCCTTGTCTGGGCTTGGTAGCCTGAGTCACTGTTTCAGGCCTGAATGCCTCTGGGCTTCTTTCTAACCCCGCTGAATTCCTACACGGACCTCAGACGGATGCAGCTCTCCCTAGGTACAGCCATTGTAAGGTCCCAGCCGGGTACCCCACCCATCAGCTTTGCTGGGTGCATTTTCACCCTGCTCTTGTTCCATGCCTCTTTAACTGTGACACGAGGAGTGAGGCAATGGTTTTCATATGGATATCAGCATTTCTCCTCTGGAATTCATCGTCATTTGAAGGCTTCTGTGCTTCTCTCTCTCTCTCTCTTTTTGAGACTGAGTCTCGCTCTATTGCCCAGGCTGGAGTGCAGTGGTGCAGTCTCGGTTCACTGCAATCTCTGCCTGCCAAGTTCAAGCGATTCTCCTGCCTCAGGCTCCCAAGTAGCTGGGATTACAGGCACCCGCCACCATGCCAGGCTAATTTTTGTATTTTTAGCAGTCTATCATCTTAACCACTCGGCCACCTCGTCCTACAATTTTTGTGTTTTTAGTAGAGACAGGATTTCACCATGTTGGTCAGGCTGGTCTTGAACCCCTGACCTCAAATGATCTGCCTGCCTTGGCCTCCCAAAAAAGTGCTGGGATTACAGGCATGAGCCACCACACCTGGACTATTTTTTTTTTTTTTTTTTCGAGACAAAGTCTCATTCTGTCACCCAGGCTGAAGTGCCGTGGCAGGATCTCAGCTCACTGCAAGCTCCGCCTCCCAGGTTCAAGTGATTCTCCTGTCTCAGTCTCCCTAGTAGCTGGGACTATAGGGGCCCACCACCATGCCCGGCTAATTTTTGTATTTTTAGTAGAGACAGGGTTTCACCATGTTGGCCAGGCTGGTCTCGAACTCCTGACCTCAAGTGATCCACCCGCCTCGGCCTCCCAAAGTGCTGGGATTACGGACGTGAGCTACCGTGCCCAGCTCTGTGCTTCTCTTTACCACAGCCTACAAACTCTGACGTAATCTAGTCCTCAACTACCAGCTTTCAGTGCACCCCTCTGCGCTGGACTGCAGCTCATCTCTTCTCAATCTTCCTTGCCTCAGGGCCTTTGCACCTACTGTTTCATCAGTTTAGAGTGCACTTTACCCCTATTTTGCACTTCTGGCTCCTTATCCCTCTGTCAGGTCTCACGGAGCCCTCTGCCCCATTACTGTCATCATTGTATTCCTTGCACATTGACATTATATATATTTGCCATTTATGATCTGTTTTCCTCCATATTTGGTGCAAATATCATGGAAATCTGTCTGGTTTAGCACTATATCCCCAGGGCTGGGACTAGCCTATGCTAATCAGTTACAAATTAGTAGAAAGAAAAACAAAACAAGAGTGACCTAATGTTTGCAGAAATTGGATCAGCAGTCCTAGTTCCCAAACACGCAGATACTGAGGCCCTGGTGTGGCCTTCAAGGGCTTCCCAAATCTTATGCCAGCTCTTTTTCTAAACTCAGTGTCTAACATTCCCCTTCATTCGAGCCATGTTTACATTAACCCACACACTTTCATCCACCATCTCTGCTGGTTAGATGGTTTGTTTCTCAGCCTGGAATACACTTTCTGCTACCCCCAGGCCAGCTTTCAGCACGTGGGATGCTGACCTCTCCATGTGTGTAGTTGACATCTCCACGTGGATGCAGTGCAACCTCATGATGCTATTTTATGAGTTAGCGAGAGTCCAAAAAAGGGGCCTTGCTGGGTGAGCCTGAAGCAGTTGATGAAGAAGATCAAGGTGTCCTTGATGTCCTTGCCATTGTCCTTGTTCTGCGGCTTAGGGTGGTGCGTGGGGGAAGGCTCTTCCTCTGGGTTCACTGGCTCGTGTGTTCCTTTTCTTTTTCAAAAGCCACTCCAGGAAAAGTCTTGATAGCAGAAGTCAGTTATTAAAAGCTGTGTAAATGTACTAAAGAGGACAGGTGCCAGACACATTTTCATTTAACATTTTACTCTCAACTGGGAACTGTTTGCCTTTGAAGGAATGTCAGGCACAGTTCCTAGTTGGGGCTGGAGCATTTTTGTGATGTTCTGCACAAGTTTTGGTCTAGAGAAGAAAGCTGGCTGCATGGATAGCATGAAGAATACCAATCCACTTGAGTAATAATTATGCAAAATCAGGTTTCAGGGCCCACTAGGTAATCATCCAACATTTCTGTGCTGACTCTTGCACATAGCACAAGAGAGTGAAGTATGCCAGATCCAGGAAAAGGCAAAGTTCAATAATTAGCTATAAATACAACTTTATAGCCATTTCCCCAGACTAAAGGGTAAAAGTTTAACAACTGGCTATAATTACAACTTTATTGCTACATCTCCAGACTCTATTTTTATAGGGAGAATAATGGCTTCTTCAATGATTAACACGGTTGATAGCTACTGCTCTGTCTTTGAAGAAGCACATGGTATTTCGTGGAAATGTGCGTATGTGTGTGTTTGTATCTTAAGTCAAACATTAACAAATAACACAGAAAGTCCCTTGTTTTCTTGTCTTGCACTTAGCCTTTTGCATCTCACTTACTTCTTTCTTTCCTTCTTTCTTTCTCTTTCTTTCTTTCTTTCTTTCTTTTCTTTCTTTCTTTCTTTCTTTCTTTCCTTCCTTCCTTCCTTCCTTCTCTCTCTCTCTTTCTTTCTTTCTCTCTCTCTCTTTCTCTGTCTCTCTCTCTCTTTCTTTCTTTCTTTCCTTCCTTCTTTCTTTCTTTCCTTCTTTCTTTCTCTCTTTCTTTCTTGACACAGAGTCTCGCTCTGTTGCCCAGGCTGGAGTGCAGTGGCACAATCTTGGCTCACTGCAACCTCCGCCTCCTGGGTTAAAGCAATTCTCCTGCCTCAGCCTCTCAAGTAGCTGGGATTATAGGCACCCACGACCATGCTCAGCTAATTTTTTGTATTTTTAGTAGAGATGGGTTTCACCATGTTGGCCAGGCTGGTCTCGAACTCTTGACCTCAGATGATCCATCCATCTACCCTCCTTGGCCTCCCAAAGTTCTGGGATTACAGGCGTGAGCCATCGGGCCCAGCTACATCTTGCTTATGTCTAAGGAAAACTACTGAATGGGGATCATTCTCCTGGCACGTACATGTGGGTATACAGTACCTTCTGTCTGAGTACTAACCAGGCCCGACCTTGCTTAGCTTCCTCAAACAGATGAAATCGGGCATGTTCAGAGTACTATGGCCATAGACTATATAGTGTCTTATATAAGATATAGCACATGTTATGTAAATAAATGATATTCACACAAAAATATGCATATCCTCCCCTCCACCCCATAGTTTTTGGGTTTACCTATCAGCTCTCAGAGTGGAGGACTGAAGGAAGCCCAGAAAGAAAAAATCAATTTAGGCCAGGTGCAGTGGCTCATGCCTATAATCCCAGCACACTGGGAGTCCAAGGTGGGTGGATCACCTGGTCAGTTCGAGACAAGTCTGGCCAACATGGTGAAACCTCGTCTCTACTAAAAATATAAAAGTTAGCCGGGCGTGGTGGCGGGCGTCTGTAATCCCAGCTACTCAGGAGGCTAAGGCAGGAGAATCCCTTGAACCTGGGGGACGGAGGTTGCAGTGAGCTGAGACCACGCCATTGCACTCCAGCCTGGGTGACAGAGCAAGACTCCGTCTCAAAAAAAAAAAAAAAATTCAATTTATATTGGAAGATCAAGGAAGGATTAGATTGGCGGGGGTGGGGGTGGGGTGGGGAAGGTGGGATCCTAAGAGAAGAAAGCCAAGACTGAGTTCTTTGGGAATTTGGGGGGAGTTTTGGGAGCCCTGGGAGAGATGAGGACCTCTGCCATGCTCTGACGGGGAGGCACAGTGAGACCAAGGGATGAGTATGTTGATAGTGCTTTTCTCTGGCTCCTACAATTTGCTGCCCATTTTGAACTTTGCTAAGAGAGTGCAGTGAAGATTCCTATTGCTCATTATTGTTTTCTTGGTTAACTGATTTTGTTTCTTTTTTCTTTTTTTCCTAGAAAATCATGAAACAAGGAATAAAACTATGATTTTGTACTGAGACCACAAGACAGCACAGTTTTACACAGACTGCACACACCCATCTCTCTGCCACTCTGTCTAGACTTTTAATTATTATTATTATTATTATTATTATTTTTGAGACAGTCTTGCTCTGTCGCTCAGGCTGGAGTGCAGTGGCACGATGATCTCGGCAGACTGCAACCTCCACCTCCTGGGTTCAAGCAATTATCCTGCCTTAGCCTCCTGAGTAGCTGGGGTTATAGGCACGTGCCACCACATCTGCCTAATTTTTATATATTTAGTAGAGACGGGGTTTCACCATGTTGGCCAGGCTGGTCTTGAACTCCTGACCTCAGGTGATCCACCTGCCTCGGCTTCCCAAAGTGTTGGGATTACAGGCGAGAGCCACCATGCCTGGCCTAAACTTATATTAATTTTATATTGCACAAATAGATTATGGTGATGGAGAAATTTATTCTCTGGAACTGGACAAAGTAGAAAGCAGACAGTCACAGTGAATCTCATCACCTAAAGGTGACCACTTTTGCATTTGGTGGCTATGCCTTCAGGTTTTTCCTAAGCATGTACAAATGTAAGTTGCTATTTGCAAATTGAGACTTTTGTTCTATATGCTATATATTTTTTGTGCAACTTTCTTTTCTTTTTTTTTTTTTTTTTTGAGACAGAGTCTTGCTCTGTCACCCAGGCTGGAGTGCAATGGTGCGATCTCAGCTCACTGCCACCTCTGCCTCCTGGGTTCAAGTGATTCTTCTGCCTCAGCCTCCCGAGCAGCTGGGATTACAGGTGCATGCCACCATCCCTGGCTAATTTTTTATATTTTAGTAGAGACAGGGTTTCACTGTGTTGCCCAGGCTGGTCTCGAACTCCTGAGCTCAGGCAATCTACCCGCTTCGGCCTCCCAAAATTCTGGGATTACAGGCGTGAGCCACCACACCCAGCCTTGCTTTTCTTACTTATTATTACAGTACTGCATGTCATTTCTGTTGTCTACACGTATCTTTTAGCAATTTTTGCAAAGTGTTCCATCTTATAGATTTACCACAATATTTTTAAAAATTTTTAAATGTTTACTGTAATTTATTTTATTTTTTTTGAGACGGAGTCTCACTCTATCACCCGGGCTGGAGTGCAGTGGCACCACTTGGCTCACTGCAACCTCTGCCTCTCAGGTTCAAGTGATCCTCCTACTTCAGCCTCCTGAGTAGCTGGGATTACAGGCATGTGCCGCCACACCCAGCTAATTTTTGTATTTTTAGTAGAGACAGGGTTTCACCATGTTGACCAGGCTGGTCTCGAACTCCTAACCTCCAGTGATCTGCCTGCCTCAGCCTCCCAAAGTGCTGGGATTACTGGAGTGAGCCACCGCACCCAGCTCACAATTATTTTTTAAGGTGAGGTCTTGCTATATATGGCCTAAACTGGACTCGAACTCTTGGGCTCAAGTGATCCTCCTGCCTGGGCATCTCAAGTAGCTGGGGCTACAGGTGCATGCCATTGTGCCTGGCTCCCACAATTTATTTATGTCACCAATAATGGGCATTTATGTTGTGTCTAATTTTTTGATATTGTAAACAATGCTGCAATGAGCATCCTTGAACATATAGACATGTAGATTCTACCAGAAACTACCCTTAAAGAAAAGATTTGTTTTTTTGTGGTGGTTGTCAGTGAAAGCACTACCCCAGTATCATGTGGCTCTGGAGGTCTCTGTGTCATTAAGTAACCTCAAAACCTGCAGCATATGGTTTTGAGTTATCTTAGTAATTCCCTCTTCTTTTATAATTGGAATTTGAGTGGAGAAAATTAAACAATACACATGTAATAACATCATTCTTTATCTGTTCCCTACTTAATATGTGATTTCTTTTATTGGCTGGAAAAAGTACATAGCTGCTGATTTATCTACTTCAAGTAGCAGGACAATATGCTTACCTTAAATAGTCAAATGTAGAAAAGAACAATGGTCCTGAAACACAGTCCACGCCGTCACAGGAAGAGGAGAGGCCTGAGACTATGAGGAGAGGGAGAGACCAGTGATCAAAACTGAGCTCTACAACAGTCCTCTCTGTTGGGGGAATTAAAAAGCAAAGGATTTGAACAAGTAATTCACAGATGGGGTAGTACAAATGGCCAGGAAACTTCTCAAATAACTTGGAAAACGTGAAACCCCAAGGATAGTGTTAAGAGACCGCTTTAAAGTGAGATTTCTGTTATTCATGTTTAAAATATGAAGTATTCATCAGTCTTCTGGAAGAGACTGACACACAAAAAATATAACAAGTAGCTTGTATTGATCTTTCACCAGGAGACTTTCTGAGAACTTTTCACATATTAGCTCATATAATCCACATAGCAACTTTATGAAGTAGACAGTTAATTATTTCCATTTTGTAGATAAAGAAAACAAGGCGCACAGAGGCATTCCGTGTTTTGTCCAGGGTCATTCAGTCCTTGGCAGAGCTGGCATTTGGGGTCAGGCAGCTGGGCTCCTGGGCCCGAGCGCTTAAACACTGCCTTGTGCTACCACCTGGTGGTCAAAAGCGATACACGCAACAATGGAGGTGAGCCCAGGCCAGCCAGGAGCCGGCTCCCTGGAGGATGTGAACTTGAAGCAGAAATCAGGAAAGACATTCCAGGGAGAGACAGCAGCACTCGCCAAGGCACAAAAACAGCAGTTACTGCTCCATGCATGAGGAGCAAGAGACAACTGGGAATGATAGCAAGAGGAGTAAAAAATAAAAAGAATTTCTTTTCTTTTTTTTTTTTAAAGAGCAAAGAATGATGTGTTAGGAGATTGAGTGGAGAGGTCAGCTGGGACCAGATGACGGGAGAGCTCCTAGTAAGGGGATTGGACTTTATTCTGAGGCTGATGGAAAGCCACTGAAGAGCTTTTAATCACGGCAGTCGGCCAGGCGTGGTGGCTGACACCTGCAATCCCAACACTTTGGGAGGATGAGGCAAGGGAATCGCTTGAGGCCAGGAGTTCTAGACCAGCCTAGGCAACATAATGAGACGCCCCCGTCTCCACAAAAATGAAACACCACACACACACACACACATATTAGCTGGGTGTGGTAGCATGCCTGTGGTCCCAGCTACTTAGGAGGCTGAGGTGGGAGGATTGCTTGAGCCCAGGAGATTGAGGTTGCAGTGAGCCTTGCACTCCAGCCTGGGAGACAGGGCCAGACCTTGTATGGAAAATTGATCAGTCGGCCGGGCGTGGTGGCTCGTGCCTGTAATCCCAGCACTTTGGAAGGCTGAGGCGGTCGGATCACCTGAGGTCAGGAATTCGAGACCAGCCTGGCCAACATAGTGAAACCCCGTCTCTACTAAAAATACAAAAATTAGCTGGGCATGGTGGCGCACGCCTGTAGTCCTAGCTACTCGGGAGGCTGAGGCAGAAGAATCACTTGAACCTGGGAGACGGAGGTTGCAGTGAGCTGAGATCATGCCACTGCACTTCAGCCTGGGCAACAGAGCGAGACTCTGTCTAATATATATATAATATATATATATATATATATATATATATATATAGATAGATAGATATAGATATAGATATAGATATAGATATATATCGATCAGTCATAATCAGTCAATCATGGCAGTGACCTGGGGAGAGTTACAGTTTGTATAAAGTCCCTAGTGACTGTGAGGAAAATGGATGTGGGGGACAAGGCCCAGGGAGACCAATGCAGAGCCGCCAGGAAAGAGCCTGCAAGTTCCCAAGTCACCAGGACCCCAGCGGTGACGGAGTGGGGAGAGCACAGGTTCAAGAAATATTTAGAAGGCAAAGCTGTCAGCACTTGGCGAATGAACGTGATGCGAAATGGACAGAGTGGGAGAAGCAGGCTACAGACACCAGGAAAAAGATCGTTCCAATCACTCTTTGGCTGTTCCGAGCCTTATAGCGGGATCCTCAACCAGGGGCCATTCCGCCCCCCAGGAGACAACCAGCTGTGTCTCGGACAGTTTTGCTGGTCACAGCAAGCGGCCGGGGTGGCGGTGCTAGAGGACGCTGCTAAACCCCCTTGGTGCACAGGGCAGGCCCCATGGGACGGGAATCCTGGGCTCGGGGCGCGGCTGCCTGGGTCCCCTCTGGCGGCGCCAGCTCCAGGAGGCAGGAAACGAGGAGGCCCTGGCTCACGGAGTGTGCTTTTACAGAAGCAAGCCCTGGCGCTCCGGGCAGATGTCCGGGGGTCTCCCGCAGACCCCTTGCCCTCCATGGAATCCCGTTCCTCCCAGGGTTCCCCTCCCCCATTTACCCCTCCAGGCTCCTGAGCGCTGAAAACTGCATTCTGCGGCCCAGACAAGGTTACCGTCTTACTGCCGGGAAGCCACTAGATACAGTTGCAGGCTAAAGGCAGTGTGATTCCCCTCAAGCAGGCCTTAGTTTATCGTAGGGCACGGGACGTGCCTCCTTCCCCAGAGTCTCCTTTTCAGGAGCTGCAGGGCCTCTAGGCTTCCCGGACTGCAGCTTTACCTGCCTGCCCCCAGCAGGATGGTCTTGGGGTCTATACCTGAGCCGAGATCTCGCCACTGCACTCCAGCCTGGGTGACAGAGTGAGACATCGTCAGAAAGAAAAAAAAAGGTCATCCATGAGAAGAATCGGTATTGCTGGATTCTGTTGATGTTTTTTATTTGCTTCTGATTATCTATGTTGGTTAAAGGTAAACACAAAATTTCATTTAGACAGGAGGACTAAATTCGCGCAGTCTATTGCATATCATAGTGACAAGAGTTAATCACAATATATTGTATACTTGAAAATTGCTGAGTAGATTTCAAGTGTCCTCAACACAAAAATGATAAGTATGCTAGGTAATGTTATATGTTTAATAGCTGATTTAGGCATTTCACAATGTATGCATATAGCAAAACATGTTATACACCATAAATACATACAATTTTTACTTGTCAATTAAAAATAAATAAAACAATAAATAAAAGAGTATATAAAAATTGTTGGAAATTGCTCATATGAGATTTGTTGTTGATCAATAACATTATTATACTCTAAACTCATTTATTTATTTAATTTTTGAGACGGAGTCTGACTCTATCACCCAAGCTGGAGTGCAGTGGCATCATCTCGGCTCACTGCAACCTCTGTCTCCCGAGTTCAAGTGATTCTCATGCCTCAGCATTCCGAGTAGCTGGGACTATAGGCGCACGTCACTACACCTGGCTAATTTTTGTATTTTTAGTAGAGACGGGGTTTTACCATGTTGGCCAGGCTGGTCTCAACCTCCTGGCTTCAAGTGATCCACCTGCTTCAGCCTCCCAAAATGCTAGGATTACAGGCATGAGCCACCTCGCCTGGCCCTAGGCTCATTTTATTAATGTGAAAATTCTTTAGGCCCCAGAAGCATATATTCTGGATAGAGTGCAAACAGATTCTGAGTGAGGCTTCTGGGGCCAAATTGGAGGGGAGGGGCTTGCCCTGTGCTCTGTACCCACTCTGACGCTTTCGACTTGTCAAAAGTTTGTCTTCATTCTTTTATCTTTAAATGAAAACACACTGGGGCTCACCATGTGGAAATTAATCGCATTTACCAGCGGAATTACTTTCCTTTTGTTCTGTATCAAATAAACACAAATTTGGTGGCCTAAAACAGCACACTGATTCTCTTACAGTTCCAAAGGCCAGAAGTTCAGAACCAGGCTCACTGGGCTAAAGTCAAGGTGTTCACAGGTCTGGTTCCCTTTGGAGGTTCTCAAGGGAGAGTTCGCCTCCTTGCCTTTTTTGGCTACTGGAGGCTTTGTGCACTCCTTGACTTAAAACCTCTTCCTCAAATCATTCCAACCTTTGCTTCCATTGTGACATCTACTTCCTCCTCTGTAGTCAAATCTTGATCTGTTTCTGTCCGATGAGGCCACTTCTGATTACATTTGAGTCCCACCCTGATAATCCAGAATACTCTTTCCATCTTTCCATTAACATCCTTAATCATCTGGGCTCAGTGGCTCATGCCTGTAATCCCAGGACTTTGGGAGGTTGAGGCAGGCAGATCACTTGAGGCCAGGAGTTCGGGACCAGCCTGGGCAACATGGTGAAACCCCATCTCTACTAAAAATACAAAAAAAATTAGCTGGGTCTGGTGGCACATGTCTGTAGTCCCAGCTACTCAGGAGGCTGAGGCAGGAGAATCACTTGAATCCAGGAGGTGGAGGTTGTAGTGAGCCGAGATCACACCACCGCACTCTAGCCTGGTGACAGAGCCAGACTCTTGTCAAACAACAACAACAACAAAAACCTTTATCACATCTGCAAAGTCCACTTATGGAAGGTAACATTCACAGGTTCCAGGGATTAAGACCTAGATATCTTTGGGGTCTTTTATTCAGCCAACCACAGCACATTCTCCTTTAACACAAATTAGATGACTCAGAGGATTGCGTTTAGTCTGGGGCAAAACCTCATAGAATCAGAAAATATTTGCAAAATATAAAGCTGATATAACTTCCCTCAAAGCAAATGTTTTGGCTGTGGGAAGGGTTATTTGGTCAAAGAAAATGATTCCTTTATAATTATTGAGGAATTCAACCCGTTAGCCAATAAAACATTTGTTTGCTAAAAATACGTTTTATTTGAATAGCAGCTTTTTTTTTTTTTTTTGAGACCGGGTCTAGCCCTGTCACCCAGGCTAACGTGCAATGGCACGACCTTGGCTCACTGCAACCTCTGCCTCCCAGGTTCAAGCAATTCTCCTGCCTCAGCCTCCTGAGTAGCTGGGATTACAGGCGTACGCCACCATGCCTGGCTAATTTTTTGTATCTTTAGTAGAGACGGGTTTCACCATGTTGGCCAGATTGGTCTCGAACTCCTGACCTCGTGATCCGCCTGCCTTGGCCTCCCAAAGTGCTGGGATTACAAGTATGAGCCACTGGGCCTGACCTTGAATAGCAGCTTTTTATTATAATTCATATTTTAATTTTATGTATTTTAAGAATAGGCTGGGCACAGTGGCTCATACCTGTAATCCCAGCACTTTGGGAGGCTGAGGCAGGTGGATCACTTGAGGTCAGGAGTTTGAGACCAGCCTGGCCAACATGGTGAAACTTCATCTCTACTAAACATACAAAAATTAGCCTGGTGTGGTGGCATGCGTCTGTAATCCCAGCTACCTGGGAGGCTGAGGCAGGAGAATCACTTGAACTCAGGAGGTGGAGGTTGCAGTGAGCTGAGACTGTGCCACTGAATTCCAGCCTGGGCAACAGAGCAAAACCCCGTTTCAAATAATAATAATAATAATAATAATAATAATAATAATAATAATAAAAAAAAACATTGTCATGATGACTTCTGCTAGTTTTCCCCAGTGTTGTATCATAGGTGTTTTCCCTAGAGTTTCCTCGGGTCTGAGATTTCCTTCTTTCTCCTTGTTTAACTGATCATGAATCGATTGAGCTTTGGGCTGCGTCAAAGTTCTGTTTTGCCTACAACAGTTCCACGGGGAACACGATTCTGCTGAAGAAAAAGACTGCTGGGTTCTGGAGGAGTATTTTACCTCCTCCTTGCTGGAAACAGTTAATGCCCTGGAGAATGTGGTCGATGGCCTCATGCAGGCGGAGGCATGTTTTAAAATGGGTAAATCTAGTTTTCTTCAGCAGTGGCATGAATCGTAGGAGATCTGCTCAAATGCTAACCAGCTAACTTCTCTGAGGCCAAATACTTGCTGTCTTCAGCCTCTGGTTCTTCATTATGAAGTGAAGGATTTTGTCAGGTTATCTGTAGCTTTCCTCCTTTTTCTCCCAGGCCGACATTCTTATAAGTTAAGTCTACTCTTAGAAGTTTCTCCACTAGCCAGGCGCAGTGGCTCACATCTGTAATCCCAGCATTTTGGGAGGCCAAGGCAGGTGGATCACCTGAGGTCAGGAGTTCGAGACTAGCCTGACCAACATGGTGAAACCTCGTCTCTACTAAAAATACAAAATTAGCCAGGTGTGGTGGTGCCCACCTGTAATGCCAGCTACTTGGGAGGCTGAGGCAGGAGAATTGCTTGAACCCGGGAGGCAGAGGTGGCAGTGAGATGAGATTGCCCCATTGCACTCCAGACTGGGCAACAAGAGTGAAAGTCTGTCTCAAAAAAAAAAAAAAGTTTCTCCACTACTTGGTGAAGGCCTTCTGGGTCATTACTGAGGACTTCTCTCTCTCTCTCTTTTTTTTTTTTTAGTAGAGATGAGGTTTCACCATGTTGGTCAGGTGGGTCTTGAACTCCTGACCTCATGATCCACCAGACTCAGCCTCCCAAAGGGCTGGGATTACAGGCACGAGCCATCACACCCGGCCTATTGAGACCCTTCTCTAGGCAGTTTTCTCCTTGAGATCTCCAGAATCACAATAACACTCAAAGTGCAAAGCAAACAAACAAAACCAGAACACAAAGGAAGAGAGGGAATTTGAAACTGCAGGAGTCATATTTACTTGCTCCTTGTTCCATGTGACAAAGGGGCCAGGTCATATTGTGTGATGAAGTTTGTACTTATCAGTCACCTGGCCAAGTCGTGTAAACCAGGGGTCCCCAATCCCCGGGCTGTGGAACAGTACCAGTCTGTGGCCTGCTGGGAACCAGGCCACACAGCAGGAGGTGAGCAGCAGTTGAGTGAGTGAAGCTTCATCTGTATTTACCACAACTCCCTATTGCTCACATTACCGCCTGAGCTCTGCCTCTTGTCAGATCAGCTGCAGCATTAGAGTCTCATAAGAGCACAAACCCTATTGTGAACTGCTCATGTAAGGATCTGGGTTGCGCGCTCCTTATGAGAATCTAATGCCCAGTGATCTGTCACTGTCTCCCATCACCCCCAGGTGAAACTATCTAATTGCAGAAAAACAAGCTGAGGGCTTCCAGTGATTCTACAATATGGTGAGTTGTATAATTATTTCATTATATTACAATGTAATAATAACAGAAATAAAGTTCATAATAAATGTAATGCACTTGAGTCATCCTGAAATCATCCCCCACTGAACCCTCACTGGTCCGTGGAAAAATCATCTTCCAAAAAACCAGTCCCTGGTGCCAAAAAGGTTGAGGACTGCTGGTGTAAACCACACAATTCTCCCCACTGGCCAAACGTGGAACCATCTTTCACTTACCACAGGCCATAATGAATGTGTATACAGTGTATGCTGGGATTGCTTTGTGCCTTAGGCTGTCACTCAGTGTGCTAAGTGGGGCTCTACTAGGCCCACTGTCTTTCTTCCCCAAGGGTTCTGAGTGTCAGGGACACACCTAGCTTGTATGCATTTATATGGTCACCAGTTTCTCCTTCCCCTCCTCTCTCATCATACCCAAGTTTCTGTTGCTTTATAATGCAAAGCACTTCAGCATTCTCTTTTGTTTCCCTGTCCTTGCTCATGGTGATCTTAACCACTTATTATGACTTTTTTTTTCTTATGAAAATAGTTCCCTCTCTGAGTATTTCTGGCAGCAAGTGTCTTTTTTTTTTTTTTTTTTTTGAGACGGAGTCTCGCTTTGTCACCCAGGCTCGAGTGCAGTGGCGTGATCTCGGCTCACTACAAGCTCCGCCTCCCGGGTTCACGCCATTCTCCTGCCTCAGCGTCCCGAGTAGCTGGGACCACAGGAGCCCACCACCATGTCCGGCTAATTTTTTTGTATTTTTAGTAGAGTCGGGGTTTCACCGTGTTAGCCAGGATGGTCTCAATCTCCTGACCTCGTGATCCACCCGCCTTGGTCTCCCAAAGTGCTGGGATTACGGGCGTGAGCCACCACGCCCGGCCTAAGTGTTAAGATTATGAAATATTTACTCTCTGCATACTTAGTTCACCTATAATACTAAAGATACAGGGAGAGAAGTGTTGCTAAGGGGAAGAAGATCTTGGGTTCTAATATAAATGCAATCTTGCTTTGAAAGCTTGGCTCCTTCTTTCTCTGTACCAAATAGGACAAAATAAACAGCTTATAACATAATAAGTGAAGAGTTAATTTTTCAGTGACAGATAACTATTATCTCCAGTTTCTCCTTTGGCCATCTTCCTGTATTTATGAATGCCTCTTCTTTGAAAATAATAGTGAATTACTATACCATTTTTCCATATTCTAACATTTTGCCTTTTTCATCCAAAGCGATATAAGCAAAACAGAGTTTGTGGGTTACATGAAGATCGTGAGAAGACCTGGATTGGGGTCCTGATTCTCCACGCACTGAGGTATTGCTCCTCACAAGAGGGCATTAGCTACGGGGGTCTGCCCACAGACCCTGACCCAAACGACGGATGGATAAAATGTACACTGACACACAGATATTCTGTTTTGCCAGTCCTGCTGAGTGTCTGAACCCCTACACACCAAGAGAGGTTTGTCACTCCGGCCGGTCCGGAGCAGCTCGCCCTCCAGGCATTTGTTTACTATACAATTAACAACAGAAGCTCTGAGTCTTGTGGATAATTAACATGGTTAAGAGAGTAGTTCTACAAATGATTAAAGCTCAGGTACCGCGTTTTAAAGTAAATACCATTAGGGGGCAGTATTTCTGGTCCACCTCCCCGCGAGAGGGCCATCTGGCTCAACAGTTGGTTAACGGAGGTAGGGTAAACAGACTTATTGGGGAAGCCTCTACTGTCCCTAGTATTCTAATTCTCTAAGGTAAGAACTGGCTGCCTTCAGCCTCTTCAATTATTACAAGCTATGTAACCTTTCGGCCTTCCAAAGAGGTTTGTGACTATTCCCTATAACTTTCCGTAATATTTCCTTTTAATATTTCTGCCACCATCCTGAGTGAATCCCAACAACTCACTAGATAACTCACCCTGGAAAAGTCATTCAACAAATCTGCGGCCCCATTTCATCATCTGATACTCAAATGGTTGTGGAGATGGCCTCTGCAGTTTCTATTAAAATATCACCAAATTCTAAGTAGGTCATTTTTTTTGTAGTAGACTTTTCTACATTTAAATTGCTGGTAGGAAGACTCTTTCAAATCTAGGTAAGCCAGTTTTAAAACAGACAAAGAATACAGAAGAGGAAATGACAACGAGTTTGCTGTTTTCCATTTCTTAATTTTAAAAACCAAAGTCCTGGTATTATCTATCAGAATTTCCGTTAATCATGAAAAGCACACTGGGCCTCTCATCTTCGTCTCTCATTGATTGACAACCTTTCATTTTGATTCCACCCAGCATTACAGGAGTTTTCTAAGTTCTTAACATTTCTAATGGTCTGGCAAAGCTGTGTGAATGCCATCAATACTGATTTCCAGGAAATCTTGATGTTAACATTTTATCTTTAGTGTTGCGGTGTTTTGCCTGCTCTGATATGAACTGGAAAATATTCTCACCCACATTTTGAAAACTGGTGTGAAAAGTGATGCTAACAGTAAAGGTCTTTCTTTTAATGAAAAGACAAATGCTGACATTTACACATTTGGCTTCAACTTTTCATTCCTCTCTATGTGCTGACAGGTGCAGTCTCAATCCACATGATTCATTTTCTGCTTGTTGTTCTTTACTTTGTATCACTTCAAATGATCCATTTGCTTAAAAAGAAAAAGGTACAAGAATATGTCACTATAAGTTCATGGTTTCTGCCTGTAGGTTTTAGGTTGCTAGGGGGTGGTTTGACCTTTAAGATAAGTCTGGTAAAATGCAGATGGGATTATATAATGTTTACAGTAGCATATAATTGAAGTTGTAAGGGGTGTGTGTGTGTGAGAGTGTGTGTGTGTGTAAGCGGTAGAGTTAGAAGTGAGTAGAAGTCACCCCCGGAAACAGATCCTGACTCCAAGGAAAACTAAAGCCCATAGTCCCACAGTGTCTCAATTTTCTCTGGATGTTTAAAGAGAAGAATATTTTTTTTAAATTTAATTTAATTAATTTATTTTTTTGAGACAGAGTCTCACTCTGTCACCCAGCCTGGAGTGCAGCAGTGTGATCTCGGCTCACTGCCACCTCCACCTCCTGGGTTCAAGCAATTGTCCTGCCTCAGCCTTCCGAGTAGCTGAGATTATGGGCACCCACCACCATGCCCAGCTAACTTTTGTATTTTTAGTAGAGATGCAGTTTCACCAGGTTGACCAGGCTGGTCTCAAACTCCTGACCTCAGGTGATCCTTTGTCAGGGAGCCTTGGGCCTCCCAAAGTGCTGGGATTACAGGCGTGAGCCACCACACCCAGCCTCAGGGAAGAATCTGTAGGAAAAGGAAAACAAACAAACAAACAAACAAAAAGGAATCTTCTTTCATGCAGTAGAAAGGAAAGGAGCAGGACATGGCCGCAGAGAGGTTTTGGTGGGGCATTGGGAACCAGTGGGAAGAAACGCTTCTTGCATCTGATTATGGAGAAGGCCTTACGAAAACTAAATTAATCCATGAAAAGCAGGAGAAAGGACACGATTCAGCTAAAAAGATAATAACAGGCCGGGTGCAGTGGCTCACGCCTGTAATCCCAGCACTTTGGGAGGCCGAGGCAGGCGGATCACGAGGTCAGGAGATCGAGACCATCCTGGCTAACATGGTGAAACCCCGTCTCTACTAAAAATACAAAAAATTAGCCAGGCGTAGTGATGGGCGCCTGTAGTCCCAGCTACTCAGGAGGCTGAGGCAGGAGAATGGCGTGAACCCAGGAGGCGAAGCTTGCAGTGAGCTAAGATCGCGCCACTGAACTCCAGCCTGGGCGACAGATCGAGACTCTGTCTCAAAAAAAAAAAAAAAAAAAAGATAATAACAGTCTGCTTGGACTAGACTTATGCTTGTGCATAGACATTTTTTTCAATTTTCAATTTTGCTCTTTTATTGTGGAATAATTTTGGGTATACAGGAAAGTTACAAAGATAGTAGGGAGAATTCTCGTGTGCCCTTCACCTGACTACCTCCACTGTGGGCAACTTACATAGCCATGTTGCATTGATGAAAACAGAGAATCACATTGGCGCATTCATGTTAACTAAACTCCTGACCTTATTTGGGTTTCACTAGTTTTCCACTAATATGTTTTCTCGGTTTGAGGATCCTTCCAAGAGACCACATTACATTTAGTTATCAGGTGTCTTCAGTGCTCCTTGGACTGTGATAGTGACTCAGTTTTTCCTTGGTTTTAATGAACTTGATATTTTTGAGGAGTCAAATATTTTTAATTGTTTACATTTTATTAATTATTACTTTTACGAAAAGTGGATTTTCTTTCTTTCTTTCTTTCTTTCTTTCTTTCTTTCTTTCTTTCTTTCTTTCTTTCTTTCTTTCTTCTCTGTCTCTCTTTCTTTCTTTCTTTCTTGGCCTGTCTTAGTCTGTTCCTGCTGCCATAGAAAAATACCACAGATGGAGTAATTCATAAATGATAAAAGTTTATTTCTTCATCCATCTCCAAAAGCTAGGAAGTCTGAAGCCAAGGTGCTGGCAGATTCACTGCTCTCTCTGCTTCCTTGTTGCTGTGCTCTCCAGAGAGGATGAATGCTGTGTCCTCAATTGGTAGAAGGCACGGGATGACCAGCCAGCTCTCTGAAGTCTCTTTATAAAGGCATTAATCCCATTCACAAGGATGGAGTCCTCACGCCTAATCATCTCCCACCATCACTTTGGGATTTAAGTTCCAACATGAATTTTTGGATGGATGCATACATTAAAAACTTAGCAGCCACCAATCCACCATCCTGGAGGCTCCAAGAGCTTCTCATGTGATTCCCTCACGACTGCTGTGCACCTGCCAAATTCAGGATCTGCTCACCTGTAGCTGCACGGCCCAGGGAGGAAGGGAGGATCTATTCCTCTCTGCCCTCTTCCTAATTCCTTGGCTGTCCATTCTTTCCTTCCTTCCTTCCACCTTCTTTCTTTCCTTCCTTCCTTCCTTCCTTCCTTCCCTCCTTCCTTCCTTCCCTCCCTCCTTCCCTCCCTCCTTCCTTCCTTCCTTCCCTCCCTCCTTCCCTCCCTCCTTCCTTCCTTCCTTCCCTCCCTCCTTCCCTCCCTCCTTCCTTCCTTCCTTCCCTCCCTCCTTCCCTCCCTCCTTCCTTCCTTCCTTCTTTTCTCTTCCCTCCCTCCCTGTCTTCCTTCCTCCCTTCCTTCTTTCCCTCTCTCCCTCCCTCCCCTCCCTCTCTCTCTTTTTCTTTTTTTCTATTACACAAGTTTATTTAACAAAAAGTCTAATATGAAAATGTACATGACCTAATTTTTTCATCATAGTAAAATGGGCTCTTTGGAGAGAGGACGTGGATTTCTCTGCTGAACAGCCGTTGTTTATACTCATTCCAAGGCTTCTAACATTTACTTATTTATTTATTTATTTATTTATTTATTTATTTATTTATTTATTTATTTTTGAGACAGAGTTTCACTCTGTTGCCCAGGCTGGAGTGCAGTGGCACGATCTTGGCTCACTGCAAACTCTGCCTCCTGGGTTCAAGCGATTCTCCTGCCTCAGCCTCCTGAGTAGCTGGGATTACAGGCGCCCACCACCACGCCCACCTAATTTTTGTGTTATCGGTAAAGACGGGGTTTCACCATGTTGGCCAGGCTGGTCTAGAACTCCTGACCACCAGTTATCTACCTGCCTTGGCCTCCCAAAGTGCTGGGATTACAGGCATGAGCCACCACGCCCGGCCAAGGCTTCTAACATGATGATACTCTTTCCTTGTATTACCACCTTTCCAATATTGTTCTGTTGCCCACTAGTTGCCATCTACATGCATCCATCTATCACAAGATTCATAAAGGGCTCAAATCTCTGCAATATTCCTTGAACATGTCTGCCACCATTTAACTTCAATGATAACTTCTTGTCCATAAGTTTTTTCAACTTGAGAGGGTGAGCTTTGCTCATGGTGTCTACTCCACAGGCTCACAGATGCCTTGGAACGGAATCTCTTTCTTTCTTCTTAGGAGATGGGGGTCTCCCTATGTTGCCCATGCTGGCCTCAAACTCCTAACCTCAAGCAATCCTCCTGCCTCAGCCTCCCAAAGTGTTGGGATTACAGGTGTGAGCCATCACACCTGGCGCAAATCACTTTATTTGAGCAAAGTTAAGTGTTAACAAGTGAAGAGCCAAAAGGGGGCTGTTTTTCCCCCATTCAGAGTTTTGGCAATTTGGCAAAAAGGGGGTATCAATTTCTTCAAAACCGGGGCTAAAAGACTCAGGGAGATCAGAGAATCCCATTTTGAGAAGCCATTTTCTTCTTAGAAGTAACTGAGGTGCTGTACGTGTGTCAAGAGAGAAGTAGGTGGCAGAAAAAAGTGTGCTTTCCACAAGGGAGTTTTGCCACCAGAAGGAAAAGAGAAGATGGATTGCAGGAAGGAAAAAAGGGCTCTAGGCTGGGTGCGGTGGCTCATGACTGTAATCCCAGCACTTTTGGAGGCCGAAGTGGGTGGATCACTTGAGCTCAGGAGTTCAAGACCAGCCTGGCCAACATGGCAAAACCCTGTCTCTACTAAAAATACAAAAAATTAGCCGGGCATGGTAGTGCAAGCCTGTAATCCCAGAGACTTGGGAGGCTGAAGAACAAGAATCGCTTGTACCCGGGAGGTGGAGATTGCAGTGAGCTGAGATCGTGCCATTGCACTTCAGCCTGGATGACAGAGCGAGACTCTGTCTCAAAAAAAAAAAAAAAGGAAGGGCTCTCCTTGCCCCAGGGATGGAGGCCCGATGCACCTCTCTCTTAGCAAGCTGGGTGTGGGGGAACTACCCAGTAACCTTTTTATTTTTATTTTATTTTATTTTTTGAGGAGGGACAGAGCTTCAGTAAACATCCAGGCTGGAGTGCAGTGGTGTGATCTCGGCTCACTGCACCCTTTGCCTCCCGGGTTCAAGCCATTCTCCTGCTTCAGCCTCCTGGGTAGCTGGGATTACAGGTGCCTGCCACCACCCCCAGCTAATTTTTGTATTTTTAGTAGAGACGGGGTTTCGCCATGTTGGCCAGTCTGGTCTCGAACTCCTGACCTCAGGTGATCCACCTTCCTCAGCCTCCCAAAGTGCTGGGATTCCAGGTGTGAGCCACCGTACTCAGCCTTCAGTAACCTTTTTTAAAATAGCTTTATCAAGATGAGTTCACATGCCATGTAAGGTATACAATTCAATGTCTTTTATTATATTCACAGGGTCGTGCAGCTATCACCACAATCTAATTTTAGAGCATTTTCACACTCCTGGAAGAAAGCATGTGCATTCACAGTCATTCCCCATTCCTTTCCCACCTCTAGTTCCTGCATCCATCCATGTCACTTCTATTTCTATGAATTTGCCTATTCTGGACATTTTATATAAAGGGGAATCACGCAGTATGTGGCCTTTTGTGCCTGGCTTCTTTCACTCAGCATGAAGTTTCTGAGGTTCATCTGTGTGTAGCATGTATCAGTGCTTTGCAGGGTTTTTTTTGCTGATCAATATTCTACTGTATGGACATACCACATTTTATTATTAATGACCGACTCCATGAAAAGGGGAGGAGAAAACCAGCAGAGCTGTCATGTAAATGTTGCTATAGCCTGGATAAAGTGAAAGAGAAGACACAGCTGCCTTTTTGAAAAGACTAGAGTGCTATGGAGTGTAAACATCTAAACATCTGACAGCAGAAACTACTTTTTTTTTTTTTTTGGAGACGAAGTCTCACTCTGTTGCCCAGGTTGGAGTGCAATGGCATGATTTCATCTCACTGCAGCCTCTGCCTCCCAGGTTCAAGCAATTCTCCAGCCTCAGCCTCCCAAGAAGCTAGAATTACAGGCACTCATTATCATGCCTGGCTAATATGTTTTTTTTGTATTTTTAATAGAGACGGGGTTTCACCATGTTGGCCAGGCTGGTCTCAAACTCCTGACCCCAAGTGATCTGCTTGCGTTGGCCTCCCAAAGTGCTGGGATTACAGGCATGAGCCACTGCACCTGGCCCAGGAACCACATTTCTATGTATTATTCTCCTTGTGTCTGTCTGGCCCTGCCTGGTCTCCAGCCCTGCAGTCCCCTCTGCGTGGCTAGGACTCCTGGATCCCCACCTGCTGGCCCGGCATTGCTCCATTTTAAGGACATATTTTCAATGTTGAGTGTGAAGAGTGTATTTAAAAAACACTACCTTATTATCTATTTATCTATTTTATTAACAGACCCAAAGCTTACAACCTCATTGCTTTTTAAATATTATTTTGATATCCTGGAAGATAACCATAGACGATCTGTTAAAGAACAAAAAAGGAATGCTGTTGTTACAGTAGGTAGCTAGTCAGACATGAACAGGGCAGGGGAGGCCCCCCCGACTTCCCACCAGGAATGTCAGGCAACCATCAACCATCTAGTGATGGTCAGGTGGTTGTTAAACTGCCTTTCTAAAATAATAATTGGTCACAGCCAGTGCCAGGGAAAGGCAGTCTCTCAGTAGATAGAAAAAACCTGAAACTGGTGATCAGCAGCTTCCAGATAAGATCTCAGGCGTTGGGTGAGTAGGCTCAAGCATGCGCACTAAGAGGCGAAATGGCAGAGTTTAATTGGTATATGACCTTATAGGAACACTCACGTGGTAAAGGAAGAATAGCTCAAGGGAGCGTGCGTACAACTTCAGTAAACACACTGTGCATGGGGCCCCTCCCAAGTGCTGGACGGCCACCGTGCATGCGGACAGCCTACCCCAAGGGAAGAATCCGGGGAAAAGGGACAGACGCCAAGACCCCAGAAGCATGCCAACGTATAAAACCCCAAGTCAAAGGTCAAAGAGTGCACTTGCCTTTCAGGTCGCCTGCTTGGCCCTCTTCCAAATGTAGTTTACTTCCTTTTATTCCTGCTCTAAAGCTTTTAAATAAACTTCTAGTCCTGCTCTAAAACTTGCCTCAATCTCTCCTTTGGCCTTATGGCCCTTAGTAGAATTCTTCCTTCTGAGGAGGCAAGAATTGAGGTTGCTGCAGACACATAAGGATTCGCCGCCAGTAACACTGTGATCAAATATGTTTGGGAAATGACTTATGGCCCCTTTTTGGAGATATCAAAATTCATCTGAGTATACAAATGCCTTGGCAAAAACATCAGTAAAGTATCTGGTGAGCTTTGCTTAGCCCAGCGCACCCAAGCTACCCCTCACCCTCCCCAGCGAGCATGGTGGTCCACGGAAGAGTGGGAAATGCCTCCTTCCAGACAATGTGCTAGGACTCTGCCCCCTTGCCACTGGTCCAACCCGACCATGCATCCAGCTGTGATTTCTGGGCTTCTGCCCTATTGCTGGGGCCAAGGCCAGGTCTCAGTTCTGGAGACGGCCGTGCCTTTTTCTCCGTCACTTTGCTCTCACCCCAGGGACCGCAGCCTGTCCTGAAAACTGGGCACAGTGATGGGGCTCTGTTATTTTCTGTTCATTTCTCTGTTGTTCTCTGCATCCCTACCCACTTTGTTGAATAGGTCTCTTCATAGATTGCTTGTCATCTCTGGGGACACTCCAGTTTCTTAACTCTTGAGCATCGTGACATCCTGTTCTTCTGCCTGGATGATCCACAGCTGAACTCATACGGCTCCCACCTTCTGTAGCTGCTGTCCACTCCATTCCTGTCTCACCTCAGGTCTTGATGCAGTCCCCAGTCTTCCTTGTCCCATGGTTGTCTACTGAGGCCAAGGTGCTGTGTGAGAAACACAGCAGTGCCACTCAGGAATGTCTTGCGCAAGGTGGATGTCCAAGACTCTGCTGCTGAAGTTGTAGCAGGCAGCATCCATGTGTTCATCCTCCCGCATTGTTTCTTCATTTTATTTTATTTTTCGAGATGGAGTTTCGCTCTTATTGCCCAGGCTGGAGTGTAATGGCACGGTCTTGGCTCACCACAACCTCCACCTCCCAGGTTCAAGTGATTCTCCTGCCTCAGCCTCCTGAGTAGCTGGGAATATAGGCATGTGCCATCACGCCTGGGTAATTTTTGTATTTTTAGTAGAGTGGGGGGTTTCATCATGTTGGCCAGGCTGGTCTGAACTCCTGACCTCACATGATCTACCTGCCTCGGCCTCCCAAAGTGCTGGGATTATAGGAGTGAGCCACCGTGCCCAGCCTCTCCCACATTATTTCATTCTGTACCATGTTGTTGCTGAAGGAGCATGAGCTCTAGTGCCAGGCAGACTCACGTTTCCATCGGGGCTCTGGGACTTACTAGCTATGTGGCCTGCGGTAGGACATAAATTTTTCTGAGTTTCAGTTTCTTCATCTGTAAAGAAAAATGGGTGTGAATACACTTACCTCTCCCAGTTGTTGTATGGATTGATTTAGAAGGTGTAGACAGCTTCACTGTTCACAAGATTCATGTGATTCTGGTATGAGTAGTTTCCAAATATTCTGAGAGACACAGGAGTAAATAATGGATTCAAAAGTCCCTAGCCTGGGATTTTTTAATGTTATGAGTTAATATTTGAAAATCACTAACAAAAAGGTCTGGAATAAAAGCCATGTTAGTGTTATGTAAATGTTGTTTAAAAAAGGAAGTTCCCTTTCTTCTTCCTTCTATATAGTAAGGATCTTGAGCTATTGACTGAGGTTTCAAAGTGAAGAAATGGGAAAAACCATTTATATGGGGTTGCTAGTCACACCAGGAGTTGGGGGCAATGCCCACCTTGGTTGGATTCTACTGTGGTAACAATGGACCCCACAAGACAGCCAGAACTTCAAACAGCATGGAAGAGGTGGTCACTGTGCTAGCTGAGAAGTGAAACTTCATTGCGCTTTTGAAGAAATTCTGTCACCGAAACGAAAGAAAAACTAAGTGGATAGCAAGTAGAGTTCTGCTTCTCAAAGCGTGTAGTGATTCCCCTCCCACCCACGTAGAATAACCACATCTCAAGCACTTTCTTAAAGATCCCTGACTGTCTGACTAGAATATCCTCCTTGTCCACTCAATGTTTTTTTTTTGAAACAGAGTCTTTCTCTGTTGCCCAGGCTGGAGTGCAGTGGTATGATCTTGGCTCACTGCAACCTCCCATGTTCAAGCGATTTTCCTGCCTCAGCTTCCCCAGTAGCTGGGATTACAGGTGCCCGCCGCCATATCTGGCTGATTTTGGTATTTTTAGTAGAGATGGGGTTTCACCATGTTGGCCAGGCTAGTCTTGAACTTTTGACTTCAAGTGATCCACCCATCTCAGCCTCCCAAAGTGCTGGGATCACAGACGTGAGCCACCGCACCGGGCCTGTCCACTCAGCTTTAATCCTAGCATCGAGACCTTTTCTGTTATCTCATTTTTTGTCCCCTATTTCACTTTCCCAGATCCATATAACACCAGTGAGAAATAACCCCAAATACCTAGGGAGAAGTGTGATCTCACTGTGTTCACTTTTTCCCGAACATGAGCTCCACGATTGTTTCCAAACAGTAAAAGCAGTTTCTCCTTTTTATCTCTTCTGGTAAAGCTGCAGTTGGGAAGCAGAGAGGTTTGGCAGAGTTGATGGGACCTTTGGGGTGGTTTGTTTCCTATTGGAAAGAAAATGAGGGTAGGAAGCTGCTGAACAAAGAGTCTCTGCCTTGCCTTTGCAGGGCTGCTGACCCTCATAATGGGCAGAAGCTACTGCCAGCCTGCTGCATAGAGCTGTCTTTGCAGATTTAATACTTTAGTGAGGGGCTAGGGGCCTACTGCTGAGCCCAGGATATAGTCAGTTACTAAACCTTGCGTCATGAAGCCAGCTGGCAAATCTTTAGTTTTGTTCTGGTTAGATGTGACCATGACTTTGGTTTTTATTTACTTCTCTCTTTTGTATAACTATAAATATTTTTAGACTGGGTGCTACACAGTTAAGTCTGTATATATGATTTGCATTATCCAGTTTAGGCCCAAAGTCAGGAAAATTGCTGCCATGCAAGATGAGTTGACATGTTCCTGTTTTTGTGGCTAAGAAGCTTTGGTATATAGAATTAGAAAAATGCTCTCAATAGCAAAGACTTGGAACCAACCCAAATGTCCATCAATGATAGACTGGATTAAGAAAATGTGGCACATATATACCATGGAATACTATGCAGCTATAAAAAAGGATGAGTTCATGTCCTTTGCAGGGACATGGATGAAGCTGGAAACCATCATTCTCAGCAAACTATCACAAGGGCAGAAAACAAAACACCGCATGTTCTCACTCATAGGTGGGAATTGAACAATGAGATCATTTGGACACAGGGCAGGGAACATTGATCACTGGGGCCTGTTGGGGGGTGGGGGGCTGGGGGAGGGATAGCATTAAAAAAAAAAAAAGAAAAATGCTGATTCAAGTAAGAAAAGAATGTGTGTATGTCTTGGAGTTGGTGATAGAGAATGATTTGGAGGAAAAAACCCTCTTGATTTTGCAACTAACTAGTTTTAAGACTTTGATGAAATTTGTGGGTGTTTGGTGGACTTGTTTGTTGAATTGGATGAGTTCACTTATAGCCCTGAAATCTGACTGTGGATTCAAACATTTCATTCCCTTTTCTCTGAATCATTTTACATGTCTAACTTGAAGCTCTGAATTGATAAACATAGATGACAGGAATAAAATGGTTCTACATTTTTCATATTTCTCAATAGGTTTGGGTTTCCCTTTTGGGAATTTTTTTCAAAAGAGAACTGATTGGCTCTGGTCCCAGTATCAGGAAACTACCTGCTCAGTCAGGCAGAGAATGAAAGGCTTGAGATAAAGGGCCTGGGAACAGTTTATCAGTCAGACTTTCAAAAGAGGAGTAATCAAGTAGTGTAGGAAAAGCACAGCATAACTGTCTGAACAAGGATAAAGGAAAGAAGTGGGGAAGTGCCACAGCTGGGAAATTAGCTGTGGTGCTCAAATAACCGGGATCCTGGAATTCTGACCATAGGAAAGCACTGAGGGAAATTTGGAGCCTCTTTTGTTACAAAAAAGACCCTGGACTGTTGAAATTCCTTTGTGTAGTAGGCTCAGGGAAATACATTGAAAAGAAGAAACACAGTTTGTTTGTTTGTTTGTTTGTTTTTAGAGCAAATCTGAGGATTTGCAGAGGTGCTCCGAGGTAGCCATTCTTCAACTTTTTGGAGTTGTGGACTCCTTGAGGGCTGGGATGAAAACTATGGCCTACTTCCCAAGAAAAATATAGCTATACATATAAAGCCAAACACAATTTCTGGGGCTGGGTAAACATCTTGAAGACCACCCACGGCAGTGCCTAGGGATCCAAACAATTTGAAGTTAATAATTCTTCAGTTTGAAGTATTGTAGCAAACTGCTGTAAGTGATAAGTAATTATGAAGCAAGGAGTATAAGGAAATGCTTCATGGAAGACAGAGTTACCTCCAGCAATGCCATGGAAGACTTGGAAAAGTTATAGGGCAACAGACAGAAGCAAGGTCACAAGGCTAGAAGTCAAAGGAAAACACTGTAGAAGAAGCTCGGGTTTTGGAAGAAGGTAGTTCAGTGTTGAATTTCTGATTCCACTAGAGTCTAGCCATGTGAACCTGGGCAAGGGTGCTTACCCAGGTTTGGAATCCAGTGATTCCAGGGCAGCCATCAACTTTCTCCTTTTATGGCCAGTATGGAAGAAGCGGGTGATGGAGCAGAAGCAGCGTGGAATGTGGGTCTGGATTTATCTGGTTTCAAATCTCAGCTCCGACATTACAAGTTTTGGGTGACCTTAGGCAAGTTATTCAATTGTCCAAGTCTCTTATCTCTAAGATAGGTATAGAAATAGGTACCCAAAGAATGATTAGTACATAAATAACATGTTATAGAGAGAACTTTCAATAATCGATAGGCTTTATTATGAGAAAGGAGGCTTATTTAACTCAACAGAAGGTACATTTTGGGAGAAAGTGGCAGATCTATGAAGAAATTAATGCCAAATTATAACTATCAAAGAGCTATAAAGCTCTGTCCATTTTTGGGTAAATTTTACTCATTTAATATTTTTGTGTGTCTTCCTATGTAACTTCATACTTAAGATGTTAGAATTTCTTTTGATAGGTAATGGGTGAAGAATGGGAATAATAGGCATGGTCTGCATTTTAGGGGATTCTTTGGATATTAGAGCAGCAAGAATAATTGTTTGGGCAGGATAATTTCTGGGTTGCTAGACTCTGCCAATGGTTAGTGATATACCTTTGCATAGGTCACTTAAGTTTTGTGGACTTCAGTTTTCTTATATATTTAAGGAGAAAACTTCCTTTTTGTGTTTTATGATTCTGTGATCCTGAGGTTCTATTGTAGCCAGAATAAGGCTGAGATATTCTGTGATCTAGTTTTTTAAAAAAATTATTTGTGTATTTTCTGCAGAGGTGGGGGTCTTACTATGTTGCCCAGGCTGGTCTTGAACTCCTGGCCTCAAGCAATCCTCCCGCCTCAGCCTCCCAAAGGTCTGGGATTACAGGTGTGAGCCACCATGCCTGGTATAATTTAGTCTTGTTCAACATGACATCAAGCAATCTACTAGTCTAAGCACAAAGTTCTCAAAAATAAACTTCAACTTACTGTAGGATTTCTTGCAAAGGTAAGAAATCCTCTACAAGTTTTTTCCATAGAGCATCATTTAGCAAAAAATTTCAAACTATTCCCTTTAAACATTTTTCCTTTCTTTAAAATTTCAAACTCATGGTTACTACCCCCCCGAAAAAGAAATCTCATCACCTCACTCTGTTCATGTAATTTCCCCATCATTACTCTTCTTTCCTATTTATTACTTCTCCTCAGGTCTAGTTCCTAAAAAAGGATCTTGCCTGTGTCAAAAACAGCCCCCTGGGGAAGTTGGACTGGTCTGTCAACCCCTTTTTCTCCCCTGGGGACCAACCAATTAGAACAATGGAGAACAATTTTTGTGATGTTATCATCCTATTATTCTTTGATTCTGTGGCTGCAGTGAGGACGCTGCTTCAGAAAACTACTATATTAATACAGACTTTGAGCTCTGAGACCTGAGACCAGGACAGCCAATGTGGGAGAGAAGGAAATGAGTTGGAGGCAAAGTGTAAAAAGAATTAGTGACAAACAGATAGGGCAAATGAGGGTAGGAGTAATCAAACGTGACTTCACATGGTTCGTCCATCTTCCACACATCCTTGAACTTTTCAGCACCGTCTGTCAGGTGCTAAATGGACAAGGACAGGACAATACAGGTGATTATGCGGTGTGAAAAACAAAGCCCAATGGGAGTTCAAAGTAGAGAACTATTTCATCCAATTATGGGAACTTCCTTGAAAAAGTAGCCTTTGAATTAGACATTGAATGACATGTAGAATATGACCACCTAACAAGAGTGATGGTTGGAGCTACTCCAGGGGCAAGGGAAAACACATTAGGGAAAGATCTTAGATATTTTTATTATGGTGAGTGAGAGATAAGACCAGAAGAGATTTTCTATTTTCCCAGGACTTCTTGGAATGACGGAATTGCACAGGAGAAGTGTGGATAGAATTCCACCAAGTGAGTTCCCTCTCATGTTCTGAGGGGCTTCTCCAAGCCTGCAGATGTGTATGCTGAATGTTCCCTAGGCTAGTCACCTTGACAGTGGTGAGGGTCTGAAGACCTGGATCTAAGAAGGCCTCGTGTGTCCCCAGAGACAGACACACAATCAGTTCCTTTCCCCTCTACTCTTGGCTTTGTCTTCTGTCTGAGGCCGATATGTGTTTAGCATTCACTTTCCCAAACAATGTCTTTCCGCCCTCCTCATTTTCCGAATCTTCATTTGGGAATCATGCTAACTTTTCTCCCGCATCCTGAATCCCCGTTTGAGTTTCTCTGTTTGTGTCACACTCATGGGCTTGGCGAAGGGGATCAGATGGCTCTTGTGTGATCATGCTAGGCGGCTGTTAGTTAGTCACTCCTGGGAACTGGATTTGGTTCAAGTTTATTCAGTGGGACTTAATGCTGACAGACTACTTTCTACTCTAAAGTCAAGTCTCTTCCTGATGTACAGGAAATGATAAATAGTTCACGACAAAAAGTAAGACTAAGAAGTCAGCAATCATCACACTGCAAGAGTTGAGGGTGAGGAGGGAGTTGGGGTAGTCCCTGCCAGAACTCCAGGCCAAATGGCTTGCATGCCAGGTAAACTTTTGTAGGATGCTGGCATGCACATTGTGGGTGGATTGCAAATTTTTTTGAATGATGAAATAGAAGCAGGGTGTTTGTGTTTTTTTTTTTTTTTTTTTTTTTTTGGCATCACATACAAGAAATGTCTACAGGTGCCAAGAGATAATCTTATCATATCTAGGAAGTTTTTGTTTGTTTATTTATTTACTTAGGACATTGTTCTCCCTCTTCCATTTCTAGAATATATTTTCTCTCCTTAGTCAAAGAAACCCTAGTTGCTGTTTATGATTCAGACGAGTCTTGAGAGAATAGAAGGAAAGAAGAGAACAACTTCATTTCTTCTTCTGTGTAAAATGTCCTGTGTCAAATTCCCATACTCTAACACTTTATTTGTAGTATCTTCATAATTCACCAACTTCTTTAAAGGAAGAGAATAGTTTTTAATATATCTTTGTTTCTCTGAGAATATTCCATTAGAGTGAGTGTTCACTGCTAGGTTGTTGGTTACCTGAATAATGTCTCCTTTAATAACATAAAATGTGGAACACAGAATTTAGAACCGTATTTTCCTCTTTATATTTATTTTTCTTCTCCTTATTCTCCTCCTCCCCTTCCTCCTCCTCCTCTCTTTCTCTTTCTCTCTCTCTCTACTACTGAGTTCAGATCTCATTTCTGTCACTTACTTCCTGTGACTCTGGGCAAGTTACTTCATTTTACTTTGTAGCAGATTCCTCACTTGTTAAATGGGAATTATAATAGTCATTGTGACATATACAATAGAGAATATACATGATGATACTTCTATTATTATTGTAATGATTAAACAAATTAATATACATAAAATACACATAAAAGTGCCTGCCAGTAAGTTGCTACATAAATGCTTGCTGTTGTGACTTTCTCATGAATTTTTGTTTTGTCTTTCTAACTAAATCATAAGCTGCTCAATCACAAGACTATTTCTCTTATGTCTGTGTCTTGACCATATTGCTTAGTGCAGTAGAAATGGTATCATCAATAATAGTTTGCGTCTGAGTCATACTTTACATTGTACAGGGTACTTTCACTTGGATTACCTCACCAATCCTCCCAATCATACTTGGATACATGCTTATTCCCACTTTTTAAATGCAGAAACTGAGGCTAAAATTTTGTTTGATCAGGGCCACACGGCTAGTGTGTGACCCAGATGACCCTAGAACTTAGTCTTTCTGGTTTCTGGTCTTACGTTATTTCCTCCAGGCAAATCTGACCATCTGACCACACGGCAGATGTTCAACAAATGCTTCTGTGTGTTTATGTGTTTCTCTAAGATGCATCTTTCACATTCTATAGAGTAATTGGCATGGTAACTTTGAGTGGTCATTTCTTATTTATACATTTTGGTATAGTTAAAATTCCTGAAATAAGGGATTCCTGTACTTATAATGTGTTTTATTGCTATAAATTATAGGAAACATCACATTCAGTCTTTTCCTCCTTTCCTCCCCTCCTTCACTGAAAGTTCTCATTAGTGTTAGCTTCCCAGTTTCTCAAAGTAATTCCCTGCATTCTTGTACTTAATCTCTTTCCTCTTCTCCTTCTCCTTCTCCTTCTTCATCTTCTTCTTTTTTTTTTTTTTGACAGAGTCTCGCTTTGTCACCCAGGCTGGAGTGCAGTGGTGCGATCTCGGCTCATTACAACCTCTGCCTCCCAGGTTCAAGCGATTCTCCTGCCTCAGCTTTCTCAAGTAGCTGGAACTACAGGCTTGCACCACCACGCCCAGCCAATTTTCGTATTTTTAGTAGAGATGAGGTTTCACTATGTTGGCCAGGCTGGTCTTGAACTCCTGACCTCCAGTGATCCTCCCATCTCGGCCTCCCAAAATGCCAGATTACAGGCATGAGACACTGCACCTGGCCCTAGTATCTTACTTCTGTTATGTGTTGTGGAGGTCGGACTTCTTTGGAGTTGGAGGGATGAAGAAACTTGTGTCTGAATGATTTTCTTAGCTGCCTTCATGCTGAAACAAAAGCTTTCTCATTTGTAATGGCATTTTAGCCATATGCGTTCATGCTACCTACTTATTCTAAACTCCCAAAATTTGTGGAAGAACTTGCTAATGTCTTTTCTATTAGAGGTACAGTTTGAAAGTAAACACATACATTTTTATCAATAAGTAAAAGGGTCAACATTTTTCTAGAGCTGGTTAAGTAAAATTCTACTCATGTACACTAACATTTGGCACAGAAAGCAGGGAAGGACAAAAGGAAGCAGAAAGAGGGGAAAATATCATATACCATATTTCATATGTAAAAACTAATGGCCTATTGAAAAGAAATAAGAAAAGCATGTGGGAAGGGAGAGAAGACAGAAAAGAGGGAGGAGGAAGGCGAGAAAAAAAAAAGCTTAAATCCCCAAAGAAAGCAGAAGTGATATTAAAATAAAATAAATACAGAGTAAGAGAAATGAATGAAGGAGAACTATATAAAGGTGCTTCATGTGCTACCCAGGCTCCACGGTGTTGTGAGTTACCTGCTTTCATTACTGAAATCATCTTTTTAAAAGTGATTCTGGGCTGGGTGTGGTGGCTCACACTGTAATCCCAGCACTTTGGGAGGTCGAGGTGGGAGGATTACCTGAGGCCAAGAGTTTGAGACCAGCCTGGCCAACGTGGTGAAACCACACCTCTATTGAAAATACAAAAATTAGCCGGGTGTGGTGGCATGTGCCTATAGTCCCAGCTACTCAGGAGGCTGAGGCAGGAGAATGGCTGGACCCCGGGAGGCAGAAGTTGTAGTGAGCCAAGATCATGCCACTGCACTCTAGCCTGGGCAACAGAAAAAGCCTCCGTCCAAAAAAAAAAAAGGGATTCTGAATTTCTATTCCTGAGTAACACATAGTTTTAGGGTGGAAAAGTCTCTAGTGACTTTCATGGTAAGATACTCATTTTCTTAGAATCATAGCTTTCCTTAACATTTATTTATTTATTCATTTTTTTTTTAATTTTAATTTTTTTTTTGAGATGGAGTCTTGCTCTGTCGCCCAGGCTGGAGTGCAGTGGCACAAACTCGGCTCACTGCAAGCTCCGCCTCCCAGGTTCACGCCATTCTCCTGTCTCAGCCTCCCGAGTAGCTGGGACTACAGGCACCCGCCACCACGCCCTGCTAACTTTTGTATTTTTAGTAGAGACAGGGTTTCACCGTGTTAGCCAGGATGGTCTCGATCTCCTGACCTTGTGATCCACCCGCCTCGGCCTCCCAAAGTGCTGGGATTACAGGTGTGAGCCACTGCACCCAGCTTATTTATTCATGTATTTATCAGAGATGGGGTCTCACTCAGCCACCCAGGCTGGAGTATCCTAATCCTAGCTCACTGCAGCCTCGAAATTCTGGTCTCAAGTATTCCTCCTGCCTCAGCCTTTTGAATAGTTGGGACTACACATGTGTGTCACCATGCCCAGCTAAATTTTTATTTTTATTTATTTATTTTTGAGATGGAGTCTCACTCTGTTGCTCAGGCTGGAGTGCAGTGGCATGATCTCGGTTCACTGCAACCCCTGCTTCCTGGGTTCAAGCAATTCTCCTGCCTCAGCCTCCCAAGTAGCTGGGATTACAGGTGTGTGCCACCATGCCTGGTTAATTTTTGTATTTTTAGTAGAGATGGAGTTTCACCATGTTGGCCAGGCTGGTCTCTAATTCCTGGCCTCAGGTGATCCTCCCACCTCAGCCTCCCAAAGTGGTAGGATTATAGGCATGAGCCACTGTGCCCAACCTATTTTAATTTTGTTTTGTAGAGAT